>NC_000009.12:131986366-132300184 GCF_000001405.40 Homo sapiens | reverse complement strand
TACCAGATGTATGCAGTGAGACTTGTCCCTTTTTTTTTTTTTTTTTTTTTTTTTGAGACGGAGTTTCACTCTTGTTGTCCAGGCTAGAGTGCAGTGGTGCTGTATCGGCTCACTGCACTCTCCGCCTCTTGGGTTCAAGCGATTCTCCTGCCTCAGCTTCCCAAGTAGCTGGGATTATAGGCATCCGCCACCAGTCCCGGCTAATTTTTTGTGTTTTTAGTGGAGACGGGGTTTCACCATGTTGACTAGGCTGGTCTCGAACTCCTCACCCCCATCAACCTCCCAAAGTGCTGGGATTACAGGCGTGAGCCACCGCGCCCAGCCGAGACTTGTCCTTCTTATGTACATTTATAATCTTCCCCAAAGCCCCAAAAGGTAGAAGAAATTATTCCTTGCTCCCCAGGAAATCATGGTTCAGGGATGTTAAGTAAACCTATTTTCAAGGCTGTCATCAGTGTTAATTGGTAAGTCCAGAATTGAAGCCTGCTTTTGTTGACTGCAAAGTCCACATTGTTTTTCTTATGCCAAACTGCCTTTTTGGCAATTGCAACTTTTTTAGTCTTAGTTATGTGAAGAGAAGAACATTATTTCATTATTCCTTCTCCTTTTTGCATGATATATTAATATAGCAATAAAGTGTGTCAACATTGTACTGCATTATAACAGGTGTACCATGTTTATTTGTGTGATCAGGGCTTAATTCTGTAGAATATAGGATACATTTAGAAGAGTTGCAGTGAGGATTGATGGCTTACTCTGTGCTTTTGGCTCTTGAAAATGATTACCTTTGCCAAATTTATAGTTCTAAGGCAGTCTCATTCCCTGAACTCCTCATAGATCAAAATCATGTCTTGGATACCTCCATTTGGAAATGTGTTAGACATTTCAAATCCACTAGTCCAAAAGTTAACACTTGATTTTCTGCCTGACATCTGCACTTCCTTCATTCTTTCCCATCTTGTTAATTGGGGCCTCACTTCTTTCAGTTACTCAGGCCAAAAACCTTGGAGTTATCCATGATCCTTACTTTCTCTCACACCTCACTTCTAATTTGTCAGCAGATATGATTGATTTTTCCTTTGCAATATATCCCAAATCCAGTTCCCACGTCTACTAGTGCCTCCTGGTCCAAGCTGTCATTAACTTTTACCTAAATTACTATGGTAACCTTGTAAGTGGTCTTTTTGTTTCTGTACTTTTCTCATTGTAGTTATTCTTTGTTCTGAGGTAAGAGTGGTTCTTTTAGTTTGTGAGATAGAGCATGTTATTTCCCTACACAGAGTGCCCAATGGTTTTCTACCCTGATCCTGAATAGCGTTCAGAGTCATTACTGTGATCTGCACAGCCCTATAAAATGTAGCCCCGTTTTACTCTGAGTCGCTAAGCGTTCTTCTCCCTATTTTTCCTTCTATCCATGTTAGCCTTCTCCCTATTTCTAAAATATTCCTGGCACATCTCTGTCTTACGATCTTTGCAGTTGCTTATTTTCTGCATGTAGTACTATTTACCCTCTGCTGAGTACTGTTTACTCCCTTACTTCAAGTCTCTGCTCAAATATTTCATCAGGAAGACCTTCTCGGACCAGCTTATCTGCCTCCATCCCCATCACTTCCTCCCTTTGTGTGCTTTCTTCAGAGCACTTACTACCACCTGACATATTTATTTGGTTATCTGCCTCCATCTTCTAGAAAATAAGCCTCCGGAGGACAGAACATTACTGGGTTCAGGAAGCAGTCCATAAATATTTACTGGGTAAATTATGTAAATAATATCCAAAAATATGTTAAAAATACCTAATTCTGCATGACCTTTACAACTAGGCAGCATTATTCAGTGATAACTGAAGTTGCTTTTTCTCTTTCTTGATGATAGTGCGTAATGGGAAAACTGAGTGTTACCTTTCCATCCAGACTCAAGAGAACTTTCCGGCCAATTTAAACGAACTTGTGAATTGTATTGTAATCAGTTCTCTGGTAACTACACAAAGGAAGTTGAAAGCCATGTCTCTGTTGGGTAGTCGGAACCAACTGGCTAGAGCTGTTCTGAATCCAAACCCTATGGACTTCTGTACAAAAGATTTACTGACTACAACATCTGAGAGAATTGTGAGTGATGATGTATGATACTAGATAATTTCATGTTAAGATGTTAAAGCATCATATTTTTTAGCTGCTATGTATTCCTATATGTTTACAACAAAAATGTGTTCACGGTGAACAGTTTAGTGTTAGTTTTCTTTAGTATTGCAAAGTATGTAATTTAGGTTAAGTCAGCTCACTTCAGGAAAAGGTACAGTACAATAAGCGTCGAAGGTTGCTGGAAGAGCAACATTAAAATGTTAGGTCAGCAGCCTACTTAATGTGCATTAGGTGAGAAGTCTCAGGTTTAGTGGTGTTAAATTTACATTTGAATGATTGATGGAGAATTGGCCGGTATTGTTGGAAATGCAAAGATGAAGTTGTCAACTGAACATGTGAAGCTGTGTATAAACTCTAGGAAGTTAACAGAGAAATGCAAAAGGAAACTAACTATTTAGAAACTCTAGAGCTGTATGCTATGGCTTTCATGTGCATTATCTCAGTCTGTTCTCACCTCTTAAGGAATCCTAGATTTAATGAGTAACAGAGGCCAAGGCTTGGGTTAGGAGCGTAGTGGCCTAGCTTGTAAGTGCAAGTGAAGCTTACACCCAGATCTTCCCCTGGCATACATGCTTTTTCCACTGTATCACATGTGCTAGGAAATAAATAGTCTTGGGATGTTTTCACTAAGGAGAAAATTGACTAAAGAAGGAAAAAAACAGAGTAGTAAATAGAAGAAAAGTTGTGGATTAGTAAATGCAATTTATTGTGATTATCTTTGTAAGAATAAAAAATAAAAGTACAGTTGTATTTGTAAGTACTTGAAGCGTTACAGACACTAATTAGTAATTAGTAAGTAATTAGCTTTCTTTCCAGTAGTGAACGTGCTTTTTAGATTAAAGGTCACTTTGGTGTCCTTGTCTTGTCTGACCATAACCAAAGCTTTTGTCTCATGCATTGAAAGAAATTTGGACAGGTCTTTTTCATGTTCTTCCTTTCAAATTCCACTACAGAAACAGCAACTCATTCTCAAAAATGTGTTTTTTATATAGATTGCGTACTTAAGAGATTTCAATGAAGATCAAAAGAAAGCAATAGAAACTGCATATGCTATGGTGAAACACTCACCATCAGTTGCCAAAATCTGCTTGATTCATGGACCACCTGGAACAGGAAAATCAAAAACTATTGTTGGCCTCCTCTATCGTCTACTGACAGAGGTAGGTATGGGTGAGGGCACTGATGCTGTTAACTAGCTGTATCATTTTACTTTACTTGAGTTAACTGACATGTAAATAAGTATTAACATGCCATTTCCTCTTTGATTTGTATATATTTTTTATATTGTGTGTAACTGTGTCAGAGAAAAGGGTGGCAGAGGGAGGGAAGGTTATGGGAAATAAAAAGAGGAAAAAACCACTATCTTATGTGAAACAAATCGTAAGGACTAGAATGATGGTCTTCAGGCTTCACGGTAGGTCACGTAGAATGCTGTGAATGCTGGGCTGCATTTTGGTTGGATTGTGGTTTTTTGTTTTTTTTTTTTGAGACAGTGTCTCGCTGTCATCCAGGTTAGGGTACAGTGGCACGATCTTGACTCACAGCAACCTCTGCCTCCCAGGTCAAGTGATTCTCCTGCCTCAGCCTCCCGAGTACCTCCCTAGTGGCTGGGATTACAGGCGTACACCACCACCCACAGCTAATTTTTGTATTTTTAGTAGAGATGGGGTTTCGCCATGTTGGCCAGGCTGGTCTCGAGCTCCTGACCTCAAGTGATCCGCCCGCCTCGGCCTCCCGAAGTGCTGGGATTACAGGCGTGAGCCACTGTGCCTGGCTTGGATTGAGTATTCATTAAAGTAAGTGGATGATAAAGTAAGGCTCAGAGCAGTTATGACAAATTTTTTTGCTGGAGTAATTTTAAATATCAGTGTTAGATGTAGATGCTTTTATTTATTTTTAACTTTATTACGAGAACTTTCAAAAATACATGGAAGTAAAGACAAACTTTAAAGCTATGTAATAGAGCTCACCCATATTTTTTGTGTGTTTGTTTGGTATGTATATGTGGCAAATTGTAGAACCAGAGGAAGGGGCATTCAGACGAAAACTCCAATGCCAAAATCAAACAAAACCGTGTCCTCGTGTGTGCACCTTCCAATGCAGCTGTTGATGAACTCATGAAAAAAATTATCCTTGAATTCAAAGAAAAATGTAAAGACAAGAAGAATCCTTTAGGTATGATACTTTTGTGGATTTTAAATTTGTTTTTGTTTTCAGTGTTAAGTGTAGGCAACTTTGAATGACAAAGGAAAGAGCAGGCCAGTCCTGGTAATAGCTTCTACTTGAATCTGTGGCTTGTGAGTTCATTTAGCAAGTATTTCATTGAACATTTACCCTGTGCCAGGGCCTGTGCCAGGTACTGAGGTTTCATCAGTGAAGTCTTCAAGGAGACACACGGCCTAGTGAGGAAGTGGAGAGGTCAGTACAGAGTGATAAGTTCCACAGTGAGGCTAAAATGTGGGGTGTTCCACACACCTTAGGGGGACCCTGATTCAGTTGTGTGAGGGTTAGAGAAGGGCAGTTAGGAGTTAGCCACAGGCAGTAGAGGGTTAGGGAGTACTTGAGCAGCAGAGATTGCCATAAAAAAAAAGAATCAGGGCAAGAGAGCCTCAGATGGTTCTTGAGGTTCCCAGAGCATTAGGTGGCGGTGAAAGATGAGGCTTTGAGTAAGCACAAGCTTATTGAAAACAGTGAAAACAGTCATTGTTTACAGTCACTGAGTGTTGACTGTGTGTCAGTAATTCTCAAAATAATCCCATGAACTTGGTGTTAACCCTACCATCTGTATTTTATAGGTGGGGAAACTGAAGCTTAGAAATGTTAAATACACTAGAGGGATAACTTTTTTCGGTAGAATGTAGATAATAATGAGCATTACAACGGATGATTCAGGGCACTAAAGTGAAGATGTGAAATTATTTCATTTTATTTAACCTTAACACTTATTTTTCATATCACTTGTGTTGAGTGGTATAGTTATGGCTTTGTATTTGATGACCTTTCCAAGCTCATATGTCTTGTCTTCCCTACCAAATTTAGTTTTCCTTAAGGATACCTAACAGTGCCTTTTAACAGGATTTGATTTAGCAGACTCCAAATACAGTGGCTTTTAAATATAACAGAAGTTTACTTCTTTTTTTTAAAAATCAAAAACCCAGAGGTGGGCAGTTCAGAACTGGTACCAGAGTCACTGGTATGGCTACTCTGCCTTAGAGAGTCCTTGGAGACCCAGCCTCCATCTGGTTGCTTCACCATGTGTGGCCTCCATTCTCGAGTGCACCTGCGGTCAGGATAGCTGCTCCAGCTCCAGCAAGTGTGAGGAAAAGATGAAGAAGGGGCAGAGGGAACATACTAGCTATGTTACAAGGAAAGTTTCTAGGTCCTGCCAATAGCGCCTCTGCTTATTTCCTTTCGGCCACACCGAGGTATAAGAGAGGCTGGAACATGTCATCTTTATTCTGAGGAATCACACACATTTTCCTTTGTATCACATATGTATTACCTACACGTAGAATTCATTTGCTCTTAAAACATACAATACATTGTCAGTCTCTGATTTACTTTTTTCCACTTGCCTTTACATTTGTGAGATTGATTTTGTGAATAGCTGCAGTCACTCATATTAACTGCTATAGGGTGTTTCATTGAAGGTGTGCAACATTTATTCATTGATAATTTAGTTTCTTTTCAATTTTTTATTTCAAACTTGAGCATTACAAAACTTTATTAAAACATGGGTATCTAGCATATGTATATCTAGAATTGAAAATGTGGGGGTTCAAGAGTTTGTACATCTTCAGTTTTCTAGGTAGTGCCAAATTCTTCTTGAAAGTGATTGTACCAGTTAGCTCCTGAGAGCAGTCCCTGTGCAGTGTACAGTTGGTAGTTTTAATTTAACTTTCCCTGGTGGCGTGAGCTTAAGCTGCTTTTCAGGTGTATGTTGACTGCACAGCCGGGCCAGGACTAAGGTGAGGCAAACGAGGTGTCTAGGTTGGATATTTATTTATTTATTTATTTATTTTTGAGACGGAGTCTCACCCTGTCGCCCAGGCTGGAGTGCAGTGGCGCGATCTCGGCTCACTGCAAGCTCCGCCTCTCAGGTTCACGCCATTCTCCTGCCTCAGCCTCCCGAGTAGCTGGGACTATAGGCGCCCGCCACAACACCCGGCTAATTTTTTGTATTTTTTTAGTAGAGACGGGGTTTCACCGTGTTAGCCAGGATGGTCTCGATCTCCTGACCTCGTGATCTGCCTGCCTCGGCCTCCCAAAGTGCTGGGGTTACAGGCATGAGCCACCACGTCCAGCCTTATTTTTTTTTTAATTAGCAGGCTGGGCACAGTGGCGCACGCTTATAATCCCAGCACTTTGGGAGGCCAAGGTGGATGGATCACCTGAGGTCAGGAGTTTGAGACCAGCCTGACCAACATGGTGAAACTCTGTCCCTACTAAAAATACAAATTAGCTGCACGTCGTGGCACGGGTCTGTAATCTCAGCTTCTCGGGAGGCTGAGGCGGGAGAATCACTTGAACCCGGGAAGTGGAGGTTGCAGTGAGCCGAGATCGCGCCCTTGAACTCCAGCCTGGGCAACAAGAGTGAAACTGCCTCTAAATAAATAAATAAATAAGAGAGCAAATGATATCCTCTCTGAGTACAGAGACCTTTTTTTCTTTTTCAGTACTTTCATTTTCACTATTTCCTGTGGTCCTGGGTCTCCTTTAAGGAAATGACTTGAACGTCTCTCCATTAAGTATAATGCTTCTGGGTTTTGTGTATACCCGTTACCAGGTTAAAGAGTTGCTTTCTCATTAGTGTTTTTGTTATGAATGGGTGTTGAATTTTATTGCATGCTTCAAATGGTAATGAAAATTTTCTTTAATCTGTTAATATGGTAAATTATAGTATTTTTCTGATGTTAAAATATCTTTGATTCTTAGGGAATAAGGACACCTTGGTGTCTTGTATTAGTTTTTAATACACTGCTAGATTGCTAATGTTTTATTTAGGACTTTGAAATTAATGTTCATAAATGAGGCCAGCCTGTAATTTTTGTTACACTGTATTTGTCTAGTTTTAGTATTGAAGTTACACAGGCTTTAAAAAATGAGTTGGGGCCAGGTGCGGTGGCTGACGCCTGTAATTCCAGCACTTTGGGAGGCAGAGGCGGGCAGATCACCAGGTCAGGAGATCGAAACCATCCTGGCTAACACGGTGAAACCCAGTCTCTACTGAAAACACAAAAAATTAGCCAGGTGTGGTGGCGGGTGCCTGTAGTACTGTAGTCCTAGCTACTCGGGAGGCTGAGGCAGGAGAATGGGGTGAACCCGGGAGGCGGAGCTTGCAGTGAGCTGAGATCGCGCCACTGCACTCCAGCCTGGGTGACAGAGCGAGACTCTTGTCTCAAAAAAAAAAAAAAAAAAAAATGAGTTGGGAACTTTTTTGTTATTCTTTGGAATGTTTTGTATAAGACAGCTTGTCTATTTCTTGAAGGCTAATTTGTTATTAGTATTGTATTTGTTGTCTTTATTTGTTGTCTTTTTTTTAACAGAATAAGTAAATTTCTATTTGCTGTTTAAATGTCATTAATGATTATAAGTCTAATCATGTTTTCTTTTTTTTTTTTTTTTTTTTTTGTACCCCAGCTCAGGCTGGGGTACATTGGCATGATCATGGCTCAGTGCAGCCTTGCCCTCCTGGGCTCAAGTGATCTTCCTGCCTCAGCCTCCCAAGTAGCTGGATCTGCAGGTTTGCCATCACACTGGGTTAATTTTTAAATTTTTGTTGTAGAGACAGGGTCTCCTCGTGTTGCCCAGGCTGGCTTCAAGCAATGCTCTTGCCTCAGCCTCCCAAGGTGCTGGGATTACAGGCATGAGACACTGCCCCTGACCACGTTTGCTGTATTATATATTTATTCCCTAAATGCACATGTGACACAGGCTTAGGGGTAGGAAAGTATAAGGAGAAAATTTATTTTTTGTAAGCCAGAAAAAATAAATTATTTTAAAATTATTTTATCTAAATCAGTAATTAATAGATGGAATTAAATTTAATTAAATCACTTGATTAATAGTTTATATTTTAATTAAAATCATTTTTCCTGGCCCAGCTGAGCCTAAGCCAAGATAATTACACTTGTTTTTAATTCTTCCACCTCTTTCAGGCCCCTCTACTTTCTTGTGGGCATTAGCAAGCTCCCATTGTAGAAATTTATATGTTTTTATTGGAATGGTAGCTTTAGCAATGTCAAACTCAATAGAATTTTAAAGTCTGTTCATTTTACTGAATGTAAATTATACCTCAAGAATGTTAAAGAACAAAACAGACACCCAGGCACCTAGACACTGCCCAGCCTTGCTCCCTTACGGGTGCCACAACAGCTCAGGGGCTTTCAAATCTGGTTTTCAGCTCTCTCTCTGTTTTTGGCCTCTAGGGATTTCTCTTAACATTCCCCTGAGCTTACCCAGCAGTGTAAAGGATATCTGTTATAATTTGCGGAACATTTCTGGGTGCTTATAGTAGGTGGGTTTCCAGGTAATCTCATCTACCTTTCTAGTGGAAACGTAAGTGAATTAAGAAATTTTCAGGCCGGGCGAGGTGGCTCACTCCTGTAATCCCAGCACTTTGGGAGGCCAAGGCAGGTGGATCACGAGGTCAGGAGATCAACACCATCCTGGCTAACACAGTGAAACCCCATCTCTACTAAAAATACAAAAAATTAGCTGGGCGTGGTGGGGGGCGCCTGTAGTCGCAGCTATTCGGAAGGCTGAGGCAGGAGAATGGCGTGAACCCGGGAGGCGGAGCTTGCAGAGAGCCGAGATTGCGCCATTGCACTCCAGCCTAGGAGACAGAGCAAGACTCCGTCTCAAAAAAAAAAAAAAAAAAAAAAAAAGGTTTTCAAACCCTCAAGTAAATGTTGACCTTAAATTTAGGAAAATGAGCTGAACTGGGATAAAAAATATGCTGTAGATAACTAAAAATAAGCCATTCATTTTTCATATAATCATTGTATTTATTATGTGCCCACCACTCTTCTAGGTGGTGATCAAAACCCTATTCTTTTGGGGCTTAACATTTAAAGGATGGAGATAGACAGTAAACAAATAACTGTGACGTGTCCAATTAGAATAAATGCTGACAAACTCTACATGATTGCATAATTTAGCCCAGTGATATAGTGGGGAATATTTATTTATTTATTTATTTATTTATGAAACTGGTCTTGCCTCCCCTGCTCAAGCAATACCCCCATCTCTGCCTTCCAAGTAGCTGGGACCACAGGGGGAGGCCACCACGCCTGGCTAATTTTTGTCAATTTTGATAGAGGTGGAGTTTCATCATGTTGCCCAGGCTGGTCTCAGACTCCTGGATTCAAGCGATCTGCCTACCTTGGCCTCCCAAAGTGCTAGGATTACAGCCCTGAGCCGCTGCACCTGGCTGTAGTGGTGAATTTTTTTTTTTTTTTTTTTTTTTTTTTGAGACGGAGTCTCGCTCTGTCTCCCAGGCCAGAGTACAGTGGCGCGATTTCAGCTCACCGCAACCTCCACCTTCTGGGTTCAAGCAGTTCTCCTGCCTCAGCCTCCCGAGTAGCTAGGATTACAGGCATGTGCCACTACGTCCAGCTAATTTTTGTATTTTTAGTAGAGATGGCGTTTCACCATGTTGGCCAGGCTGGTCTCAAACCCCTGACCTCGTGATCCACCTGCCTTGGCCTCCCAGAGTGCTGGGATTACAGGTGTGAGCCACTGTGCCCAGCCTTGTAATGGAGAATTTTTAAATAAAATAATAACACGTGGGAAAAAAAATAAAGACGAATAAAGGTGTTTTTTTGTTTGTTTTTTTGAGACGGAGTCTTGCTCTGTCACCCAGGCTGGAGTGCAGTGGTGCAATCTTTGGCTTACTGCAACTTCCACCTCCTGGGTTCAGGCAACTTTCCAGCCTCAGCCTCCTGAGTAGCTGAGATTACAGGTGTGTGCCACCATGCCTGGCTAATTTTTTTATTTTTAGTAGAAATGGGGTTTTGCCATGTTGGCCAGGCTCGTCTCAAACTCCTTACCTCAAGTGATTTGCCCACTTATATCTCCCAAAGTGCTGGGATTATAGGCGTGAGCCATTGTGCCTGGTCAGAAAAAAGATTTTAAAAAACCCAATAGAAGAAATTATAATAAAAGAAAAAAACAAAAACATTAAAACCAAAAGGACAAGAAGAAAGCAATGTGTTAACCTGAGATTAAAATGTGGTTAGTAAACAGGCAGGTTAAATTGGTTTTTATAGTTCTTGCAATTATTATATCCAAGAATTTCTATCATCTTGTGTCCCTTAGTTTCTAGAGTATCAAGGTGATGTGGAACATAGTTTTAAAAGCTTTATTCTGAGTATTCTGCAAAAGAAGGCTCGATGGTCAAATAAGATTCTGTTCTGAAAATTACATATTAATATATAACATATAAAAGTTTTTGAAATATTCTGCAGTTAAGAGTGTTGGGGATCAGCCTCAATACCACCCGTAGGGTACCCGAAGTGCAGTGGTGACAAAGAAATGAGAAGAGACAGGTTAAGAGTTCATAAAGGAGGGAACCAGGGGGCCAGAGCAAATCAGAGGCTGCAAAGGCTCCAAGCTATGATCTCCACACTATTTATTGAAATAAATAGTGAAATGGTGAAAGGAGAGCCGTGTGTCATACACCTAATGTATAGGAATGGCGGTTTAGGTAAATTTTCTTTGTGCTGAAGCAGTATAAACTTAACTACTGATTTATTTTTTAACTTATCAGAGAGCAGCTGTGGGGAGTGGGCCTAACTAGGAGCTGGCATATCTGGCCACATTCCAGTGCTTCAAAGGAGTATCTTTCTCCTTGAGCACAGTGTTTATAGATAGGAGAGCAGGTCACATTCTGGTCATGGGAACATGATGGCAATTAGAAGGCTTTACTCCTCAGAGGCCTCTTGTGGCTTTCTACAACTTACTGTTCCATATTTTTATGGCTGGTTTATGCAGGCACCCCACAAGCCCTTTCCCCAACATGAGAGAACTGCTTCGTTTATTTTATCTCATCATTTTTCTTGAAACTATTTTGCTATGGAATGTCCTACTGAACATAGTTTGAAAATGTTACTGTAATAGAATCTCAACTCTGTAGTGTACTGTTTAGATGGCCTTGCTAACCTTTATTAGGTAGAAATGATAACTACTTGCCTTATAGGATTGTTAGGAACAATATCTGAAATAATGTATAAGAAGTTTGTGGTGTAGTCCCTGGTGTCTGGTTAATTGGAAGTTCATGTTTGCTCCCTTCTCTGATTATTAACATATTTACTTAGAAATATAGATACTATGTATAGAGACAGGATTGATCAGCAGTGTCCTTATTAGTCCTTAACTGTGATTCTTATCAACAGGAAACTGTGGAGATATAAATTTAGTACGACTGGGTCCAGAAAAGTCTATTAATAGTGAGGTTCTAAAGTTCAGTTTGGACAGCCAAGTAAACCACAGAATGAGTAAGTACTGAATGTGGTATATACTAGTGTTTTCTCTGTTTTGTTTGGTGGAAAATGACTTGGGCACTAAAGGTAATTTGAAGCCTCCAGAATTAGTCTGGCTTTGGGAACTAATTTTCCTTCTCATTGTGTTGTATATGTGTGTGAGTTTGTTAGAATTAGAATAGCATATAATTTTTTATTTGTTATTTTTATTAGAAAAAGAGTTACCTTCTCATGTTCAGGCGATGCATAAAAGAAAGGAATTTCTAGATTATCAGCTGGATGAGCTTTCCCGGCAGCGAGCTCTATGCCGAGGTGGACGGGAAATACAGGTATCTTTGCATTTCTTGAATAATAACTCAGGTATACGAACTAGTTAACAAGTTTTTTTTGAGACAGAGTCTTGCTCTGTCTTCCAGGCTGGAGTGCAGTAGCACAATCCTGACTCACTGCAGCCTCACCTTCCTGGGTTCAGGTGATCCTCCTGCCTCAGCCTCCCGAGTAGGTGGGATTACAAGGTTGTGCCGGCACACCTGGCTAATTTTCTGTATTTTTAATGGAGATGGGGTTTCACCATGTTGGCCAGGCTAGTCTCGAACTCCCGGCCTCAAGTTGATCTGCCCACCTCAGCATCCCAAAGTGCTGGGATTACAGGCATGAGCCATTGCGACCAGCCTAATTAATGAGTATTTAATGCCCTTTATTTATTGGGGAATGGCATGATTCATGTATAAAAATGTGTACTAAGACACTAAAAATGTGTCTCAGATTAACACATTTCTTTCTGCTTTTTTTTTTTTTGTCCTTTTGGTTTTAATTTTTTTTTTCATTTTTTCTTTTATTAAAATTACTTTTGTTAAAAATCTTTTTAAAAACTTTTTTGTAAAGGGCAAGATATTCTAGTAAAGATTTTAGGCTTTGCAAGCCATATGGTTGGTTTCTGTTGCAGCTATTCAACTCTGCTTTTGGTAGCACAAAGGCAGCCATAGATAATACATAAACAAATGGATGTGGCTGTGTTCCAGTAGAACTTTATTTACGAAAATAGATGGGGTGTTGCGTTTTTGTTTGTTTTTGAGATAGGGTCTCACTTTGTGGCCCAGGCTGGAGTGCAGTGGTGCAGTTGTGGTTCAATTTAGCCTCAAGCTCTTGGACTCAAGTGAGCTGTCTTTCTGCCTCAGCCTCTTGAGTAGCTGGGACTACAGCCGTGTGCCATCATGCCTGGCTAATTTTTTTGTTTGTTTTCTGTAGAAACTGGGTCTTGCCATGTTGCCCAGGGTGGTCTGAACTTCTTGCCTCAAGCAGTCCTCTCACCTTAGCCTCCCAAAGTGCCAGGATTACAGGCATGAGTCCCTGCACATGGCCTTGCATTTGGCTTATAGGCTGTACTGCCTTATATTAAAGCTATACTGAGTTTATTAGTTGCCTTTCAGTTGCATGTTGAGCCCAGTTCAAATTAGGTTAGACAGAAAGGGAATTAGCTTCAGTATGGGTGGATCCAGAGGGTCACATGATATCATTTCTCCACTCCATAATTTGTTTTTCTGTGTGTCAGCCATTTCTTCTGAGAAAGGTGAGTGTCAGCATCTCAGGGCTTCCACCATCTCAGCTTTGAAACCCCAGAGGGAGAGAAAGTCTTTCTCTTAGCATCCATATATCCAAAGAAGCAGTTAGTTTAGTCCCTGGGTGAGCAAGCAGGTCTAATCCCTATTTTTAAGAAGATGGGTGCATGATTGGCCAGGCCTGTGTTAGATGCCCATCACTGTGGCCAGAGGAATGGTTGGGGTGTGATTTACAGCCTCATTTGAATCACCTGGAAGTTAAGGGTGGCGTGATGCTCCCAGTGCTGGAATGCTAAGCAGACAGCTCACGTGCAGCGCACAGAACACAGCTGAGTCTTACGCAGCAGCATACAGAGTGTGTCAGGACTCCAGTGGTAAAGAGGAAATAAGCTGGGTAAATACATTTTTCATTGGTGAAATACAGGCTCTTTTAAAATTAGAGGTAGTCCATTGGAAGGCATTTAAAAATGCTTAGTTTAGTTTTAATTGTGACATTTGAATTTTTTTCCAGAGGCAAGAATTAGATGAAAACATTTCCAAAGTTTCTAAGGAAAGGCAGGAACTTGCTTCTAAAATTAAAGAGGTAAGTAGTTCACCTGTAGCATTTTCTTGATTTTTTTTTTTTTCTTTTTAAAATTTAAGTATGACTGTTCAGACAAGCTATGGGCTTTTATTTATTTATTTTGGAGACAGAGTCTCACTCTGTCTCTCAGGCTGGGGTGCAGTGGCATGATCTCAGCTCACTGCAACCTCAGTCTCCCATGTGGCTGGGATTACAGGCGTGCACCACCATGCCTGGCTAATTTTTTTTTTTTTTTTTTTTTGAGGTGAAGTCTTGCTCTGTCACCAGACTGGAGTATAGTGGCGTGATCTTGGCTCACTGCAACCTCTGCCTCCCGGGTTCAAGCGATTCTCCTGCCTCAGCCTCCCGAGTAGCTAGGATTACAGGCGTGTGCCACCACGCCCAGCTAATTTTTGCATTGTTAGTAGAGACGGGGTTTCACCGTGTTGGCCAGGATGGTCTGGATCTCTTGACGTCATGATCCTCCTGCCTCAGCCTCCCTCAAAGTGCTGGGATTACAGGCGTGAGGCACCACACCTGGCCTCTTTTGTGTTTTTTTTTTTTTGAGACAGAGTCTCACTCTGTTGCCAGGCTGGAGTGCAGTGGCACAATCTCAGCTCACTGCAACCTCTGCCTCCCAGGTTCAAGTGATTCTCCTGCCTCAGCCTCCCGAGTAGCTGGGACTACAGGTGTGCGCCACCACGCCCGACTAAATTTTGTATTTTTAGTAGAGATGGGGTTTCACCATGTTGGCCAGGATGGTCTCCATCTCATGACGTTGTGATCCGCCCACCTCGGCCTCCCTAAGTGCTGGGATTACAGGCGTGAGCCACCATGCCTGGCCCTTTTTTTGTATTTTTAATAGAGATGGGGTTTCACCATGTTGGCCATGCTGGTCTGGAACGTCCAACCTCAAGTCATCCCCCGTCTCGGCCTCCCAAAGTGTTGGCATTACAGGCGTGAGCCACCATGCCTGGCCAGCTATGGGCTTTTCTCAGTTACATTTTAAATTGTTATGAAAAATTACAAACATCTGTGGAAGTGGAGAAAATGGTGTAACAACATTTGCATTTTTTTCTTTAACCTAAGAATGAATTCTTACCACCATCTAAGATTTCTAAGAGGTGGTTATAAGTTATCTTTTTTGTTTTAAGTCTGGTAAATATTTAAATTCTTTCTTATAAGGTGCTCTATTTCTGCTTCCCATAAACTGCAAAAAACAATTATGATAATTATCATCAGATAAACAGTTAATGAAAATAGCTTTGGCCAGGCGCGGTGGCTCACGCCTGTACTCCCAGCACTTTGGGAGGCCGAGGCGGGCGGATCACGAGGTCAGGAGATTGAGACCATCCTGGCTAACACAGTGAAACCCCGTCTCTAATAAAATACAAAAAATTAGCTGGGCGTGGTGGTGGGCACCTGTAATCCCACCTACTCGGGAGCCTGAGGCAGGAGAATGGCGTGAACCTGGGAGGCAGAGCTTGCAGTGAGTGGAGATCGCGCCACTGCACTCCAGCCTGGGTGACAGAGCGAGACTCCGTCTCAAAAAAAAAAAACAACAAAAAAAATAGCTTTGTGGGTGTTTTCACTATTAAAAAAAAAAAGTCACCTGTATGAGCTTTAGGATGAGGGTGGCAACTGTGAGCCCTCCAGAGCTCCAACCTGGATAGAAGTAGAGTGATGGTGGGCAGAATTCGGCAAAAGAAAGTACAGCACTTTGATATTTGGTTTTTGTTTTTTGCAATTCTTGGGTTAGAGCATAAACTCCCTGTACTTGTGTTGGATCATAAGACTCCTGTAACATTTTGTAGCTTTTCTCCAGTATTTTTTGGATGTGAAAATATCCTGTAAGATTTAGACTCATTGAAGCTTGGCCGAGCCAGGTGTATACCCTGATTGTCAGAATGCAGCCCTAATCAAACCACACTGGGGTCAGGGAAAGAGGGTAATAGTAACTGATGACGTTAGTAGTATTTTTGCTGAAGTTTCCTCCTGAATGGATTAT
This sequence comes from Homo sapiens, assembly GCF_000001405.40. Taxonomy (NCBI): domain Eukaryota; kingdom Metazoa; phylum Chordata; class Mammalia; order Primates; family Hominidae; genus Homo; species Homo sapiens. The sequence continues at coordinate 132,284,435 of NC_000009.12, read as the reverse complement.
GATCTTTCTCTATGTGACTAAAATATAGTTGAATTTAATGCATATTTTCATTAGCAGTTTATTTAAACTAAAAGTTATGTGAAAGCTTTTGATTAAACAGATTTTAATCAGATTTTAAACAGAACCCCAGATTAATCTTTCCTGAGTCAAGGATGAAGTCCATCTTCACAGATGTTTTTTGCTGCTCATCACATGTGTTCTGTGGGCCATGAAACTATGCTCAGCAGTTGTACTCACTAGGTGGCTGAGGACAGTGTCTGACAGTGCTTTACTGTGTGAGCCGTGGAGGACCACAGTGCCACCCTCTTCCTAAAGCTCACACGAATGCCTTGAATTCCATGGTTGAATATATCGTATGTGCTGAGATGAATCACCACTACTTCTTAGTAGCAAAAAGCAGCAAACTGAATCTCTGCTGGAAATGCTGATTGACTGAGCAGTGTAGGTGTGACTGTGAGGCGTCACTCACGTCCGGCTCCATCACAGCACACTGCGTTAGAGAGGGAGACCAGACTGTTCCTTACTGTGGAAATAGAGGATTTGTCAGGTTCACAGGCATTTTTGTTAGTACTAGCAAAAGCACTAAAAAAAGACAGGGCAATATTATATACTTAAAAACTAACAGAAAAATGTACATTCAGGCTGAATTCCACCCCTGGTTTTACTCATATAATTCACAACTCAGAATTATTACATCTCTACTTCAGATACCTACCTACATATATCTGACTACAGGAAGGATTGTAATCTACTTTGACCAAATCAAACCCTGGATAAAAATTTTTAATGTGCTTAAATCATATTCTGTGTTTCAGCCGCGAAGCACACATTCTTTCTGCTTTGTGATTATCTTAAATGTTTCTGCTGTTTCCTAGATTTGAGGGTTTCCCCTAACTTTTACTAAATATTTTTCTGTCATAAATCTATTTTAATAAATAGTGAGTGTTTTATAGTAAACATAGGCCTGTCATAGTCAAGGATTGATGTACAGCTGAATATTGATTTAACCTTTGTTCTCTTAGGTTCAAGGACGCCCACAGAAAACACAGAGTATCATCATCTTAGAGTCCCATATCATCTGCTGCACGTTGAGCACAAGTGGTGGTTTACTACTTGAGTCTGCTTTCCGTGGGCAAGGGGGTGTCCCCTTCAGCTGTGTCATTGTTGATGAGGTCAGTGAACGGTCAGCCATACAACTTTGACTACTACTATGAGGAGTAAGTCTTAGATGAATTGTGGCTGCTGAAATGTTGAGGAAATGTGTTTTTTTTTTTTGCATCTGATTTTCACTTGCTATTACCTGTGTATTCCCTTATGTAGAAATATACTCCTTAATGACCCTCCATAGTGAAAGTGGATTTTCCAGTATTGGGGGTTAGTCTTGAGGATGACTGATGGTTTCTAACAAAATCTCTGCTGAGTGACTGTCTCACTCCTGCTTAGAATATCTCTGGTAACCTTTTGAAGTAGTTTTAATATAATTTTGGATAGCTTTGAGCCACAGTATGTTCACCTGATGTCTTTTATTCCTAGTTCACTCTTTGAGCAAACATTTATTGGGTACGTACTGTTTGTCAGAACGTAGAGTCAGAAGACAAAAGAGATGGAGCAGGAGATACCAGAGAATTGAGTGATCAGGAGACCCAAGATCCAGTTTTCACCAGAAGGAAAGGACAAAAAGTGGAAATGATTAAATAGTTGAAGAAAATGTCATTGAATTTAAGAGAAATTTGAGTCTTGTCATCAAAGAGGCATGCTGAGGAACAAGGAAGAAAGATATGGGGAAACACACTCATGGACGCTCCTAATGTGATTTCTGAACCTCAAATACAAAGTTTTGAAAAGGGCCTGGGCATGGTGGTGCACACCTGTAATCCTGGCACTTTGGGAGACTGAGGAGGGTGGATCGCTTGAGCCCAGGAGTTTGAGACCAACCTGGGCAACATGGTGAAACCTTGTCTCTACTAAAAAGACAAAAATGAGCCAGGAGTTGATGGTGTGTGCCTGTCATTCCAGTTATTCGGGAGGCTGAGGTGGGAGGATTGCTTGAGCCCGGGAGGCGGTGAACAACGATCATGTCATTGCCCTCCAGCCTGGGTGACAGAGTGAGACTCTCTCTCTCAAAAAAAAAAAAAATAAGTTAAAAAATAAATAAAAAATTTAAAATAAAGTTTTAAAAGGACTTTAAAGGAGAAAAATTTTTCAGGCTCATGCCCAGCAGGAACAAAAAGCACGCATCTAGGATGTGCATGGCCTTCTGAACTTACGGCTGGTTCCCAAGTGGTAGTGGCCCCGTTGGTGGCTGACTTCAAAAATACAAGTTTGATTTTTTTTTTAGACATGTTTGGAGAGTTTACTTTTTATTTATTTATTGTTTTTTTTGAGACGGAGTCTTGCTTTTTTTTTTTTTTTTTTTAGAGACGGAGTCTGCACTCACCCAGACCGGAGTGCAGTGATGTGATCTCGGCTCACTGCAACCTCTGCCTCCTGGGTTCAAGCAGTTCTCCTGCCTCAGCCTCCCAAGTAGCTGGGATTACAGGCACTTGCCACCACGCCCAGCTAATTTTTTTGGTTGCGCCATGTTGGCCAGGCTGGTCTTGAACTCCGGACCTCAGGTGATCCACCCACCTCGGCCTCCCAAAGTGCTGGCATTACGTGTGTTAGCCACTGCACACAGCCTGGAGGGTTTATTTTGTTGGTTTTGTTTTGTTTTTTTGTTTTCAGGGAAAATTTGTATTTTTGATATTTGGTGCAGGAGAAGTGTGATACTTTTCTGAATGGTTAGAACTTTAATCAGATAAACTATATGGATAAATAGCAAAGATTGTTAAGACTGCCTCTCTCTTCTGTATCTTACCAAGGCTGGACAGTCTTGTGAAATTGAGACTCTTACTCCACTCATCCATCGCTGCAATAAGCTCATCCTAGTAGGAGATCCTAAGCAGCTCCCTCCGACAGTCATCTCTATGGTAAGTTTTTTATGTTCAGATTGCTTTAAAATGGAAGGGGCTTTTTAAAATTTTTGTTTTCAGGAGGGAGAGACATCTTTCTTGGATTGGCCTCTTAATTTGGAGGGAAAAGTAAGCAGTAACTAAGAAAAGAGAAGCACTTAATAAATTTTAAAAAATGCCTAAAAATGTCCATTTGGTCATAGTTGTTCTTCTGTGTATGTGTGGCAGAAGCAGTGTGGCAGGGACTTGGAAGCCTAGATGGATGACGTGCCATGGAAACCAAGCTTTGGGAAAGGCAGTGTGCATGTCTGCCTTTTTTAAGTCTCTTAAGAGCTGAATCTGATTTATTTTAATCATACAAACACCAAAACAATAATAAAAGAAAAACTTCAGAAATAAAGAGAAGAATCCTACCCTCCTCATTTTTGTTTAAATATGTACAAATTGAGGAAAACATGAAGTTAAATTAATTTTGGAGTACATTTCCATTTTTAGAATTTGGTATTCTAGTGTTAATACAAGAACATGTCTGTGCCCTTCACATCATCTGAAAGTGAAGGTACAGGGGAAAAAAAGACTCAATTACAAGCTCTGACTTTGGGAAGAGAAGAACCAGACTGTAGTCTACTCTTCTCTGTTGGTTTTTTTTAATCTCATGAAAGATTCTCCTGGAAATGCACATTAGAATCAGGATCCAGTAGATGTTTTGAAGTAATCTGAAGAGGTTTTGAAATTTAATGAAATGTGTATTTTTTACTAATAACATAGATTATTTATACAGATAATTGAGCAGTGGCTTCATAAATAATCCTAGAGAACAGATCATTTTCAAAGCATTTTTGTTGAAGCTTGGAATGAATGCAGGTGGTTATCGTTAGTGGTTTTTGATTTCGGAATTATTCAGAATGATAGTGCAGTTCTTTGTATGACATTTGAGCGCAGGTACATGATCATGTTAGAGTGTGGCCCAGAAGCACACCCGTCACCCAGTGAAAACCCGTGTGTGTAGGGAAGAACTGCTGCAGGTAACTTTGTTCACGGAGAATAATGAAGAGCAAATTCTGTATCCCATTTCTTTAAATGATGCAGGATTTCATTGAAGGGCCTTGGCATATAGTGAAAAGAGAGATTGTTAATGGGCCTCAACTTTACTGCCTACTTCAATGATTGATAAAAACAACAAAAATTAGAAAAAAAAAATCCATTTGTGCTGTTTAAATTGTTGTACAAATAAAACAGGCTATTTTGAGAAAATAATTACAAAGTTCATTTCCATAAGGTGCCTTTTTTGACCACCTGTTTCTAGTGGTAATTACAGTGAAAGTGAGTATTTTTAACAGATATTGCTAGGCATTTGTGTGTTTATTCGTCTTTTTCAGTATGTATATATTGAGTGCCACCATAATTCAGGCACTGTTTAGGGGCTGGGGTTATGACAGTGAAGAAAACAGACAAAATCCCTGCCCTTATGGTGTTTGTATTCTAGGGGTTAACAGTGAGTCAGTTACTAAAAAGTGGTATATGGTTTGTATACATGTATATGTTTATGTGTATATGTACGTGGGTTTGGTTTTGTTTAAAGGTGGCAAAATCATTCTGTGCAGAATTGGTTTTTTTTTCAATCAGTAAATCAGGGACATCCTCCCATGTCAGAATATATATTAATAAATCTATGTCATTTGTAGAATGGACTAAGGTTTTGTCTGGAGGTAGATGCGTTACCTTACATAACTTCCTTTTCTGTTTCCCCAAAGAAAAGATTAAAAATTAGGTTTTGTGAGCTAACGCAGATAAACTTTTGAGGATTTAGGGAAAATTGGCATGTATCTATTAATAATTATTTTATGCTTTCACAAACCTGTTTAAAATCACACATATAAATAGGTTAAGAAGTAATGCCTTTCTTCCACTCCCATAGTTTGTGAAACAAGTTTATTCAGGCTTTGCACGTCTTCAGTGCCAGTATCTTTCACATCACTCATGAAGATTCCATCATCTTAGTGAAGTTTTCAGCACATTTTTACTTCAGGGTTATTTAAGATAAAGTACTTTTTGAAACTTTTCTTTTTTAATTATACTTTAAGTTCTAGGGTACATGTTCACAACATGCAGGTTTGTTACATATGTATACATGTGCCATGTTGGTGTGCTGCACCCATTAACTCGTCATTTACATTAGGTGTATCTCCTAATGCTATCCCTCCCCCTCCCCTTTTTGAAACTTTCTGTGTTGCTGCCATCGGAAAGTAGATCCCAAGGCACAACTGTGGTAACATCAAGACAGTTTATCCCACTTGTCACTTAGGTCACTGTTTTTCAGATTGCAGAATATAACCCATTATTTGGTTTGTGAAATCCATTTAGCACAGCTTCGGCGTTCCTAATTCAAAAATTTGAAATGCTTCACCATCTGAAACTTCCCAAGTGCTGACTTTATGCTTAAAGTTCACGCTCGAAGGATATGCTCATTGGAGTATTTTGGATTTTTGGATTAGGGATGGTCAACACATAAGTCGAGTCTGTTTCCTTCACTGGAAATTAAGTCCTGTGAGACTTCATCTTATTCACTCTAGTGGTCTTAGCACTTCAAATTATAGATGCTTAGTACATATTAGATGGATGAATGAAGAATTTTGTCTTCAAAAGGCTTGTTTACAGTGGCATTCAATATGTCTGTCTGTGAGGGTGTACCCCCAGAAATAATTGTTAAAATCTGTGTTACATTTCCTTTATTACTGGTTTTTTTGGGTGGCGTCTTGTAGCATCAAAATAGCATCAGTTGTCTTTCACAAGATCATATCTCTTTCATTAGCAGTATATGAGTAGAAAAGACCTCCACATATATTCAAGATTCATGGCATTTTGGCCAGGTGTGGTGGCTCATTCCTGTTATCCCAGCTACTCAGGAGGCCAGAGACATGAGAATCGCTTGAACCTGGGAGGTGAAGGATGCAGTGAGCTGAGATCACGCCACTGCACTCCAGCCTGGGTGACAGAGCGAGACTGTGTCTCCAAAAAAAAAAAAAAAAAAAAAAAAAAAAAAAAAAGATTCATGGCATTTTGAGGCTCAGAGTCAGAAACACCTTTTTTCTCTGAAGCTGTGGTTGGTAATCTTATGCTACCTGAACGTTGCCATATACGTATTAGATCTCAGTAATTGTGTTTATAATAGTGGGAAAGATATAAATGAATTCTTGGAAACTGTTGCTTTATTTTGCCCCTCACAGAAAGCACAGGAGTATGGCTACGACCAGTCAATGATGGCTCGCTTCTGCAGACTGCTGGAAGAGAATGTAGAACACAACATGATCAGCAGGCTGCCCATTCTACAGCTCACTGTTCAGTACAGGATGCATCCAGACATATGCCTCTTCCCTTCTAATTATGTTTATAACAGAAACTTAAAAACAAATAGGTGAGTTCCCCTTATTGTTTGTGACCTTATTTTGTTGTAGTTTAGCTACTTATGAAGAATAGACATTTTACTGTCGTCTTAGGTCTTGTCATAAAAAGCATAAATCATGAAGGGTTAATAATTTTGTCCTGTTATAATAGCCATCATGTTGAATACAGCAAAGCACATAAAAAAGAAAAGGGGAAAAAGTCACCTATATTTATACTACCCAGAAATAATCACTGGTAACATTTTGGTATATCCACTTTCAGCAGTCCTTTTTTTTTTTTTTTTTTTTTTTGAAGACAGGGTCTCATTCTGTCACTCACACAGGATGAGTGCAGTGGCACACAGTCCTGGCTCACTGCAGCTTCGACCTCCCAGGCTCAATCAATCCACCTGCCTCAGCCTCCTGAGTAGCTGGGACTACACTCAGTCACCACCATGCCTGGCTAATTTTTGTATTTTTCTTTTTGTAGAAACGGGGTTTCGCTATGTTGCCCAGGCTGCTTTCGAACTCCTGAGCTCAAGCAATCCACCCGCCTTGGTCTCCCAAAGTGCTGGGATTACAGGCGAGAGTCACCGCACCTGGCCAAGTTTCAGTCCTTTTACTATGCATATCTTTTTTTACTTTTTAAATTTTTGAAGGAAAAATGTGGGACCATACTTAACATAGTATTCTGTGGCTTACTCTATTATGAGTGTCTTTCCAATCATACTTGTTATATTTTAATGATATAGACACCTCTCCCAGCACCAGGAAAGAAATAGAATTTGTTTTGTACCTTTCACTAATACACGTCTAGAAAAGAATATTCCTGCTATCCCCTTACTTGCCCCAGCCCACATCACCACACAGAAAAAATTGTAGTAATACCAAGATATTTTCTTAAATCTTGACTTTATTCTGAATGTTGACTGCTTTTTTTTTTTTACAGACAGACAGAAGCCATTCGATGTTCATCAGATTGGCCATTTCAGCCATACCTTGTGTTTGATGTTGGAGATGGTTCAGAAAGACGGGATAATGAGTATGTTTTCCTCTTGCCTCAGTCCTCTGATAGTCCCAGAATTGTTACATGATTTGCATTCATATTTCTGTTAAATACATTTCCTATACACATCTCTCTGCCTAGTGTCAGGGCACAGTCATGTTCACTTAAGTTGATGCTTCTTTTTTCTGTATAATGGGGATAATATTACCTAATGTCATAAGCAAGTGCTTGAGTAGATACTTGTTGAGCTCACAGCAGTGAGGGAAACAGACGTGCCCATTGCAAGATGGTGGTCTCATGGGAAGACAGGCCTTCAGCAGGTCATCACCTGGGTAAGCAGTTATTCCAGTTGGGTTAAGTACTGTGAAGGCTAAGTATAAATTCAGTTGAATGAAAATGTGAAAGGGAGGAAGGAAGTAGTGACAGAGGTTGGATGGTATTGGGTTGTGAATAAGGGCATGTGTTCAGGTGGTCTGTATATGACAGCAAAGAGGAGTGGTGTTGCTAGAAGCAGCAATGTCAGAGGAGCTGGGGATTCTTGTGAGAGAGTAGGGGAGGAATGGTCTAGGGGCAGCATTTGTTGGCACGGATACAAGTGCCACTCTGTCATGAAGTAGGAGGAAACACAAATCCCACTTCTACATCATGGGATGGCTGCAGAGCAGGTGGCGTCCTCAGGCGAGAATCAGGCGTTAGATAAGATACAGAGGTGGAAGTAGGGAACACTCATTGAAGAGGTTACACATACAGAGGAGTTGTTGGCCATGGGATTGTAGTGCTGGAGGGACTGCAGCCTAAAGGTTTTAATGAGGCCTCTTGGAGGAGAGCAGAGGATTGCGAGTTAAGCCGCAGAGCATCATGAGGATTTCAGGGATGGAAGAGATCGCTAGCTGATTGGGTTGTCCATTTAGTAAGTCTCAAAGTTAGGAGAATGGGTATTTAAGGCTCGTAAAGCAAGGCGGGTAAGGTAGCCTCAGGAATCAAGGGATGGGGCAGTGCATCCCCTGGTCTTGGTGCATTTTGGGTCCGGTATGGTCATGAGGGAGCATGTGTTTTCAGGAGGGGTTGAGAGTGCAGGATATGAGGCTGCTGAGGACTACAAAGAGGACATGAACCTGCTCCAGGGCCCCATGTTGTTCAACTGGGGTCAAGTGGGACACATCCTTCACATTGAGTCTGTGTGGATGGCAGCTGCTCGGTTGTGTGGTGTGTGTTGTATGCAGCCAGTGGTGAGGGACAAGGAAGATCATACATGTAAAGCATTTTCTCAGTGTTCGGAAGATAGTTAATCCTTAATTCATGTTAGCTATCTCTTATTCACATCTTTGTTCTTATTAATACTGCTGTTCTTAATACTGCTCTCCCTGTTTCAACAGATGAAGAAAGTGGTGCCTAAACTTCAGTTGATTTCAAACTCTTTTCTCTCTACAACTTCATTTTTCACTGGGCATTTCACATGTATTCATATTTACCATAGTATTTTCACATTTATTCATATATACCATATTAATGGTCATTGTAACAGCCTCTTGGAGTCACTGCTAGCTGAATAAAAGATGAAGCCTATCTGCCTGCCCTTTACTATAATGGGAAACAAACTCAGTGGAACTTAAGTTAGCAATTAGCCTGCTATTAGTTTTGATAACACTGTGTTTTCTTTTTCCATCTTGTTTAGCTCATATATAAATGTTCAAGAAATAAAACTGGTGATGGAAATAATTAAGCTTATTAAAGACAAAAGAAAGGATGTTAGTTTTCGAAACATTGGCATAATAACTCATTACAAGGCCCAGAAGACGATGATTCAGAAGGATTTGGACAAAGAGTTCGATAGAAAAGGGTGAGGCATTTTTATAAATATTTCCAATTTTCTTGTTGAATTAGAATGAGAGGATATAGAAGGAAAGAAGAAAAGGGAAACTCTTAAGGAGTGGTCTGTGCAAATTGGTGATACGGCACGAGGAAGCTGGGATGCTGCTGGCTTTCATAGACTTGTGCTGTGTGGCTCCTGGGTAGACAGGTTACTTCCTGGCAGTTGGAATGTCAACATTCTCCTTGGCAGTGGAATTGACTAAGAAACTTGCCAGGTCTTTACCTTTTAGTTCCATGACTTGTTCATCTGAATTCTTGTTCTAGCAAGACTAAAAGTAACATTTCACTTTAAATAAATGATTTAACCCTTGTATTGCCTTTATGTATAGAATGAAAATCATGTTTTTGTTTCCTTCTTACCTCAGCAGTAAAATTAAAGATTAAATATTGGAGATCCATAACCTTAAAATCATCTTAACTTAGAAGCACACAGACTACCAAAATCGAATCTAGAAAACAATAGAAAATCAGACCTGTAGGCTGGGTGTGGTGGCTCACACCTGTAATCCCAGCACTTTGGGAGGCTGAGGCGGGCAGATCACCTGAGGTCAGGAGGTTGAGACCAGCCTGGGCAACATGGTGAAACCCCATCTCTACTGAAAAAAAATACAAAAATTAGCCAGGCGTGGTGGCGCGCTCCCGTAGTCCCTGCTACTCGGAAGGCTGAGGTAGGTAAATCGCTTGAACCCAGGAGGCGGAGGCTGCAGTGAGCTGAGATTGCCCCACTGCATCACTCCAGCCTGGGTGACAGAGCGAGACTCCATCTCAAAAAAAAAAAAAAAAGAAAAAATCAGACCTTTATAACAAATAATGAAACATTTCCCAATAATGAAAAGCCCAGAACCAAGCTAAGCTGGTGAATTCTATCAAATATTAAAAGAAGAATGAACACAAGTCATTCTCACATGCTTCCAATAAATAGAACACTCAGATTCATTTTTTGAAGCCAGTATTACACTGATACCAAAGCCAAGGGAAAGTATCACAAGAAAACTACAGATCCAAATCCTTTATGACTAGATACAAAAATCCTCAACAAAATAGTGACAAACTGAATTCAGCAGGTTATTACAAGGATTTATACATCAAGACCAAGTGGGATTTATCCCAGGAATGCAAGATTGCTTCAACATATGAAAATCAATATGATATACCATATTAGAAGAATGAGGAGACCCACATAATCAGCTCAGTAGATACAAAAAAAAGTTGCACGGAACCCAAAATGCTTTGATGATTTAAAAAAAAAAAAAGAATACAAAGGAACTTTTTTTATTAATAAAAGGCATTTACAAAAAACTCATAGCTAACGTTATACTTCATGGTAAGAATGAAAGCCTTTCCTCTAAGATCAGGAGAGATGTTTGAAACTCTTAATGCTTTTTTTCAACATTGTACTAGAGGTTTTAGCCAGAGCAGTTAAGTAAGGAAAATAAATAAAAAGCATCTTTACTGGAAAGAAAAAAGTAAAACTCTCTCTTCATAGGTGGCATGATCTTATTTCTAGAAACCCTAACAAAGCCATTCAAAGGCACTATTAGAGATAATAAGCTTAGCAGGATACAAGATTAATATGTGAAAGTTGATTATATTTTGATGCAACTAGCAATGAACAATCTGAAAAGGAAGTTGAAACAATTCCATTTACAATAGCATCAAAAAGAATAAAACACTTCGGAATAAATAGAACCAAAGAAGTATAAGACTTGTACGCTGAAAACTGCAAAACGTTGTTGAAAGGAATTAAAGAACACCTAAATAGGCCGGGTGCAGTGGCTCATGCCTGTAATCCCAGCACTTTGGGAGGCCCAGGTGGGTGGATCACCTGAGGTCAGGAGTTCAAGACCAGCCTGGCCAACATGGTAAAATCTTGTCTCTACTAATTATACAAAAATCAGTTGGGCATGGTGGCACACGCCTGTAATCCCAACTACTCTGGAGGGTGAGGCAGGAGAATCACTTGAACCCGGGAAGCAGAGGTTGCAGTGAGCTGAGATCACTCCATTGCACTCCAGCCTGGGCGACGAGAGCGAAATTCCATCTCAAAACAAAAAAAAAACCACCTAAATAAATGTGAAGACATCCTGTTTTCATGGACTGGAAGACTTAGTGTTGTGTTGTTTTTTGCATTTTTTGTGTGTTTTTTCATTTTTAGTAGAGACAAGGTCTTCCTAAGTTGCCCAGGCTGTTCTCAAACTCCTGAGTTCACACAGTCTTCCCAAAGTGCTTGGATTACAGACATGAGCTACCATGCCCAGCCAAAGACTTAGTATCAGCGTGACCATTTCTGTAAAAAAGGCAGTTGGATTACATCTGTAGATCAATTTGGGGAGCGCTGCCACCTTAACACTAAGTAAATAACTTGTACTATGTGGTACAATGAAATATTAATGAAGAAAGGGATGAAGTTCTGTTACATGCTACAACATGGATGAACTTTGGAAATGTTATGCTAAGGGAACAGTCACAAATAATCACATTTTGTAATTCCATTTATGTGAAACTCACAGTATAAGAAAATCTGTAGAGACAGGAAGTGTATTAGTGGTTGCCAGGGAATGGAGAGAGGAGGAAATTCAGGCTAACCTCCAAGAAAATGTTTTTAAAATGTCTTAGCAGCCGAGCATGGTGGTGCATGCATCTCCTTGGGAGGCTGAGGCAAGGAGGATTGCTTGAGCCCCAGAAGTTTGAGTCCAGCCTGGGCAACGCAGTGAGACTCTGTCTCTCTCTCTCTCTCTTTTTTTTTTTAAGTTTCTTTAAAAATAAAGACTGTAAGGCCAGGCATGGTGGCTCACATCTATAATCCTAACATTTTGGGTGGGTGAGGTGGAAGGATTGCTTGGGGCCAGGGGTTTGAGACCAGCCTGGGCAACATGGCAAGACCCCATCTCTACAAAACATGGAAAAATTAGGGTGGTGGTCCATGCCTGTAGTCCTAGCCACTTAGGAGGCTGAGACGGAGCTCAGGTGTTCAAGTTACTGTGAGCTATGAATATGCTGGTGCACTCCAGCCTGGACAAGAGTGAGGCTAGACTGTCAAAAACCAAAAAACTAAGCCGGACGCGGTGGCTCACGCCTGTAATCCCAGCACTTTGGGAGGCCGAGGCGGGCGGATCATGAGGTCAGGAGATGGAGACCACAGTGAAACCCAGTCTCTACTAAAAATACAAAAAATTAGCTGGGCATGGTGGCGGGCACCTGTAGTCCCAGCTACTCAGGAGGCTGAGGCAGGAGAATGGCGTGAACCCGGGAGGCAGAGCTTGCAGTGAACTGAGATCGCGCCACTGCACTCCAGCCTGGGCGACAGAGTGAGACTCCGTCTCAAAAAAAAAAAACCAAAAAACTAGTTTATAAATATGTATACTTAATAATTATCTTCCTTTTTCCAGTAAATATGTTTCTCTTTTGTAAATAGACCAGCAGAAGTAGACACTGTGGATGCATTCCAGGGTCGGCAGAAGGATTGTGTTATTGTTACGTGTGTCAGAGCAAATAGCATCCAAGGTTCAATTGGGTGAGTTACTGTCATTGTTGCTCTTTTATACTTGTATACATTGTTGCTTGTTTATAGTTCAGGATTAGGTTCATTATCACTGTTAGAGAACACCATTTGCTTTTTTAATTTTCTTTTGTGAAAACCTGTGTAATACTATGAAAGTTTCTCTTTTAAGTTGTGAAATAGACCCACTGTTAGATCTTGGTGCAATCTTGGCCCACTGCATCCTCCACCTCCTGGGTTCAAGCGATTCTTCTGCATCAGCCTCCCGAGTAGCTGGGACTACAGGCATGTGCTACCACGCCCAGCTAATTTTTGTATTTTTCTGTAGAGACAGTGTTTTGCCAGGTTGCCCAGGCTGGTCTCAAACTCCTGAGCTCAAGTGCTCCACCCACTTTGGCCTCCCAAAATGCTGGGATTACAGGCGTGAGTCACTGCGCCCGGCCTTGGTGTCTTTTATATTAACCCATTTCATAGTGTGAATCTGTTCTTTTATTTAATAAGATTCAAATAAATAATTAGATTATACTTTGCAGAGGCATATTACTCCCCATGGTATGTGTCAAAGTGTCATTGTTTTCTGTGTTTTCCTGCTTTGGCTAAATTTGTTCACCTTAACTACTGTCAGTTTATTTAAGATGCTAAGGACACCTGTATGAGTGACAGAAAATATCCCAAGCCCAAGACTCTTACATGATTATTTGTTTCTTGTCATGAGAAGCAGACAGAATTTACAGGTTATAAATTAGTTCGTTTTCAAATAAAATAGTAATTAAAGTAATCTTTGCCCCTCCCTGGGATGGGCTGCATATACAGAGCCCAGTTGTATCTCAGGGTCAGTTTATAAATAGACCTTTCTTTCCCAGCTAATTTGAAATTTCACTTTTATCATACATCAATTCTATTTCTGAGCTCTTTTTCTGATCTACTGAAATATTTATCTGGTGTTCATGTATTTCTACACTAGTTCTACAATATCTTAACAGTCTAGATATATTTAAATGTAAGAATAAAGTGATTAGGCTGGTACCACATTTTTAGGATTTTTCAAGGCTTCAAGATTGCACTGTTAAAATTTCCAATTATCTTATCCAGGTAAAAATAGGAAATTGATAGATGCATCACTTTGAAGGAAGCCCCGAGGTTTTGGTTTGTTTCCTGTTTTTAATAGGAATTCTTCTGTGCCCGGTACCCTGTATTGGGACGGAGAGTAAGAAAGCACTGTGACTTCTAGAGGAGTGAAGGAGTCCCGGAAAAGCTGCCTGCAGTCCACCTGTGTCTCACATGGGCATGCTGAGTCATTCTAGAGTTCACCTGTGTCTCACTGGCATGCTGAGTCATTCTAGAGTCCATCTGTGTCTCACATGGGCATGCTGAGTCTAGAGTCCACCTGTGTCTCACACGGGCACGCTGAGTCATTCTAGAGTCTACCTGTGTCTCACATGGGCACGCTGAGTCATTCTAGAGTCCACCTGTGTCTCACATGGGCATACTGAGTCATTGTAGAGTCCACCTGTGTCTCACATGGGCACGCTGAGTCATTCTAGAGTCCACCTGTGTCTCACATGAGGATGCTGAGTCATTCTAGAGTCCACCTGTGTCTCACACGGGCACGCTGAGTCATTCTAGAGTCCACCTGTGTCTCACATGAGGATGCTGAGTCATTCTAGAGTCCACCTGTGTCTCACACGGGCACGCTGAGTCATTCTAGAGTCCACCTGTGTCTCACATGAGGATGCTGAGTCATTCTAGAGTCCACCTGTGTCTCACACGGGCACGCTGAGTCATTCTAGAGTCCACCTGTGTCTCACATGAGGATGCTGAGTCATTCTAGAATCCACCTGTGTCTCACACGGGCACGCTGAGTCATTCTAGAGTCCACCTGTGTCTCGGGCTCACTGAGTCATTCAAGATTCCACCTCTGTCAGACACGGGCACGTTGAGTCATTCTAGAGTCCACCTTTGTCTCACATGGGCATGTTAAGTCATTCTAGACAAAGAAGGAACTCTTTTTTTATTGCCTAGATTCCTGGCAAGTTTGCAGAGATTGAATGTCACCATCACACGAGCCAAGTACAGCCTCTTCATCCTCGGACATTTGAGGACCCTGATGGTAGGTACCAGAGAGCTCAGAAGTTTACCCATTGTTACTGTTGTTGGATTGAGTTTTTGTTCTTATTTTCCATCAAAGTGTAAATGATTTCTGGATTACAAAATAATGGTTGTTATGTTTTCCAGCAACTTCTTCCTAGGAGCTTTTGTGTACACGTGAACCATTCGCCTTTTTTCAGCCCAGAACCCAAGTATCTACACTGGGCTCTCAAGGTGACCATTTTAAAACAAATTATCCACATCATAGGATTATTGTTAAGAAGGTATATTAAACCCACAGATGTAAAGTGCCAAAGCAATTGCTTGGCACTTAGTAAACACTCAGTAAATGTGGCTGTTATTGGCCCAGCTTAATGCCAGAGAGAGTTTGCAGGCGCGTGCTCTGCTCTGCTTTTCTGCTGGCACTGGGAGCTGTGCTGCTCACTCTGTTTCTCCAGCACTTAGCGCCTCCGGCATTCTTCTGCCAGGACAGGCGCCCCTCTGGAAGAGGTGTACGAGTTTCCAACTTCAGTAGACAAATGGTACAGCTTAATTCACTGATATCACAGCTAGATGTAGCACGTATTTGCTGTTTGTCTTATTAGGGGTAATAACTTTGTAGTTTTCCTCATTTCTCTTTTTTATGAAGTCATTGATTTCATCTAAGAAGAGCCAACTTGGTGGCTGTTTCCCCTGGTTTTGGTTCCTGCCACCAGGTGGCGCTCAGATACACCTTCTTTCTTGTTTCACTCCTCTATCACCTCCAGCCTTTGTCGTCTGTGTGCCTGCTCTGAAGGAAGTTTTAAAAGCTGTGTACCGTTTATTTTTATGTACCTCCTATTTTTAAGTTGATAGAAAAAATCTTTGTAAGTTTAAATATTACTGAAGATTATGCTTCTGATGTATTATCAATATTGACATTTTAAAATACAGCAATTAAAATTATTACATCACTCTTAAATATATCCAGTGGAATAGAAAGCAATATTATTTTATTTTTTCCTCTCTTTGAAATTGTACTTCCATTCCTGCTTGTTTAGGCTAAGATTCACTGGGGTAATCTCTTTTTAGAATTAAAAGCCTTTAAGTTAATCTCACTGATCTACACCTCTCTCACAAAAATTTCTGTATAACTTGAAAGTTTAAAAAGTTGTTTTCCCCTGGCGGGAGTGCAGTGGCACAATCACAGCTCACTGCAGCCTCCGCCTCCTGGATTTAAGCCGTTCTCCCACCTCAGCCTCCTGAGTAGCTGAGACTATAGGCGCATGTACCTAATTTTTGTACTTTTAGTAGAGAAAGGGTCTTACCATGTTGTCCAGGCTGGTCTCAAACTCCTGGGCTAAAGTCATCCCACCTCGGCCTAAAAAGTTGATTTTTATCACTATTTGGGGAACCCATGTGAAGGGTGCATGCAACCTCTCAGTACTTTCCTTGCAACTTCCTGTAAATCTATAGTTATCTCAAAATGTAGGTTTGGATTTTTAAAAATTGCTTTTCCTGTGACCATAAGCATCTGAGTGTTAAAACGTGATCTCTTATCAATTGAATAGCCTGTTAACACTTATTTGTACAGTTGAGCAAAACAAGACAAATATATTTAATATCACAGATTTTGATCATGTTTAAACCTGACAAGTAAATGAAATGTTGCTAGAGATACATCTTTTAGTGATGCCTTGATTAAAGGAGGCTTTGTGGGCACTACTGTTTTTCATCCTCCCTTAAGTTGGCACCTCATGGTGTTGATGTGTCTTGGCAGTGCACTCTGGATGGATGAGGCGCATCATGATTGTGAAGGGTGGGGTGCAGGAGGCAGGGCAGCCCAAGGAGGACATGGGAAGTAGGGTTTGCAAGGTTATTCTGTAACCCTTTTTCACATTCCGTTTAGACAGTGTTTGGGAGCCCCTGGGTCACACTTGCACAACTGTGCAGACCACTGACCTCCAGCTAATGGCACCGACATTGTCTTCACTCTAGGAAGGCAGTGCTACAAAAAGAGACAGACGAGAATCTGAAACTTCCCGACATGTCAGCTGGGCTTCCTAACTTTTTTTGTCCTTGGGCTTTTTCTTTGTTGTTTTGGGGATTCATTTGCTTTTGTTTCTAAGTTTTTAGCCTAGTTCCCCTTATGGGAATGGGATCAATCATTAAAGCGTTTGATTTCCTCTGAGAAACCAAGGCTAATAGTGCCTGCTCAGAACTGTTTCTGTGATCTTAGGAATGGATTAAACACCAAGTTTAGGTGTAGTGAACTTAGCAAAAATTGCAAGGCCATCTGCTTCACATATGTGTTTGAGCCACAGGCTAAGGATCTCTAGAGATCTGAGTGAGAAAGAGAACTGAGCCCCCAGAGCCTGGCGCTCCCTCCACAGACCTGTCTTCAGTATGCCAGCCACCGGGCCAAGCATTTTATTCTGGTCACATGACTTTCTCCAAACCTTGAAAAACTACTGTGAAGTCAGCTTATTACCATAGTTCATCAAATTCAAGAAACCATTCATTATAATATACACCACTATTTTATGTACCATTATTAGACTATGACACAGTGCCTTATTTTCACTTAGAACTTTCATATTTATTGAAAGGACTCTTAAGACTTTAGACAGATTTTTACCATATTCTTATCCATACATAGAAAATACAAGTAAAATAATAGGTTAAGATATTCCTAAAAATATTTCACTTTCAGAATTTAGCACGAATGAATCACTTCCCAATCCATAGTCATCAGTGTTGTCATTCATCCCAAGTGCAATAATAAGGTTGGCAATTTAGCATTTGCTAAGAGTTACACCATTGTCTCCAGGATTTCTTAGAACCCTTTATCTCCAGTGTATAAGGTTTTTTTGGGGGTTTTTTTTTGAGACAGAGCCTCACCTTGTTGCCCAGGCTGGAGTGCAGTGGCACAATCTCAGCTCACTGCAACGTCCGCCTCCTGGGTTCAGGCGATTCTCATGCCTTAGCATCTCAAGTACCTGGGATTATAGCTGTGCACCACTACACTTGGCTAATTTTTGTATTTTTAGTAGAGACGGGGTTTCACCATGTTGCCCAGGCTCGTCTTGAACCTCTGACCTCAGGTGATCCGCCCGCCTCAGCCTCCCAAAGTGTTAGGATTACAGGCATGAGCCACTGCACCTGGCCCAGTGCATAAGTTTTAATGCTGGTGTTATCTTGTCTTATCAGAAAATGTCTGTAGAAGGTTTTCAGGCATTATTTTTAAATGGTTTATTGACTAAAAGTCTAAGGGTTATAATTGCCTCATCATGTAATTTCCAAGGATAGGTACATGGCCAAGAGGCTCCCCAAGGTCAGAAATGCTAAAATGTGAAAGCAACGTGCACTTTAGAATCCATTAAATAAAATATTACTCCTATTTTACAGATGAGGAAACAGGCTCAGAGAGGTCAAGTGACTTGACCAAGGTCACACAGCAAGTAAATACTGTGCAGCCTCACTGCTTCCCTAACATACCTTTATGAACAGTACAGGAGCCCCCATGAGAGGGTAGCTATCCTTTTTCTTCTTTTCTTTCTTCTTTCTAAAGAGACCCGAATTCTAGTGGTTGTAAAGCAGCAGCCTCCTCTGAAGAAACTCGGGAAGAGAGGAGAGGTGCATGTGTTTGGCAACTTTCCCGATGGGATTTAATATCTTAAGCTCCTGTAGGAAACAGGCAGAAAGTGAGATGATATCTTGAGATCTCGGTGGATGAAGATGTTTTAGCCATTCGGGGTTTGGGAGGCCTTTAGAAATCCAGTGAAAGCCTTGGGCCTTTTTCTAGAATAGTCACATGCACTCAGAAGTTTGCTTTCTGAAACCAGACCTTCCTGTTTCAGAACGTTAGCCCTGCCAAGAGGTGTAGGCAGTACTCTAGATCACCAATGTCCAAAGGACCTTTCTGTGATAACGGAAATGTTTTGTGTCTGCACTGCTCAGTACAATAGCCATTAGTCGTGTGTGACCGCTGTGTACTTGAAATGTGGCTGATGCAATTTAGGAACAGAATTTTTTATTTTAATTTATTGAAATATAAATAGCAACATGATGCTCCTAGTGACTAGTGCAGACCTGCGTTGCAGTTGAATGCACTGATAAAAATGGCTGAAGTTCGGCCAGGCACGGTGGCTCCTGCCTGTAATCCCAGCACTTTGGGAGCTGAGGCGGGCGGATCATGAGGTCAGGAGATCGAGACCATCTTGGCTAACATGATGAAACCCCGTCTCTACTAAAAATACAAAAAATTAGCCGGGCGTGGTGGCGGGTGCCTGTAGTCCCAGCTACTCGGGAGGTTGAGGCAGGAGAATGGCGTGAACCCGGGAGGTGGAGGTTGCAGTGAGCCAAGATCGCGCCACTGCACTCCAGCCTGGCAACAGAGTGAGTCTCTGTCTCAAAAAAAAAAAAAAAAAAAACAAAAGTTGAAGTTCTCCATTATAGGTTGTGACCAGGTCTTATTTTTAGGAATGGGACTTTATCATTTTTTATTTGAATTTATTTTTTCCTTTCATCCTTGTCTGACGAGTAATGAATCTTGAGAATATGTTCATACAATAATATGTATTATTTGTTCAGAAATGAAAGCTGGAACTCTATGCTTCCCAAGCAGTGTCTCTTTGGGGTGTAATTATTTCTCCCTTCTCATTGTTTCAAGGAAAACCAGCATTGGAATCAGCTGATTCAGGATGCTCAGAAGCGTGGTGCCATTATTAAGACCTGTGACAAAAACTATAGACATGATGCAGTGAAGATTCTGAAACTCAAGCCTGTGCTGCAGAGAAGTCTCACTCACCCTCCTACCATAGCCCCAGAGGGGTCCAGACCCCAGGGTGGTTTGCCCAGCAGCAAGCTAGACAGTGGATTTGCCAAGACATCTGTTGCTGCTTCTCTATACCACACACCCTCTGACTCCAAGGAAATTACTCTTACTGTTACTTCAAAGGACCCTGAAAGACCTCCTGTTCATGACCAACTTCAGGACCCACGACTGCTGAAGAGGATGGGCATTGAGGTCAAAGGAGGAATATTCCTTTGGGATCCACAACCCTCGAGCCCCCAGCATCCTGGAGCAACACCTCCTACGGGCGAGCCGGGCTTCCCTGTCGTTCACCAGGACCTGAGCCATATACAGCAGCCCGCTGCTGTAGTGGCTGCTCTGAGCAGCCACAAACCTCCCGTGCGGGGCGAACCTCCAGCTGCCAGTCCCGAGGCTTCCACGTGTCAGAGCAAATGTGATGACCCGGAAGAGGAGCTCTGTCACAGGAGAGAGGCCAGGGCTTTCAGTGAAGGGGAGCAGGAGAAGTGTGGTTCCGAGACCCATCACACCAGGAGGAACTCTAGGTGGGACAAGAGGACACTGGAGCAGGAGGACAGCAGTTCCAAGAAAAGAAAGCTTTTATAGGAAAGCCCAGTGACATGGGCCAGCAGCCACAGCATATTGTAAACTGAAGATGACCAGCTCGTGGGACCATCTAGATAAGCTTGTTTTTTGTAAGGAGTTTGTGTGCTGTTGGAAAACATGGAAAATGCATCCTTAACACCTGAGCCTCTGGTCATCTTCAGTATTTTCTGTCATTTGCAAAAGCTTTCAGAGGGCATTGTGTATCCGTAATAATGTCCTTGAAGTCAGAGACTGGAAATGTTGATCTCTTAGTCTTCTATAGACAAGGAGGTCAGACTGGAGTGAATGTTGTAAAAGTTGAAATGTATATTTGTATAGCAAATAACAAAATCCTTTTAAAATTTAATCTAGTAGACCGCTTTTCTTTCCCCCTGTTTAAAATGTTAATCAGTTTTCAACAGAACAAACTTTATATTACCAAAAAAAAAAAGATGGGAGGAGGGCGGGTCCTTTCAACCATTGTTAGAGCAAGACAGATAATTATTTAACAGCCTAGCTTGGAATAAGCTGAGTTAGTGCTGGTGGGTCAGGTGTCTCTGGCTCTATTAAAAAAAGCAAAAACCCCCCCAAAAACCTGGAGTCTCCTAGGGGACACTTTGGGCAGCACGGTTATGTTAGGTAAAGTCTTGCTGACATGGTGCATTTTTAGATAGAGTGCATTGGCCCAGGGTATTATATTTCTGTGATGAGTTCATTTACCTGTTTCAGTATGCACATAGTTCCCTAGCTAAAATTCCTAATCTTCTTGAGAGAGAAGAATATGGAGTGAAAGAATAATTCTTGAGCTATCATTCAAATGCTCCCAGCATATTGTGAGCCTTGTGTGACTGGTGAGGTACAGACATTTGGTTGCCAAATGCTAGATTAGCGCTGGGTCAGCTGTGGAAGAATCGCCTCAGCTTACAGATTGTCAGACAGATCTAACTAGTTTTCCAGAAAGCCTGGGAAGCTGTGTGTTCAACATTTCCCAAGGGATTCTGATCACCAGGCAGCTTGGGAACCACTGGGGCAGGCCAAATAGAATATTTTGGGCGGGAAAGAAGCACCCGATTTAAAATGAAGCGTAACCAGAGGAGTTCAGAACTGGGAAGAGAGTGGTAGACTTCCTGTGATCTTCAGAAATCATCTACCTGGTAAAAATACATGCTGTTTAGAATATCTGATAGGTGTTTCCAGCTACTATTAGAGGTGATAGTGCTTTTGTGGGGGAAAAAATTGGTCATGGTGAATGGAGATCGAGGAAGCTCGGGACAAGGGAGGGGTGGGCTGCCTGATTTTGTCCAGTTTTCCAAATATCCACGCAGTGAACTGGAGTATCCTAAACATGAGAATGTACAGTTGACAGTTGTAAAAACTAGGGATCTGTAGTGAATGCTGTGCAGCCCCATATCTCATTTGGGGGTAGGAAAATAGCTGAAGATTCATGTGCATTATTTGACATTTCCTTTGTCATCTGCTTTTTAAGCAAAAAAGGGTTTTGTGTTAGAAATTCTACTTGAGCAGATTATAAAGAGCTTTAAAAAACAACTTTCGGTTGCCAAAAGTTTGAGCATTTGATTTCATTACCTGTGTCTCCCTCACTGGTGTCCAGACGGTCAACTGAATACTCCTGAAACCCAGGGAGCAGGTGACTTCCTGGAGTGCTTTGTCCCCAGAGTCAGCCACTGCTTCCTCTGTGGGGGTGGAGAGTTTGTCTTTGGCCATGCAGTGTGCGACAGTTCAGGACGGGTAGGGATGGGTCCCATTCTGTCTGGGTCAAGGGCTCTATCAGCTTCTTCCATGTGCCTTTGGGAAGAAATCTCGTTACTTTAAGTTTGCTTTCCTGTTATCTTGATGAAGTGCCCATTTTAGCAGACACTTGTAGTGCTGACCACTTAGGGAATGTACAAACTCCTAAGCTTCTAAAGGGAGGCATGGCAAAAACGTTGGGGTCAGGATGTCTCTCACGCTGCTCATGTTAATACTATTAACACATGATTTGAGAAATAAGTTTTCTCTAAAATGCATATTTTGCCGCCACACACTGAACAATATTATTTCCAGTGAAGTTTGATGCCTGTTCTTACGTTGTGTTCACCTGTTGGTTCACCACTCAGCAGATCTGATTCTGCAAGAATTAATGGTAGAACTAGATCATCCTTTCTAACAGACGAGCCTGTGTCCTGTGACGGCCTTTCACAGCGGAATGCAGTTGTACCTCACATTACTTTTGAAACTTCACTCGTTCCAGTTGGTACAAGTATTTGCCAAAGCCATTTCCTATGTTCACCGTGGCCCCTCCTGATGTGGCTGTCAGCGCAGCGTTGTTGAACAGGGCTATTCTTTTTACAAGGTGTGAAGTGTGGCTCTTCGCTTCGTCTTTGCCATGGCATTAAAAGAAAGTTCCCTGTCTTCTTTCAATATTAGTTATTTCAAATGAATATGTGCTACTTAAAAGCTTGTTTTGTTTCTTTGTATATAATTTGCCTTGGATTTATTGTGCACAGTTTGTTGAGTTGTATGTTTTTGTGAATTATCAGGAGTAAATTTGACAAGTACATGTGAATAACCTCCTGTAAATGAATTTTATAACAAAAATGTACTGAACTATTTTTTAAAGTTGTGCAGATTAGCAATTTTTTGCTATAGCTTTGACTTTTCTATGCTGTGAATTAATAGCTGCGATTTGGCAAACAGCCCTGTTGTCTTTGTTAAACCCTAAATTTTAAGAGGAAATGGCAGAATTAAAAGCAGAAACAAGAAGATGGACATGGATTAGAGGTTATGTATTATGAAGTAAACTACAAGGTACTAACATCATTTCGTCTGCCATTTGGTTTGCTTTATGCTGAAATTACTTGGTGGGGATTTGTGCAATTCAGATATAAAAAGTTTCATTATCCAGCCCGGCCCTCCTTCCTAGCTCCTTTTGGAATCTTCTCTGTACAGTAATGAGGTGCATTGAGGCCAGCTGTGCTGTTTAGTTACAGACTGAAGTTTGGTCCAACAGAAATATGTGCTGATCATTAGGCTGGAATTGGGGTGGAGGTGAGATAGGAGGAACAGATGAACAGTGACCCGTGAAAGGAGCTGCCAGAAGCACTGGTGGAGGGACAGGGTAGAATTGCCCTTGCCAGGGGTAATTGCTGATGGTTATGGAAGTGGAACACACTTTATAAAACAATAAACTTCAGGAAATGTAGTCAGCTTCCCCACACTTGTGCCTGTTAAAAGGCACTTGACCTCCGCCTCTGTGTCTCCTTCTGTACCCAGAAGTGTGTGCACACAGCCCACTTGGCCTGCTTGGCTTGTTCAGTATGCATACACAAATTACCAGGGAGGGTAAAATGGTGTGTTTGGGACTTAGGGGGAGTAATAAATTTGCCCAATGGCCTGGCGAGAGATGAGTGCTGCATGGTGGTCATTTGTGGAATTGGTTATGCAGCAGCCTTAGTGATGGTTTTTGAAGTCACCAGACATCTCTTTCCTGACCCATCCGCCCCCACAATCGCCCCCACCTCCTGGGTTTCACCATTCATTGAGGAATAAATAATTGAGGGACGAAACTAAAATTTAGCCTCAGCTCAAATAGAATTGATAATGTTGTACAGCACCACAAAGGCAGTTTCTGTACACAAGGGATCCCTCCATGACTCCAAAGACGTGAGTTATCGTCACCCTGTCCTACTACACAGAAGGCATTTGCCAAGTCAAATGGCAGAAATGGCATATTCGTAGTTTGGGTGTTTGAAACTGCAGGAGGAGGAACTCTGTTGCTGTCCTGTCAGCTCAGTAGACACAGTTATCTTTGTTTTCAAGCAGCATTGCAACAGAATTGTCAGATTGGTAGTTTTCAGCCTTGAGTTTTTAACCTTAGGGAGCACATTGGGCTCACTTGGGGGCTTTTAAAAAAAATTCTGAGGTCGGGTGCGGCAGATCATCCCTGTAATCCCAGCACTTTGGGAGGCCGAGGCTGGCGGATCACCCGAGGTCAGGAGTTCGAGACCAGCCTGGCCAACATGGTGAAACCCCGTCTCTACTAAAAACACAAAATAACCGGGTGTGGTGGTGGGCGCCTGTAATCCCAGCTACTTGGGAGTCTGAGGCAGGAGAGTCGCTTGAACCCAGGAGGCGGAGGTTGCAGTGAGTAGAGATTGTGCCACTGCACTCCATCCTGGGTGACAGAGCAAGACTGTCCCAAACAACAACAACCAAAAAAAAAAAAAAAAAAAAAAAAAAAAATTCTGATTGCCTGGGATCCATCCTAGCATTACTGATTTACTGGTTTGGGGATGCAGCCCTTGGTATTCTTGTGGTGTTTTGTTTGTTTGGTGTTTGTTTTTTTGAGACGGAGTTTTGCTCTGTCACCCAGGCTGGAGTGCAGTGGTGCAATCTCGGCTCACTGCAACCTCCGCCTCCCGGGTTCAGGTGATTCTCCTGCCTCAGGCTCCCTAGTAGCTGAGATTACGGATTCCCACCACCATGCCCGGCTAATTTTTGTATTTTTAGTAGAGACGGGGTTTCACCATGTTGGCCAGGCTGGTCTCGAACTGCTGACCTCAGGTGATCCGCCTGCCTCGGCCTCCCAAAGTGCTGGGATTACAGGTGTGAGCCACCGCGCCCGGCCCCTCTTCGAAGCCTTTCGTAAACATTAACCCTAACAACACCCCGAGGTTCCCTGGATACTTTCCCTTTGCTTAGGAGAGCATTGGTGAGGACTTGGGCTGTGGGCCCATTCACCTGTGGGTCTGTGGCACGCTAGCCCGCCTGGTGCCCCTTCCTGCCTCCAGGAGGACGCAGCTGCACCCAGACGGCCAGAGCAGAGCGGGCAAGATTTCATCCTCCCCGTGCTCTTCAGCTCCTCGGCTTGTGCGGAGAACCATACACACCGCCCCCGGTGGCCGTGGGCGGGACTGCAGCTGCCCCGCCCCTGTTAGGCGGATGTGCCTGGGCCTTCACTTCAGTAACTCCCACGTGTGACCCCAAGAGACAGGACACGCAAAGCCCATGCTTCTCAAAGGGCTGGAGGCAGAAACCCAGGGTCACCCCCCCACCAGGCTCCCTCAGACACCG
Source organism: Homo sapiens (assembly GCF_000001405.40). NCBI lineage: Eukaryota > Metazoa > Chordata > Mammalia > Primates > Hominidae > Homo > Homo sapiens. Next base: position 132,259,186 of record NC_000009.12, on the reverse strand, counting down.
GCTTTGCCACTGCTGAACTAGGATCACCAGCCTCCCATCCCCCTGCCCCTCTTCAGACCCCTGAAGCCGTAAGAGTCATTCCCCTGCCTCCTGCCTTAGCAGAACTGGGGCTCACCCTGCAGCCATTATTTATTATACACTCGCACCCACACACATGTGGAGTGCCCCTGCCTGGCTCACTTCTGTCTGCAATTCCTGGGCTCTCCAGCCTGGCCCCCTAGAATGTTCTTCATCCTTTTACCAGGCTCAGCTAGGAGGCCTCCCTGGGGAAGCTGGTCCCTGTCTGAAGAGGCCCATCTGCCACACTCTGACCCTGGCCCCACATCCCTTAGCCGGCTCCCAGGGCCAGAGCACAGTACGCCTTCCGCAGACAGGTGATGTTTCTTGTTATTTATTTTTTTATGTTGAGACCGAGTCTCGCTCTGTCGCCCAAGCTGGAATGCAGTGGCGCGATCTCGGCTCACTGCAACCTCCACCTCCCAGGTTCAAGCGATTCTCCTGCCTCAGCCTCCCGAGTAACTGGGATTACAGGCACGGGCCACCACGCCCGGCTAATTTTTGTATTTTTAGTAGAGACAGGGTTTCACCATGTTGATTAGCCTGGTCTCGAGTTCCTGACCTCGTGATCCACCCACCTCGGCCTCCCAAAGTGCTAGGATTACAGGCGTGAGCCACCACACCAGGCCTCTTGTGTTTTTTTTTTTTTAATTTCATAAAATATTTTCTTACAGGCTCCAGTAAACCTTCACCAATTTACATCAGTTCCTATTCCTCACCAGCAAGAGAACAAAATAGACGGCTACAGGTGAATTTGCAATATCATTTTTACAGAAGGCTGATTAGCAGTTAACACAGTAAGGGGTCCACGTCGATTGACTTCCCAGAGCTGGGCCAACACGGCAGGGTCCTAGATGCTTTCCCTGGGGATCTTCACTCCTTGGAAACTCACGTGTGGTTTAAGCAAAGCATTTCCACGGTAGCCTCACGTTCTTGAGTATCCACATCGGTACTGCTGAGACCACCGTGCCACTGATGGGGACAGCCGAGAAGTCTTTAGTTCATGTCTTTTGCCCAGCAGTGTCCTTTTCCCACTCTTTTTCTGTTAAGCTCTAAAATCTCTTCCAGCCTCTGGGTGAGGGAAGGTTGGTAAGCACACTTCATGCCCTCATCACATTGTTCTCTTTTGTGTATACCTCGTTCTCCATCTCGCCCCTCCCTGTCCAAGCTCCACAATTTAAAAACACTGAGTCCATCACGAGGTCTGTTTGTCTCAGTGGTCAAGGTGGACTCAGCCCCTGCCGGGATGGACCTCACTGTGGGAGAGTGGGACTGGCGGTTATAACACACCCAGGCTTTGCTTTCATGAAGGGCCTGCAGTCAGTCTCAGGTCCTTCCCAGTGCCTTGGTGAACTTGGACCATCTGGTCTCTCCTCTTCCCTTTCAATGACACAGAGCAGCTGGAGTTTCCTAAAACAAGACTGTATCCTGTCCTTCAGATAAGGATGCGTTCTAAGACCTCTCCTTCTCGTCATCTTTTCTGTTTTTGAGGCAGCTGTTTGTTTCTTTGTTTGTTTTGTTTGTTTTTTGAGATGGCGTCTTCGTCTGTCGCCCAGGCTGGAGTGCAGTGGCGCGATCTCGGCCTCCTGTTATTTTTTTAAAGGGAGCTATTTCACGCATACAGAGTAGGATAATAATAGTATAAGGAACACCCTGTACCCACCATTCCTGTTTCTTTACCTTAGATCTTTTACTTTTTAAGGAAATAAATGAAGAACTATAGATACAGTTGGAGCCCTGTGGCATGCTCTGTCCCTCTCTCCCTTTGCAGAAGTGACATGAGCCTGAGACCTCACTACATATGTGCGCAGCCATCATGTTTTCTTGGTGTGTTTTTAGCCCTCATATGAAAAGTGTTATACTGCATCCACCTTTCTGTGATATAGATTTTCCACCCAGCACTATGTTTTAAGATTTATCCATGAGGATTCATATGGCTCTAATGTGGTTCTTTTTGTTTGTTTGAGACGGAGTCTCGCTCTGTTGCCCAGGCTGGAGTGCAGTGGCGTGTTCAAGCAATTCCCAGGTTACTCCCAGGTTCCGCCTCCCAGGTTCAAGCAATTCTCCTGCCTCAGCCTCCTGAACAGCTAGGATTACAGGCGGCTGCCACCACGCCCGGCTAATTTTTGTATTTTTAGTAGAGACGGGGTTTCACCATGTTGACCAGGCTGGTCTTGAACTCCTGACCCCAAGTGATCCGCCCACCTGGGCATCCCAAAGTGCTAGGATTACAGGCGTGAGCCACTGTGCCCTGTCTAATGTGGTTCTTAGTTGGGCAATTCTGCCCCCTCAGGGGGACATTTGACAATATGTAGAGACATCTGTGGTTGTCACACGGGAGGATGCTATGGCGTCTCATGGGTAGAGGCTAGGGGTGCTGCTGAGCATCCTACTATAGGCAGGACAGTCCCCACGACAGGGTTATCCAGTCCCACGTGTCAGCCAGGCTCAGGGTGAGGATTCCTCTGCAGTTCACTCATTGGAAGAGCTAGAGAATTCCAGCATGGGAGCGGGCCACACATCCAGCTTCTCGGTCCTATGTGTTTGGGTTGTTTCCATTTTTCACTATTTTACTACTTTGGTGATCACTCTTGGCCGGGCGCGGTGGCTTACACCTGTAATCCCAGCACTTTGGGAGGCTGAGGCATGTGGATCACAAGGTCAGGAGTCGGAGACCATCCTGGCCAACATGGTGAAACCCTGTCTCTACTAAAAATACAAAAATTACCCGGGTGTGGTGGCGTGCACCTGCAATCTCAGCTACTTGGGAGGCTGAGGCAGGAGAACTGCTTGAACCCAGGAGGTGGAGGTTGCACTGAGCCAAGATTGCACCACTGCACTCCAGACTGGGCAACGGAGTGAGACTCCATTTCAAAAAAAAGAAAAAAAAGAAAAATTCTCCAAATATTTTCCATGTTAATCTTTTAAGTATCACATTTATTTCCAATATTTTATCTTGCTCTGTGGCTTGTGCTTCTTTACTGATGTCTTTTGTTGTACAGAAGGTTTTTATTTTATTTTATTTTTGAGATGAAGTCTCGCTCTGTTGCCCAGGCTGGAATGGAGTGGCGTGATCTCGGCTTACTGCAACCTCCACCTCCCAAGTTCAAGAGATTGTCATGCCTCAGCCTCCCAAGTAGCTGGGATTACAGGCGTGAGCCACCACGCCTGGCTGGTTTTTATTTTAATGTAGTTGAATTAATCAATCTCCTAAGTGTTTTAAAGCCTCACTTTTCTCATTTATGTCTTTAACCACTTGAATTTATTTTTGGGCATGGTATGTGGAAGGGATAGAATTTTTCTCCTCACTTCTCATAAATGCAACCACATCAGTCTAGCTCTATTAATAGTCATTCAACATTTTTTGTTTCTTTCTTTCTTTTTTTTTTTTTTTGATACAGAGTCTTGCTCTGTCACCCAGGCTGGAGTGCAGTGGCACAATCTCTGCTCACTGCAACCTCCGCCTCCAGGGTTCCAGTGACTCTCTTGCCTCAGCCTCCTGAGTAGCTGGGATTACAGGCACCTGCCACCAGGCCCAGCTAATTTTTGTTTTTGTTTTCTTTTGAGATGGAGTCTCACTCTGTCGCCCAGGCTGGACTGCAGTGGCACAATCTCTGCTCACTGCAGCCTCCGCTGCCCTGGATCCAGAGATTCTCCTGCCTCAGCCTCCTGGGGAGCTGGGATTAAAGGCATGTGTCATCACATGTGGCTAATTTTTGTACTTTTAATAGAGACAGGTTTTCGCCATGTTGGCCAGGCTCGTCTCAAACTCCTGACCTCAGGTGGTCCACCCACCTCAGCCTCCCAAAGTGCTAGGATTACAGGTATAAGCCACCGCGCCTGGCCTGTTTCTTATCCAAATTTTTATTTTGAAAATTTTAAGTTTAAAGAAAAGTTGAAATAGTACAAGGAATATCTAAATAGCCATTGCCCAGATTCACCAATCTCACCACATTGCACTCCCTTGTTTCTTTTTTTCTTTTTTTAGAGACGGGGTCTCGTGATGTTGCCCAGGCTGTCATGAGCTCCTCTGTCTACGTGTTCAGTTTTCATTGAGCAATCTGAAAGTATGCTATGGTGTCATGCTATTCCACTCCCAAACACTTCACCATGTATCTCTATGGAATAAGGACATTTTTCTTCCTTTTTTTTTTTTTGAGACGGAGTCTCGCTCTGTCTCCCAGGCTGGAGTGCAGTGGCGCGATCTCTACTCACTGCAAGCTCCGCCTCCCGGGTTCACGCCATTCTCCTGCCTCAGGCTCTGGAGTAGCTGGGACTACAGGCGCCCGCCACCACGCCCGATTAATTTTTCTGTATTTTTTTAGTAGAGACGGGGTTTCACCGTGTTAGCCAGGATGGTCTCGATCTCCTGACCTCGTGATCCACCCGCCTCGGCCTCCCGAAGTGCTGGGATGACAGGCGTGAGCCACCGCGCCCGGCTGGAATAAGGACATTTTTCTACATGATCACAACACTATTATCACATCTAAACTTGATATAATAACACGAGCTAATATATCATCCATAGTTACAATTCTGCAATGGTCCTAAGATGTCCTTTATTGCTGATTTTTTTTTTTGTTTTTTTGTTTTTTTTTTTTGAGACAGAGTCTCACTCTGTCGCCCAGGCTGGAGTGCAGTGACGCAATCTTGGCTCACTGCAACCTCCGTCTCCCGGGTTCAAGCGATTCTTCTGCCTCAGCCTCCTGAGTATCTGGGATTACAGGGACACGCCACCACGCCTGGCTAATTTTTGTATTTTTAGGAGAGACAGGTTTTCACCATATTGGCTAGGCTGGTCTCGAACTCCTGACTTCGTGATCCATGCACCTCGGCCTCCCAAAGTGCTTGGATTACAGACATGAGCCACCGTGCCTGGCCTATTGCTATATTTTTTTTTTTAAAAAGGATTTGATTTGGATCCAACATAGAATCATGCACTGTGCGTGGCTGTCCTGTATCTAGTTTTCCTCATTCAGAACAACTCCACTCCCTTTTTATTTTATTTTTTGTTGGTCTTTCACAATATTGGCATTTTTATTTATTTTCTTGTTTTTACTATTATTTTTTCCAACATAAGCCTTCCTGCACACGTATGGGCATTGTTGAGGAGTGCAGGCCGGTTATCTTAGAGAACGCCTCACTATCTGAGTTTGTCCGATTGTTTCCTCGTGCGTAGAGTCAGGTTACATATTTGGGGGAAGAACACTGTGTCAGTGGTGGTGTGTCTTTCCTGTGCTGTTGTATCACGAGCACAAAATATGTTTGTCCCGTTATTGGTGGCATTGAGTTGGTCACTTGCTCCAGGGGGTGTCCACAAGCTTCCCGTCTTTGTAATTAATCAGCCATCTGTGGGGTAAAACTCCGCGGCCGTGGGAGTGCGCTGTGGCCCACAGGTCCTTCACCAGTGCCTTGAGCATCTGTCTATGAGCCTGCCTGAATCCGCTGCCACACTGGAGGCTAAAAACTTCAAATTTTCTTTTTTCTTTTTTTTTTTTGAGGCAGAGTTTCACTCTTGTTGCCGAGGCTGGAGTACAATGGTGCAATCTCAGCTCATTGCAACCTCTGCCTCCCAGGTTCAAGTGATTCTCCCGTCTCAGCCTCCCAAGTAGCTGGGATTACAGGCATAAGCCACCACACCTGGCTAATTTTTTGTATCTATTAAGCAGGCACTCCCCCTTCTCCCCTCCCCAAGCCCCTGGCGAACACCAGTCTACTTACTGTCCCCATGGATTTGCCTATTCTGGGCATTTCATAGAAAAGGATGATACATTTTTTGACCTTTTGTGTCTGGCTTCTTCCGTGTGGCGTAATATATATATATATATATTTTTTCAGACAGAGTGTTGCTCTGTCACCCAGGCTGGAGTGCAATGGTGCGATCTCACCTCACTGCAACCTCTGCCTCCTGGGTTCAAGCAATTCTCCTTCCTCAGCCTCCCAAGTAGCTGGGATTACAGACACCCACCACCACCCCTGGCTAATCTTTTGTATTTTTAGTAGAGATGGGGTTTCACCATGTTGGCCAGGCTGGTCTTTGTGGGCAGCAAGCCACTCAGGTGCCAAGGCAAGAGACCAAGGGCACGAGCTGTTCCAGTGTAATAAAATATATAAAATAACAAGAATTATACTAGATCTAGATCATAGATATGATTATATATGAATATCATTAATCATTAGTTTGTAGCAATTACTCTTCATTCCAATGTTATAATAATCCTTGCTCTACAATCATAACCTAAGAAAAACCAGGCCATACAGAGATACGAGCTAAAGGTGCATGGTGAGAAGTGACCAGAAGACGTGTGAGCCCTCTGTCATGCCCAGACAGGGCCACCAGAGGGCTCCTTGGTCTAGCGGTAACGCCAGCGTCTGGGAAGACACCCGTTGCCAAGCGGACCGTGGTCTAGCGGTAGCGTCAGTGCCAAGGAAAAGCACCCGCTACTTAGCAGACCGGGAAAGGGAGTCTCCCTCTCCCCGGGAGAGTTTAGAGAAGACTCTGCTCCACCACCTCTCGTGGAGGGCCTGACTGATGTCAGGCCCACCCGCAGTTATCCGGAGGCCTAACCATCTCCCTGTGATGCTGTGCTTCAGCAGTCACTCTCCTGTTTCACTTTTATGTTCCACTCTGTACACCTGGCTCTGCCCTCTAGATAGCAGTGGCAAAATTAGTGAAAGTATTAAAGTCTTTGATCTTTCTGAAAAGAGCATAGAAGAAATAATGATGTAAGCTGTCCTCTCTCTTTCTGCCTCGGCTACCTAACAGGGAAGGGCCCCCTATCCGGTGGACACGTGACTCACATGACCTTATCAATCATTAGAGATGACTCACACTCTTTACCCTGCCCCTTTTGCTTTGTATCCAATAAATAACAGCGCAGGCAGGCATTCAGGGCCACTACCGGTCTCCATGTCTTGGTGGTAGTGGTCCACCGGGTCCAGCTGTCTTTTCTTCTATCTCTTTGTCTTGTGTCTTTATTACTACAATCTCTCATCTCTCCACACAGGGAGAAAAACCCACAGATCCTGTAGGGCTGGTCCCTACAGGTCTTGAACTCCTGACCTCAGGTAATCCTCCTGCCTCGGTCTCCCAAAGTGCTGGGATTATAGGCGTGAGCCACCGCGCCCAGCCGGCATAATGTTTTTAAGTTCACCCACATCGTAGGTGTATCAGTGCTTCATGCCTTTTTCTGACTGAATCACAGTCCACTGTGTGGCTGTACAGCATTTTGTTTATCCATTCATTAGTTGATGGATAGTTGATGGACAATTTATTTCCCAAATGTGGCTTTTGTGCTGTTTTCCCAGTAGCCTTTGGTTATTGTGAATCGTGCCACTGTGAGCATTTGTGTACAAGCTTTTGTTTGAATACCTTCTTTCCATTCTTTGAGGACCTGTACTAGGAGCAGAACTGCTGGATCTTATGTGAATTCTGTTTGACTTTTTGAAGAATTGGTCCCCATGATTTTAAAGATAGACAAGGTAGTTGTCAATGTTTGAAAATCCAAAGGTTGACATTAAACTTGAGATTTCTGGTTTTTCTTGAAACATCTAGAGCAGGGGTCCCCAACCCCCAGGCCACAGACCAGTACCGGTCCATGGCCTGCTAGGAATGGGGCCACACAGCAGGAGGCGAGTGGCAAGTGAGCATCACTGCCTGAGCTCCACCTCCTGCCAGATTCATAGGACATGAACCCTATTGTCAACTGTGCATTCAAGGGATCTAGGTTGCATGCTGCTTATGAGAATCTAATGCCTGATGATCTGAGATGGAACAGTTTCACCTGAAAACCATCCCCCACTCTGATTATTTATCGGAAAATTGTCTTCCACGAAACTTGTCCCCAGGGAAATGCTGATCTAAAGAACCAGCAACACCAGGGCTTACGTCCCCCTGACACGTCAGTCTGAACTGAGGCTGCTTCTCACTCAAGACTTCCCTTGGCTGCCCCAGTGGCTGGCACAGGGCTGTCCAGCGTGGCACGCACAGCAGTACACATTTGCCGTTGGCCAAGCAGGCAGCTGGCTGGCTGGGGGTGGGCCCAAATGTCTCCACTCATAGGTTTCCTGCTACCCCAGAGCTCTGCCCCTATGTGCACCATGGGACTGTGGGTATTTGTGGCCGGTCTTCCAAGAGGGGTCACAGAGGCTGCCTGATAGCTTCTGTGGCCCCAGGGGGCCCCAGGAGGTGAGGCTGGGTATCTCCAGCCCTGCTCAGGGCCTCCCCAACCCCGCCATGGGCTTAAGGGGCGTGCCCCCCAGAGCCTGCACACTCCTTCTAGGCCACCCAGGATCAGAGCCTGGGTAGGGTGACTGGTTGGGGAAGCCAGGCCCAGCCACCCCACCACGTGCTGGCCACAGCTGGAGGAGTCCAAGGGTACAGATTTGAGCCCAGCCTTTCAGGTCACTGTGAAGGGATTGCTTGTCTAGGACTGGCTGAACTTTATTCAACAGCTTGATGGGCGGCTTTAAATATCCAGACACGTGGTACAGGAGCCTCCATCTGTGCTCTTGTCCTAGCCCTGGAAATGCAGGGGGCGCCGTGTTGACACCCAGAGGTCGGGATCCTGGTCTCCGGGGTTAGCGCTGCCTGGCTGTGTAAAACTCGAGTCACAGGTCTCAAAGCCACCCCGTCAAAGGCATTGTCCAGGCCTGTACTCCCCAGCACTGCAAGCCTGGCCTGGGCTGTGGGGGCCACCAGGAGCCCCGTCCTCAACTTATAGGCCCATCTTCTCCACGGGTCCCTTGCAGGCTCAGCTTCTTGGGAATTGGCCCTGCCTGGCCCTCATGTTCCTGCTGGGCCAAGCCAGGGGGCCCATGCGTCCTTTCTTGGGCATGGGGAGACCTCTGAAGGCAGGTGGCACAGTCAGCTGTGCCTGCTAGAAGGGCGCTGGAAACTCCATTTCCTGGTTCCCAACTGTCCCATTCACGCCCCACCTCCCCAGTCCTGTGAGCCTCCCTCTGCCCTCATCCCCTACCCCCCAAACAACCCCATCCCCAATCTTAAGCCCTCTGTGGGCAGGAGGGGAAAGGGGAAGGAGGTGTCCGGGTGTTTGAGGAACAGGCACCGAGGTTTCTGGGGCCTGCTGAGTCAGGCCGGGCTTGGCCAGGTGAGGGTGGTGGGGTGGGCAGGGGCTTCGGGAGTCTTCCTGGTCCTTCTTGTTGGCACAAAAGCTTGGGCCCCTCTGCAGATTACAAAGAATCTCAATCCTGCCTGGTGTGTAAGGCAGGTGGCAGCGAGGGGCCCACCGGGAGCTCCGGGAGGGCAGAGCCTGTGTCTGTCTGGTTCACTGGGCCAGGCTGGTCACGTTGAGGTGCTCAGGAATATGATGAGTGAGAAAGGAGGTGTGAGTGAGCCTGAACCCTCCTAGCAGGTTTTGGGGAGGGGGCACAGAGGAAACAAAGCAATCACAGCAGCTGACACTTAGGGATGGCTGACTTGGTGCCAGGCCCTGTTCTAAACACTGCGCGGCTCAACTCATTCACTCCTCACAACGGCCCCACCCTGCAGGCGCTATTTTTAACATCCCCATTTCACAGATGAGATGGCCAAGGCACAGAGAGACTGAGGAACTTGCCCAAGGATGTATAGTTGGCAGGTGTGGGGTACAGCTTCAAGCCCAAATCAGGTTCCAGAGCTCACCGTCCTTCTGCCTGAGGAGCTGCCCTCCCCTTCAGGGGCAGAAATGCGGGCACTGGGTCAGCAGTGAAAGGCACGAGCTCCCAGGACTCTGGGCCTCACTCCAGCTACTCCTGGCTGGGTCCCAAGGGCCACCTGCTCCATCATCCAGGGAGAGAGCCTCTGGCTGGAAGCCATCTGGAGCACTTTGGCCGCAGGTGCCTCCACCTGGCCGCCCCTGTGGGGCAGCAAGGTCTCCTGTGCCACCAGGAGCACAGGCACTGGGCCAGACCCTGAGGTGTCAGAAGGGTACATGGCAACCCCCTGCCCTGGGAGCCAGAGTCCCACTGCCAGCCGGCCCAGGCTGGGAGGGGAAGAGGGTGAGAGGCTGGGCAAAAAATGAAAGGTGGGGCTTTGCATTTCTTTTTGTTTTTTTTTGAGACGGAGTCTCCCTCTGTCACCCAGAGGAGTGCAGTGGCATGATCTAGGCTCACTGCGACCTCCGCCTCCCGGGTTCAAGCGATTCTCCTGCCTCAGCCTCCCGAGTAGCTGGGATTACAGGCACCTGCCACCACGCCCAGCTAATTTTTGTATTTTTAGTAGAGACGGGGTTTTGCCATGTTGGCCAGGCTAGTCTGGAAGTCCTGACCTCAAGTGATGCGCCCGCCTTGGACTCCCAAAGTGTTAGGATTACAGGCATGAGCCACTGTGCCTGGCCTTGCATTTCTTTTTTCTTTTATTATTATTATTATTTTTGAGATGGAGTCTCACTCTTGTCACCTAGGCTGGAGTGCAATGGCATGATCTCAGCTCACTGCAACCTCTGCCTCCTGAGTTCAAGCGATTCTCCTGCCTCAGCCCCCTGAGTAGCTGGGATTACAGGCACCTGCAGCCACGCCCAGCTATTTTTTATATTTTTAGTAGAGAAGGGGGTTTCACCTTGTTGGCCAGGTTGGTCTCGAACTCCTGACCTCAGGAGATCCATCCACCTCGGCCTCCCAAAGTGCTGGGATTGTGGGCGTGAGCCACCACGCCCGGCCTCTCTTTTATTTTAAAAGGCCTCCTTTGATAGTCTAGATACAGTGCTAAGTTTTATATAGCAGGCTAAAGAAGGATGTGTATACGATGAGGCCATTGTTGTTAAAAATAAATAAGATAAATAAATAAAGGGAAAAAATAAAATAAAAAAAGGTGCAGGGCTGTGCAGCCTGCCCAAGAGAGTGCATTTGAATCCTGGCCTCTGGCTCTTCCTGGCTGTGCGACCCCGGGCAACTTACACACCCGCTCCGTGGTGGACATTCTTTCTTTGTTTTCTTCCTCTGGTTGAGGAAACAGAGCCCACCCCCCCTTGCTGGAGTGGCAAATGCTGGACTGGAGGGTGCGGGTGCGTGGTGGGGGCTGTGGTGGGGAGGCCAGCAGGGGGTAGCCCTGGGGGTGAGGGATGTGCCCAGGGCAGCGCCCAAGGCAGCATCTGAAGCTCTGGCTCTCCAGCCACCCTGGGCGGGATACTGGGTGCCCTTCCTGACTCCACTTTACCTCCTCTTTTTTGTTTTTTTGTTTGTTTTTGAGATGGAGTTTTGCTCTTGTTGCCCAGGCTGGAGTGCAGTGGCACAATCTCAGCTCACTGCAACCTCTGCCTCCCAGGTTCAAGCGATTCTCCTGCCTCAGCTTCCTGAGTAGCTGGGATTACAGGCATGCACCACCATGCCCAGCTAATTTTGTATTTTTAGCAGAAACGGGGTTTCTCTATGTTGGTCAGGCTGGTCTCGAACTCCTGACCTCAGGTGATCCACCCACCTCAGCCTCCCAAAGTGCTGGGATTAGAGGCATGAGCCACTGAGCCCAGCTGTTTGTTTTTTTGAGACGGAGTCTTGCTCTTTGCCCGGGCTGGAGTACAGCGGCGTGATCTCGGCTCACTGCAACCTCCGTCTCCTGGGTTCAAGGGATTCTCCTGCCTCAGCCTCCCAAGTTGGGGGGGGGACTATAGGCATCTGCCACCACACCCAGCTAGTTTTTATTTTTATTATTATTATTTTTTTGAGACGGAGTCTTGCTTTGTTGCCCAGATTGGAGTGCAGTGGCGCGATCTCGGCTCACTGTAACCTCCACCTCCCAGGTTCAACGGATTCTCCTGCCTCAGCCTCCCAGGTATCTGGGATTACAGGTGCCCACCACCACGCCTGGCTAATTTTTATATTTTCAGTAGAGACGGGGTTTCGCCATGTTGGCCAGGCTGGTCTCGAACTCCTGACCTCAGGTGATCTGCCTGCCTTGGCCTCCCAAAGTGCTGGGATTACAGGTGTGAGCCACCGCGTGGCCCACTTTCCCTACTCTTACCTTGTTCTCCTGACATGTGTCTGAGGGGTCTGTGATCCTTTAATCTCCTCTGCCTCTTAAATCACCTGGTGTTTTGTTTCGGTGCTTGTGGCTAAGGTCCCTGGCCAGGACGCTTTCAGAGCCCTGGTATGTGGAGCTGTAAGATGGCCATATTATATTAATTGATCCCACGCTCAGCATCACTGAAGGGACCCTTGAAATAAGGCATGTCCAGCCTCAGTGCTAGGGCTTAGCAATTGCAGGGGTGGGGGGCGATGTCTGAGTGTGGGTTTTATTTTATGGAAAAACACTAGAAATATCTATCAGAAAACATTAACAGTTATGCTGGACGTGGTGGCTCACACCTGTAATCCTAGCACTTTGGAAGGCTGAGGAGTGAGGATGGCTTGAGCCCAGGGATTCGAGACTAGCCTGGAAAACATAGTAAAACTCCGCCTCTACCAAAAATATGAAAAATTAGCTGGACGTGGTGGTGCACAGCTGCAGTTCCCCCTACTCCAGAGGCTGAGGTGGGATGATGGTTTGAGCCCAGGAGGTGGAGGTTGCGGTGAACCGAGATCGTGCCACTGCACTCCAGCCAGGGCAACAGAGCGAGACTCCGTCTCAAAAAAAAAAAAAAAAAGTATTAACAGTTATTAGCTCTGGATGAAGAATTGTGGGTGAGTTTAATAGAAAAATTATTATGATTTTGCTTTTCTGTATTTTCGAACTTTCCTACAAGTTGTGACAGGTGGTTTAAACGGAAAAATAAATAAGTAATGTTTTTCTTCCTGGGGCCTTTCCCTTAACTCTTCTGGCTGGGATGTGCCGGGATGGACCAGGCCCCTGGGGAGACAGGGAGGCGGGCTCAGGTCTGCCGGGAGATGCTGCTGGCTGCTCCCCAAGCTCCCATAAATGCCTCGTAACTGTAAGGCATGAGCTGGGCAGGAAATGCCGACGCAGCAATTCTGCTTATTTAGGGGAGTGGGTGGGGGCAGGGGACAGGCCATGCTGCCGCAGAGGGCCAGGGGAGGCGTTTCCCCTGACAGCAGAGCGGTTCAGAGGAAGCTGGGCTCCCCAGGGTTCCTTGCTCAGCCTGACCTGGCTGTGGGCGCCAAAGGAGGCAGGCAGCTGGAGGCATGGAGGTGGGGGGGCAGCTGCAGCCGCCCGCCGGGGAGTGGATGCCCAATGCCTGCCCAGGGCTGCCTGGCCTGGGGGTGAAACACTGGGCTCTGGAGTCAGGCAGCCCTGGGTTCAACTCTCCTCTCTGCTTCTTAGAAACTGTGACCCCAGGCAAGTGACTTTGCCTCTCCCAGCCTTCACTTACCCTCTGTAAAATGGGCATGACCATCCTTTCCTCCTGAGGCAGCGAGTCTCAATCTAGGACGATTTTGCCCCCAATTTGGCAATTACTGGAGGCACTTTGAGTTGCAACAACTGGGGACGGTGCACATTGAAGTGCCACATGGAAGCCAGTGATGGTGCTGCACATCCCACGTGCACAGGGCAGCCCCCACGCCCTACCATGGAGAATTACCCAGCCCCCCAGGTCAATGGTGCTGAGGCTGAAAACCTTGCCCTAGGGTGCAGGTGAGGGTTGATGCAGTAATGTAAGCGCAGCGCCTGGGGATGCGGTGATGATGATCCAAGGCGCACAATGGGAGCCTTTTCCTCCTCACCTCCCAGAACCAGGTGTCAAAATATGAGCTCTGGGGACAAGGGTGTGCCATTTGAAAAGAGGATGGCCTAGGACTTTTGGCTCTGCTGACCTCGTTTTCTCCTCCTGCTGCCTGGAAGATGTCAGAGTTTTTCCAAATGGCCACTGGCAACATTCCCTCCACCCTCCGGGGAGGTCAGGGCCTGAGTGTGTCCCCGGGGACTGGGGCTGCCATTCTGATTTACAAAGAGCTCCACCTCCCCAGCCCTGAATGCACAGGCCGGTGCCAGAAAAGCTGACGCAGTGTGGGCCCAGCTGACGGAGGTCAAGGAGGACAGAGTGACTGCCCACAGAGGCCCCCCACCTCCCAGACCCCTCGAGGGTGTTCGGGGACACACCCAGGGTGACATAAAGAGGCATGCCCTCTGCACCACCGTGTGGGCCTCTTCACAGCCCCCAGCCGCCCACCTTCTGCACCAGGGGCTTCTACTGCAGCCCCCATGCCAGCCTGGCACTGGTGCCTGACAGAGGGTGGCCCACTTGCCTCCAGACAAGAACAGTGCTGGGATGTCATTGACGCTCCAGGGCCCCCAGCCTCGTGGATCCGGCCAGGGCTGGCCACTGGGGCTGGGCCCTGCTGTCCCTGTCTCAAGTTCTGCCTCTAGTTCTGCTTCTAGGTGACATTTTATCATCTTGATGACTAGGAGGAAATGCCTGCTGTTTACCGACTGCGGCCAGCGCTGCTGTTTCTCTGGGGTGAGTTCTGCTCAGCTGCCCTGTGCTCACTAGAAGGCAGGGGCAGTCCTGTTCTGGACAGAGGTGGACTCCTCGGCCTGAGTCATGGACATTCCTCTTCCTGGTGACTTGAGGGTCACCATGGGGGGCTGCGGCCAAGGAAGGGTGGGTTTCAGTCTCTCTCTGGCCTTAGAGGGCTCAGGGGGCCCGGATGCCAATCAGGCAGGGCCAAGAACTTGGAAAGTGTGCATGGAACAGAAAACCCAAATTCTAGTGTTTTAATCACATCACCGTTTATTTTTTTTCTCACACAGTAAGACAGGCAGGTGGTGCGGTGGCTCATGCCTGTAATCTCAGCACTTCGGGAGGCCAAGGCCGGAGGCTCACTTGAGCCTAGGAGTTTGAGACCAGCCTGGGCAACATAGTGAGACCTCAACTCTATAAAAATAAGTAGATAAATAAAAGCAGTGCAGAGGTTGCAGCCAAGGCAGGTGTCCCAGGCTCTGCAACTTCCACCCCCGGCTCCACCCTTCACTATCCTGAGGGTGACACTGTTATGCTCAGTGTCTCAAGAAGGCTCCTTCCCCATCCTGCTGACTGAAGAGCAGAGGGAGGGATGAGAGAGAAAAACCAGAGCCACAAACTTGGACAACTGAGGCTTTGTGGGGCGTGGAGGAAGGGATGACTTTTAAGAACTTTCTGGAAGCCCACCCATCAGTCCTGCTTACATCTCACTGCCCAGAGCTGTGTCCCCTGGCCACTCCTATCCACAAGAAGCCCCAGAGAGGTGTTTTATTTTATCTGGGCACTTTGGGTCCCAGGCAGTGGGGTTCTGTGCGTAAGGAAGAATGTGAGGGTAGAGATGGGCCAGCTGCAGGAGGATGCAGGGCCTGTCGGAAGGCACTTCCGGGTCAGCAGGGTGCTGGGGGTGGGAGCAGAGAGAGGAGGCCAGGAGGGGCTGGTGTGTGGGCTCGGGACACTGTGAGTCCTATGCAGTGTCCCGTTGTGCCTCCCCCTCCTTTTCTGTGTTGTAATCTCCTGCTGTCCCCAAGGCCAAGTTTGTTCCACTTGGTCTTAGCTTAGCTTTGGGGACTCAAGGGAAGGACCCAGGTCTAAACCTCGCAGCTGGGAAAGAACAGGTGTGGTGGCAGAAGCCAGTGCTGGGAGCACCTGCAGGTGGAGCAGTGGCAGCAGTTAGCAACCAGGACCGGACCCCCGGCACTGCTCTGAAATAAACATAGGTGGACAGGAGGCTGGACCGAGGGGGAAGTGTGGCCCCAGGGCTGGAGACACCAAGCGGAGATGGGAGAACTGCTGGATCCTCTGAATCAGAGGCCCCAGGGGATGAGCCCCGAATCTAGGAGCTTCCTCACCACTCCCAAGCTGCCCCTGTCCCCTCCAGCACCCCTTCCTAATCTTGAGAAGGTAGGGAGGACAGGGCCGGCACGTCTGGGGTCTCTGCACTGCCCGCCTCTGCCCACCTGGCCATCTGAAACTCTGGAAGGAGGCGGTGGCCGAATTGTG
Organism: Homo sapiens; assembly: GCF_000001405.40. Classification (NCBI taxonomy): domain Eukaryota; kingdom Metazoa; phylum Chordata; class Mammalia; order Primates; family Hominidae; genus Homo; species Homo sapiens. Next base: position 132,243,278 of record NC_000009.12, on the reverse strand, counting down.
GGTTCAGCTTCATCTGATATTGGACTTGAGGCTCCGGCTGCAACAGGTCTGAGATGACACATCCATCGGAGGTGGCCACCGAGACACAGTATAAATCAGAGCATTGGATTCAACCTCTGCTAGGATTCTCCCTGAGTCATTTCCCTTGGACTTCTGTAGAAAAGGGCCAATACACTCCGGATTTCTTTTTTGGGAAAGGAGGGAGGCAGCCTTTCAGTGTGGGGAGGCTCCTAACAGGTGGGGCACCTGCAGCCTGGCCGCGGGGTGGAAAACTCTGCCAGCCAAGCCTGCGGGGAGGGGGCACTGCCTGCTGGAATCCACAGAAAGGCCCAGGGAAATGGTGGCCCCAGTAGGGAAACCGTTTCTTTAAGGCTGTGTTGTGGATTCCTCTGTAAGCCCCACACCTGCCCACCGTCCCCAACACAGAAAGAAAACAGGCCGTGGAGGCAGCAGTGAGCAAACTCTTTACTCCTCGGATTCTCCACCATCGGCCCCCGCGGTGACCAGTGCTCCCGCCCCGTCCCCCTTGCAGGGGACAGTGAATACAAACAAAAATAGTTCTCTACAGAACGAAGTTTCCAGGCCCCCCACCCCTTCCTTCTCTCCTCCTCCCCCAGACGGTGAGTTCCGTGGTCACCGGGCCTCCGGTGAGGCCTGGGGTCTGGTGGGTTGCAGGAAAAATAAAGAATAGAAAACAGGACCAAGTCAGCGACTGGAATTGTAGGCAACTGGAGGTCGGGGTCCGCCGCCGCCCGTGAGCCTGGCACAGGCCAGGGGGTGTCGGCCACAGTCCCGTGTGTGTAAGTGTGGTGGGAGGCAGGACGGGGTGTGGGGCGAGCAGCGTTTCTCCCGACCCTCTGGCTCACCGCCAGAAAAAAAAAAAAAAAAAGAGAGAGAGAGAAAGACAAAAAAGGAACTGGGCGGCGGATAATACAAAAGAAAAACGAAACCAAATCGCAGGCGCGGGGACCGGAGTCCCAAGGCGCCCCTGCTGCGGGGGGAGGGCAGTGCGGGCGGGAGCGCGGGCCGGGCGGGGGGCCCTGCTGAGTAGCACCTGGGAGCACCTCGGGCCGCACCCTTCTCACCGCCCGGCCTCGGACGCCGGCCCCGCCCCGGGACCCCGGGACCCCCGGCCTCCGGGTGCGGGGAGCGTCCTCCGGGCGGGGCTCAGCGGCCCAGGCGGGCGGCCAGCCCCAGCAGCAGCAGGCAGCCGAGCAGGGTGGCGGGGCGCGGGGCGGCCCCGGGCGCGCGGTCGCAGTCCAGACCGCCGTCATCGTCGGCGGGGTCGCAGCGGGGCTGCTCGCAGCGCACGCCGGTGTAGCCGCGCGGGCAGGCGCAGCGCTGGTTCTGCAGGCAGGTGCCTCCGTTCTGGCACAGCAGCTGGTCGTCGTCGCACACGTTGGCTGCAGGCGGAGGGGGCGGTCAGCACGGGGGGTGGCCCGGTCCCCCCGCCAACCTCCGAGCTCCTGCGAAGCAGGGTGTGCGAGATCCCGGGGGCGCCGTCTGGGCCGGGGATGTAGGAGGCTCCAGGCGCGCTGGGTGCGAAACGTCCCCCCTCGGAGGGTGACGGCGCCCGGGCGAGATCTGGCCCCCGGCTGCCTCCCACCGCTGCCCCTCTCTCCCCGCCCCACTGGCCTCGGTGCTGTTCTTCAGACGCGCCTGCAGTCTCCAGAGCTGTGCACGTGCTGTTCCACGCGCCTGGAGCCTCCTTTCACCCTGTGCCCGCGGCTAACGCCGACTTGGACAGCCTCCCTCCCTCTGTCCCCGCAAATACCTTTCCAACCAACCCCAGCTCGGTCTTTCTCGTAGTTCCCACCAGGCACCACCGTGCCTCAGGTCGCATCAGGCCCCGCCCCGAGCTCTTGGACCCGCCCCTCGGCCCGGCCCCGGACCTCAGCAGCATCCTGTCCCCGCCCACCTGCCAGCTCCGTCTCGCTAGGCCCCGTCCACCGCCCCCGGGTCGGCCCCATCTCACCAGGCCCCTGCCAACTATCCCAACCCTGCCCCGCTCTCACTAGGCCCCACCCACTGCCCCGGCCCTGCCCCGTCTCGCGAGGCCCCGCCCACCGCCTCTTCCCCGTCCCACTAGGCCCCACCCACTTCCCCGGCCCTGCCCCGTCTTGCTAGGCCCAGTCCACCGCCCCTGCCCCGTCCCACTAGGCCCCGCCCACTGCCTCGGTCCTGCCCCGTCCCCTTTCCGCAGGCCCCGCCCACGGGGGACGGCGCGCACTCACGGTAGCAGCCCTGGCGCCAGTAGTGCGTGGGGAGGCAGTCGTCGCACTTGGGGCCCGCCGCGCCCTCGCGGCACTCGCAGAAGCCGGTCTCGTTGCACCGGTCGTGCACGGAGCCTATCTGGTTGCAGTTACACTCTGGACGGACACGGGCACGGGCGCGCGGTCAGGGCTACGTGTGGGCGCCGTCTTCTCGGACCCCCACTCTCCCGGCCTCGCAGGGAGCATCTCCACACTCCCCAGGGGATGCTCCCCACACTGGGTCCACGTGAGCCCGCGGCTGGACGGCAGGTGGGGACTTCCCAGGGTGGCCAGGCCTGGAGAGAAGACTCTGGCTTCCTTCCTTGGGATCAAACACGTCCCAGCCCCACCTTCCCCGCCCTGGCACTGGTGTGGCCTGGGTCAGCCCCTTCCCCTCTCTGGGCAACTAGAGGGGTCGCTGTCCTTCCCATCTCCAAAGAGCTATGACTCCGACAGGTGGCAGAAACTCAGCAGAGGCCACTGAGCATGTCTGGGGCTGCTGTGTTGTGGGGTGGCCCCCCTCCATAGCTCCTTTGCAGGGGAGTGGAGGAACAGCCTATTCCTGCTCCCGGGGTGGGCCCAGTTGGTTGCCTTGGGGCTCTGTGGGAGAGGGTGAATATCGTCCACCCTGAGAAACCTTGCAGCTCAGTGCTGGCTCTCGGGGTGGAGGCAGGGAGAGCCAGGGAGAGGAGGAGGGTGCCAGGGTGTGGGCACCTCTAATTGGATCCAAAGGCCCTGCCCTGTCCCTGCAGCTGGCCCCCTGTGACGTCAGCGGCTTTGATCACTTAGAGTTGATGGAATTATCTGAAGGCTGCCGCCAGAATTCAGACCGACAGCTCCAGCTTTGCAGGAGCCCCTCCTCTGGGCAGCCAGAGCCTCCTGCTGGGTGGGGGATGGGTGATGGTGTCCCAAGGGGCCTGGCTGGGCAGGGTTGGGGGACAGCCCCTGAGGCCGAGACCTGGCCTCTACTGACGACAGGGGCAACCATTCCAGGCTGGTGCGTTTTGGTTGGCGGTCATGGCTTTGGTCTTTGCCCAGGCCCAGGGCCCTGATGGACTTCCTTCTCTACCCAAAAGCCAGTCCTTGAGTAGAACTTGGAAGAAAGCAGACTGGGTGCCCACCAGGGGTGAAGAGCAGCTTTATAGCTGGACCTGGGCTGGTAAAGCATTTGAAGAAAAGCTTCAGCCACAAAAAAGAGCTGAAAACCTTTGATCTGATCTGCCTCCCAATTTGATGAATGAGGAAGCTGAGGCCCAGGAACGGGAAGGGACTTGCACAAATGCACGCAGCAAGGCGATCTTTTGGCCCCCAACTGGGCCCCTGCAGGAGGAGGGATAGGCTGCTCCTCCACCTTTCTGGAAAGGAGCTATGGAGGGGGACCCCCCCACACACCAGCCCCAGACAGATGCTCAGTGGCCTCTGCCACTGAGTGCCTGCCACCTGCCAGAGTCACAGCTCTTTGGAGCCAGGAAGGGTCAGTGTCCCCTCCAGTTGCCCAGAGAGGGAAGGGCCACTGGTAAGTTTTGCAACTCCAGTGCAAAACTTACCGGAGAACCGCAAGGGTAGGTTACTAATAGAGCAGTTTCTGGAGCTTTCTGTCCTTAGAGATGCTCAACTGGAGAGGGCCCTGGAGTTAGAATTCCCACAGTCTCCCCAGGTGATTCTGATGCAGGGGGCCCCAGAGGCCACCTCGCAGGGCAGTGCACCCTGCACGCATTCCAGCAAGTTCCCTGTGCCGTGTCCGTGCCCTCTCACCAATGCAGACGTTCTCATCATCCAGCTCTGCCGAGCCGTTGCGGTAGTAGCCCAGCCGGCAGTGCTGGCAGTGCTGACCTCGCGTGTTGTGCTTGCAGCTGACGCAGGTCACCACATTCAGGAAGTCAATGTAGCTGCAGCGGTTGGAGTGACCGTAGCATTCGCAGTCTGGGCCGGCCAAGTGGGAGAAATACCAATGGTCAGCGAGCATTCAGGGAAACTGAGGGACAGGGCGAGGAAGGACTCACCCCAGGTCATGCAGGGACGGAGGAAGGCATCTTTGGAAAAGGTACCGGAAGGTGCCCTAGGCCTCCCACCCTTCCATCGGATTCAGGAAGAGAGAGGCCTCCCTGCTTTGAGCCCAGAGGAGAACCTGAGTAGGCTGAGCCCAGGGATTCCCACCTGGCCCTGTGGGCAGGGAACCAGGGAGGGCCAGTGGGCAGCTCCTGCTAATGCCTGGCTGGGCACCAGGGCCAAGCGCTCGCTGAAGGATGCCCACATGCCGGGGTGATTAGAAAGTGATTCATGCAAGGAGGGCAGGGTCATGCCACCTGGCTGTGCACTGGGGGAGGGCGACGCCTGGGTTCACGGCGCTCGCCGTGGTATCCTCGGGTAGATGAATGCATGGATGGACGCTGGACAAGATGCAATGGGCCAGGAGCTCCTGCCCATGCTGCTTTGGAAGATGGCTGGGAGGAAAACGCCCACCTGCCAGACCCTTTCTTATTAGCCTGAGCTTTCTGCAAGTTTGATTGTTTTGCAGGATGCTAAGAGTGAGTGCCACTTTAAAGCAGGAGCCCTGGGAACCTGCATGCCTCCCCCTGGTCCTGGCCCGGCTTCTGACTCGCTGCTCCTGGAAGCACATGGTTTCATACCAAGGACCACCACCACCATGTCCTGCCGCCTCCTGCACCCCACCCCTACGTGGTTCTCAGGCTGACCCCTGCCTAACCAGCTCCGCTCCAAGGACCAGACAAGCCCGTGACTGCCTGGGGCAAGGCTCTCAGGGATTGGAGGTGAATCCCACATTGTCAATGGAGGATTTGGTGAGGAAGGTCACCATCCCTAAGAATGGGGGGGCATCCCTTGATGTTCCTACGAAGGGACACAGTACTCACCCACCCACCCACCCTCCAGCAAGAAAGCCAATGTGGCTGCCCCCGAACAAGGAAGGACAACGGCCACCCTCTTGAAACACCATCTGTGTATCTCTAGAGGACCCAGCTTCCCTTTTGTGATGGGATGAGGGACTGACCCAGTGGTCAAGGGCATGGGAGACTAGAGAAACAGCCTGTGCCCAGGAGAGATGGTGGGCACTCCCACCTGTGGGCCACCTAGTCCTGCCCCCTTCACTTTGTCCCTCCAGAGATAATGAGGAGATGAGGCATCCTCTAAGTGTCCCAAAGAGCAGCATCGGTGACCCGTGTGTCCCAGATTCTGCTTCAACCAACACGAGCCCCAGGGCCACACCTCCCAGGGGAGCCGGGATGGGCTATTTCTGGCATCTGCTCTGCCTGCTGTGTGGCCTGCCCACTGTGCCCAAGTTGGCTTCTGACTCATACCTGCTCCCAGCTCCCTTGGGGAGGGAGGCCTGTAGGGAAGAGAGACTCAGTTTAACCTTGACCCAGCTACTCCAGGAGGGTTTTCGGAGCCAGGCATCGGTCCTCTATCCTGCACCGTCTTTTTCCAGCGGCGGATGGGGAACAGGTGTCAGGGAGGGCTGATGGGGCCCCAGGTCCATCCTCTTACCTTGGAATTCTTCAATAGGCATCACTTGAGGAGATTTGGGCTTGAGCTGGAAAAGTTTGTAGCCCTTGGCAGGGGCAGGGGCAGCGGCAGGGGTGCCCACAGCTTGGAGAGATGAGAAACAGGTTCTTTCGTCTGTCATGGTCCCACTGCCCAGGGAAGAGCCCAGCAAAGGCTTCCGAGCCGCCCTGGGCCAGCTCTAGGGCAGGCAGCCTTGTCGCCTGCTCAGATGTGAGGGAGGGAGAGGCCCCTCTGGCCTCAAATCACACAGCCCCTCTCCTCGAAGAGCCCAGGGAGGTGGGGCCCCTTCCTGAAGGAAACACAGCACATCCCAAGCTTGCAAATCAGCCCTGCCCTTGGTCCCCTCTCTGAGACCATGGACACATCTGGCTGGATTAATCCTCCAAATGACTTCTGTAACCCCTGACACCCCCGCGCCCTGCTAAGACCTTCTTGGAAGCCAAACTGTTTTTAGATAGATTGACATCACATTGCACACCACGCCCGTCTCTTGCTCTCCCCACCGCCTCTCCAAACTTCCTGGAGCATCAAACCCAGAGACTAAACTTGGCATTTAAGGACTTTGGCATCTCCCTTCCTTTCTGAAACACTCTTCCTGCTCCAGCCGAAGTGAATCCTTCGCTGTCCCTGGAGTCCCACTCGCAAGTGCTGTCAAGCCAGGAACACGGACGGCACCTGCCTTCCACTGCCCAGAATCCCGCTGGGACCCCAACGCCCTATCTGTGGGTGAGCAGGCCACTGTCCCGGGATCGTCACTACCTTGGCTTCCCTCTGGGGGTCTGTGGTGCCCTGGTTGGCCCAGGGTAGGGAAGCGATGGCTCCCGCCAGCTCTGTCTCCATCACCACAGAGGACACCAGGCCCAGGTCCTCCAGGTTTCTAGGAACCGAGCCTCAGACCCTCTCTAAACATGCTTCCAGCGCCAGAGCTTCCTGCCAGTAGAGGGCGCTCAAAGCCCTGCTCGCTGCTCAGAGCTGGGGCTGGAGGAAATTTGAACATGTGAGCTGGAAGGAACAGCTCACCTGTTCCCTAGACCTCAGGCCCTAATTCCCCACCCAGGCTTGGTGAGCTGGGGCCAGGGACAATTTCCCTTCTGGAGAGTCGGGCAGGCCTGCGCGTTTCCTTGGCATGTCTGTCTATGGCTACAGATGAGCCCTGTGTCTCCTCCCACGTAGCAGGAGGATGTCAGTGTCTTCCAGGACCCCGCCCTCCCTCCTTTAACCCACACATTTTCCACTTTGTCAGGCTCCCTGCCATCCCACTGCCAAGCCTTTGCCCCGGCTGGCCCTGCGGCCTGGAATGTGCTGCCTTCTCCCTTCACCCACCACAGTCCACCCTCCGAGGTCTCATGGCCCCCGCTCCTGCAGGAAGCCCCCTCTGACTCTCTGATCCAGCAACTGCCCAGGTGTCCTGTGAGCAAGGGCAGCTGGAGAGGGGGGTTCCTGTCGTGGGAGGCGGGGCCTCTACCAGACTCCGAAGCCCTCGGAGGGAGTGCTGGTGGAAGGGCTTGGCGTGGGGGTGCCACATGGAACCTCTTGAAGCAGGTGAGCTTGGGGGCAGAGCTGGTAGACCTGCTCTACCAGGCCGCTCCCTCACCACTGTGCCCTAGAGCTCCCCAGGCACCGACATTCTACACCCGTGCCCTCAGTTGGTTCCTGCGGCCCCCCTCCAACCTCAGGTCCCCACCATGCACACCTGCTACTTCCACTACAGAGGGAGGGGCCTACGAGTCTAAGAGGGCGCTTCCCCGGGGTCTCAGGCCCATCACAGGCCTTGCCCCCCCATACCTTCTGCACGGGAGGCCACCTGGGACCACCTGCTCGAGAGAGGGGCAGCCGTAGATGGCCTGGTCCACTCTTGGGGGGAAGAAGAGAAGAAACCAAGTTATGCGAGGGGGTGGTGCTGAGGGAAGCTGGGTACATACTGAGGCATCACAGCCCCGCACCCCACAGGCCCCTTAGAAGCAGCAGCACTATAAGGAGAGGCTCTGTCTACACTGGCCAAAGGAATTGGGTCCAAATCTACTACATAGGCAGCATCTACACTATTTCAGCCTGTGGAGGGCACATGCAGACTTAAAGCCCGATAGATGAGAGGTGAACCCATGCCTGAGAATCTGCATATTCTTCAGCGAGACCCTTCTACACTCCCTGTGCCGTCCCCGTTCTGACTGAAGGACAGAGCTAGACCAGGTCCCGCCTCTGGGCCCAGACCTCTCTGAGCTGATGTCTCTGGCTAATGGCTGCGAAGTGGGACATGTGTTCCGGCCAAGATCTTACATGTGTCCAGAAGTGTCCTGGAAGGTGTCCTTCCTGTCCAGCCGCAATCCAGGGACCGGAGCCTTCCCCAGCATCTGACCTGCTTCCCTGATCACTGCCCTTCTACCTTCCTGACCCCTGGCCTGGCCCATTTTCACCAGGGACCCCAGCATGAACCAGTGACACAACGCTCAGCCCGTAGACTAACGGGACACACAGCCAGCAAGGCAGGCAGGCAGGGCTGGCAAAGAACTGCCCTGTGCCCAAATTTCAAAGGACAAACCCAGAGGGACAGGGGAGCGCTGCTGTTTTCCGCTTCTTGAAGGGATTATACACAACGGTGGCTGTGGGGAAAGAAAAGGAAAAGCTACCAGCTAACAAGTGCGGAAGACTTTCCAGCTGGGAGCGGGGAGCTTTGGACATGAATTGACTTTAATATGATGTTCAGTGGGAAGATGAGGCCGCCAGGCCCAAATTGGCAAGGGCTTAATTAGAGCCATGAGAAAGCCAGCCCTGAAGGCATTTGCTTCAGAGCCTGTCTCCCTCCATCCTCCGTGGCCCAGCCCAGGAAAGGATTAGTGTCTCCAGCGGCGTTTTCCGCCCGCAGCGCTGTCCTCCAGACAGCTTGACATTGGCAGGCGGGAGAAACATCTGGCCCAGGAGTTCAGAGGCCCAGCTGGACTCTGTTCAAAGAGCCCGAAGCACCTGTTGGGAGGCACTCGGGGGTATTCAGGATCTTTCAGGGACCAGGGTCTTGGGGAGGGAGAGAGTCCTGGCTTGGCTGCCCAGGGACACACTCAGGTGTGTGGGAAGCAAGTTCTCGCCATGGCCTGTGTGCTGTGCCAAGGCCCCATGGAAGCCCGGTCTGCTCCTTTGGAACTGGGAAGCCCTGCAAGCCAGGCCTTGGAGACAGCACTACTTGGCCGGGTGCGGTGGCTCACGCCTGGAATCCCAGCACTTTGGGAGGCTGAGGCGGGTGGATCACTTGAGGTCAGGAGTTCAACACCAGCCTGACCAACATGGTGAAACCCTGTCTCTCTAAAAAGACAAAAAGTAGCTGAACATGGTGACAGGTGCCTGTAATCCCAGCTACTCGGGAGGCTGAGGCAGGAGAATTGCTTGAACCTGGGGGGGCGGAGGTTGCAGTGAGCTGAGATTGCTCCATTGCACTCCAGCCTCAGCGACAAGAGCGAAACTCCATCTCAAAAAAAAAAAAAAAAAAGATAGCTCTACCTCATAGCCCCTGGAGGCCTCAGGACAATAGCTTTGGGTGGCTGAGTTGGCGAGCCCTGAGTTCAAATCCTGCCCGTGCCTCTCCATAATTCTGAGACCTTGAGCAGCTGCCCCTTTTTTCTTCTGAAACAGCTTGATTGAGGTGTAATTTACATATCATAAAATCCAGCTGCTTCTTCCTAAGCCTCGATCCCCTCACCTGTGGGACTAGGAAAATAACAGCCTCCATCTCACGGAGCTGTGAGCCCAGAATACAATGATATGATGATACAATGATACGAGCACAGCCCAGGAGAACTCACCCTCAGCTACTGCAATGATCGTTTTCATTAATGGGGGCTCTGGACAGGGGCTTCAGTTGCTGAAGAGGAGGGAGGAGCCCCTAGATGTGGGCTGTAGGGGCCACTGGCTGTCACATTGGAGCCACCTCCTCCCCTAATGTCCTGCTTCTTGATACAGGGCTGAGGGTGCAGAGCAGCACTGTCTTGCCGAGAGGGAGGGTGTGCCTTCTGCTCACTGAGGGGGTCCTGGGGACCCTCACCTCCCCTGCATTTCCCACTCTGGCCTCTGACTTTTCCTCTTTAATTCCCAACTTTGCACAATCTGCCCAGCCTCCCACGGCTGCCCTGGCACCAAGTCAGAAGCAGCTCTGCAAATGGATTCCTCTGTGTGTGTGTGTGTGTACATGTGCGTGTGCATGCCTGTGTGTGTGCATGCATGTGTGTGTGTGCATGTGTGCACTTGCACATGTGATATGGAGAGTATCTGGCCTCCCAGCCAAACCCCTGTTTGGAGACAGGCACAGCACCCACCACCACTGTTTTTGCTTCTGTCTGCCCACCACAGGCTCAGCAGCAAAGCACAGGTCCCTTGTGGCTGGGCCAACCTATGTCTGAAGTCCAGAATTCTCAGAGTGACCCATGTCTTCCACCCCAAAGAGGATTCCTGGGTCAGGAGGCTTCCCGGAAATCCTCCAATCTTTTGGCTAGCCCCTGCCTCCTGTAAATGCCTCCTGCAGAAAAGGAAGGATGTAGAAAGAGGTGGGGTGTGCTGCCCCCAGGGGAGCTGCTCTGGATGGCCTAGGAAGGAGGAGGTCTTTCTCTCAGCATTTGCCCCTGTCTGGGGAGCCTGAGTGTCCACCCAGCAACAGGCCGAGGCAGGAGCTGATGGAGGGGACTCTGCCCTTTAGAAATGCCACCCCCCAAGGGGGAAGGATCAGTGGGGCAGGTCTCCTTGGATCAGAGAGATGGAGGGCCAGGGCACTACCCAAGGGGCCAGGAGTCCCCACCAGGTCCTCCCTGCAGGGTGGCGGGGGACAGGGTGTGGCAGGCTATTGGAGCACCCCTCCCTGGCTGGGACCAGGAAGAATTCCCCTTGGTCATCGTCTTCCTGGTGCCCTCTGGGAAGGATAAATCCTTTCAGACCCCTGGCACCTGCACTGCACAGAGTGCAGGGATACTCCCCAGGTGAGTCCAGGTGAGAGCAGAGGCCCACTCCAGCACCCCCAGCCTTGAATACACGTGAATCCCTCCGTTGGAGGGGAGCGAGAATCAGGTTTCCATGCCTGTCTGTGGCAGACCCCTGAGGGGGCAGGACGTCTGGCCCTGGCCTGGCCTTGCACTACACACACAGCCTCCACATTCCCAGCAGCCCACGGTGTCCAAACTCAGCTCCAGAGGCTCCCTTTGCCCTGCTGATCAGAGACATTTGCTTTCTGGGCTAACCCTGCTCCATCCATCCCACCGGTGTGCTGCTGAGGGGCTAAGGACAGAGAGGCCCTGGGGGCCAGGTGGGGACAGGGTGTGGGCGGGGCTCCAGGGACCACGGAGGCAGAAGCACCATTGGGAGATAAGGCCAGTCTTTGGCTGCATGTCAGGATGGCCTCGCTGCCCCCAGCACCTTTCCTCTCAGTTCCTGCAGCCGTCTGGCCACAATGGTCTGGGAGCCCTTCCAAGCAATGGCTTGAAGGGCAGGAGGAAGACGACTTTGGAAGCTGAACTGATCCCTGAATCCCCTGGCTGGGCTCAGGAACAGGTTGACCCAGGTGTCCTCAAGCCCCTTTGGCCTGTGGCCTCCCAGCTCTAGGGTTCTAGCGTCTCTATTCTAAGAGCCAAGCCCCTGCTCTCTGCCCAGGGCTGCCGACCCTCCCACCCCAAGAGAGGCAGGGACCCAGGCTAGAAGCAGGAGAGGGTGGGATGACAGGGGTCGCTGTACCCTGGCACCCACCTGTGGGCTGTGGGGTGCTGGGCGCCATGGGGGCCCAGGCAGTGGACGTGGAGGGGACAGGAGTAGTAGGGGCCCCTGTCATGGCTGTGGTGGCCGCAGTGGCCACAGGGCCTTTGGGGTCGGGGTCTTTCTGGGACCTGCTGATGCCTGGTGAGAGATGGGAAAAGCAAGAGAGGGTTGGGGGGTTGCCGGGGTGGGGACACCACAGAGAAGCAACTTACGACGGCTGTGCAGACCAGCGTCCCTGCAGGGTCCAGCTTCTTTCTGGCGCCCTCTCGGCTCACTGGCTTCCCAGCCAGGGGCCCCCTGGGTCCGGGAGGGACAACTTGGGTGGGATGTGGGGCCCCACAGAGCCCTGGTGGAGGGTGACGGTGCACCCCAGAAGCATCTCTGAGATTTGGGGTCTGCTCCCGGCTGGCTCTTTGACATTGGCCAGTCCTCTCCTGCTGCCTCGCAGAGCAGATGGCGACCTCCCAGGGGGAGGGGTTTGCAAGGCTGAAAGGAGAGACCGTGCCTGGCACCCTGTGAGTGTCTGGGGACAGTCTCGATGACATTTACTGATAACCTGTGGGCGCCATGTCGCCCTCGCCCTCCTGGGGAACTCTCAGGACCCCCACCTCCTGCAGATGCCCCTCCCTGGTCCGACTCCCCTGGGACCTGAGCTGACCTGGACGAGCAGAGCCCTGGGACAAGCTGGCTGCAGAGGCTGCCCAGAGGGAGGCTGCCCCCATGGTTAGGCTAGGGGGTGGATTCTGCCCCTGGTGGGGGAAGGTCACCCCACTCTTGACTGGCAGGAGAGACTGCTCTCCCAGATCCAGGTGAGAGAAGTGGCGTGGGTGGCAGGAGGAGCAGGGAGCCCACCCAGGGGCCAAGAGACCTGCAAAAAGTCCTGTCCCGTTTTCCAAAGCAGCACTGATGGAGCTCCTGGGAGAGCCTGAGAGTTGCTGGGCCACAGGCCACAGCAAAATGACACATGACACATGGCATATGATGTGAAGTGGGGATGGGTGGAGGGGGGGAGGTGGAGGGGGGAGAGGTGGAGAAGCAGATGGGGTGTAATTAGAGGAGGGAGTGAATAGGCCCAAGTCCCAGAGGGGACACTGAAGCCCCTTTTTTCTCTCCAGCTTTTTCCAGGACATGCAAAGAGGCTCGTGCAGTGGGGGCCCTGGCCACCCTCCCCAGGCGTGTACTTACTGCCAAAGGAACCTGCAGTGGCACCTGTGGGAGAGAGACGGGCGTGAGCTGGCTGCCCCAGGGGAAGGGGCCTGGGTGTCACCTCCCTGCAGAGGGGCCAGCAGGGCAGGGGAGCACCTGGAGGTGTCGCTCCCTCAAGAGCACCTGCTCCACCACACAACTGCTAGCAATCATGATGACCTGCAGGGTGTGGGGACGGGGGTGGATTATCCCATTTCATCCTCACTTCAGCCCTGGGAGGGAGGAACCACTATTGGCCCATTTTGCAGAAGGAGACACTGAATCTCAGAGCCGTGACTTGCCCTTGGGGACATGCTGGACAGGTGCCAAACGCTCCACTGGGAGCTTCACACGCACTCCTCCTCTTATTTCAGATTTTTGGGCCCTCCAGTGCAGGACAGGGACATCGTATGGAGTGTTCCTGTCTAAGAAGTGCAGTGTGGCTGGAAAACTCACTGAGAAGCCATGGGAGCGGCTGCCGCGGGTGGAGTGCGTCCCACGTGCCAGGCACGGTGTCAGCATCCCCTGCGTAAATCGTGCCGTCCTCACAAGAACCCTATGAGGGAACTTCCTTATGGTCCTGATTCTACAGCTGAGGACACACGGCTTGGGGAGAAATATAGCCGAGAGTGGGCGAGGCCTGACCTGAATCCAGGTGTGTCTCTGTGTGTCCAGGGGATGGGGGAGGCCTATGATCCTGGTGTGACCAGGGGCCTTGAAATCCCTGGGTGAGATTCATCAGAGTTGCAAAAGGAAGGAGCTGGTGCCACAGCTTTCCCCACGGTGTTCCCGAGAAAGGACGCTGTGGGATTGGCAGTGGGATGTGTGGCCCATGGGCTTCTCCTGGGCAAGCCAAGGCTGTGGCCAGCAGGACAGGCAGGGAGGCCTGGGAGGACAAGCCCATCCCCACCCACTCCTTCCTCCACCTCCATGTCTGGGCAGCCACCTGCTAGACCCTGAGGACACCTCGGGGTGCAGCCACAGTAAGCAAGGGCCAGGACTGGGTGGTGACCAAGTGAGGCTCTGTGGGGACAGGCGGGACATCAGGCAGGGCACGGGGAGGTCCTGGGGGCTCCAAGTTGGGCCCTGGAGGGTGATGGGCTGGCCAGGTGGGGGCAGAGTGGTGAGGAGGTGGGAAGGCATCGGGAGTGAGGGCTGCTGCAGGGCTGAGGATGGCATTGGGAGAGACTTGGAGCGGATGGAGGGAAGTTCAAAGAACGTGGCGGGAGGAGGGTCTCCAGTCAAGGTGACCCCCAGACTTGCACTTGGCCCCGTGGGTGTCGGTGCCACTTACTGAGGAGGGGTCACGGTAGGGGCAGGGTGAGGGCAAAATTAGCCTCTGTGTCTCTTTGGGCTGTTTCCTGCTGGCACCCCAGAGAAGGCAGGAGACTTGGGTGCTGAGGACAGCAGCGCCTCCAGCCTCACCTGTGACCCTGCAAATGCCAGAAGAAACCCCTCCTTCCTGGGGCTTGGGGGCCTCAAAGGCAATTCCCGGGGACTCCCAGGGAAGCAGGAGGTGGGGCCAGCTCAGGAGTCTCCCCTAAGTAAGGAAGACCCAGCTGCCCAGCCCCTACAGGCCTGTCTATCCATCGCTGGCTAGACTGGAGGTGGTGACTGGGGGTGAGGGTGGGGACAGTGGATCCTCCTAGGTGTGACTGGCAGGTAAGAGTCTCAGGTGGCCAGAGATGGGCAGAACCCTCCAGGCGCAGGGGGCAAGTGGAAGAAAAAAGCCAGACATGGCCAGACGTGGTGGCTCATGCCTGTAATCCCAGCACTTTGGGAGGCCAAGGCAGGAGGGTTACTAGAGCTCAGGAGCTCGAGACCAGCCTGGGCAACATGGCAAAACCTTTTCTCTGAAAAAAACACGAAAATTAGCTGGGCCTGGTGGTGTGCACCTGCAGTCCCAGCTACTTGGGAGGCTGAAGTGGGAGGATCGCTCAAGCCCAGGAGGTTGAGGTTACAGTGAGCCATGACTGCGCCACTGCACTCCAGCCTGGACGACAGAGTGAGAGACTTATCTTTAAGAAAAAAAAAAAAGGAGGGTGTGATGGTGGAGAGAACTGAGACAGAGAGGAGGGAAGAGAGAGCGGCCCTCAGGACAGACGAAAGGGCAGCAAATTTGTGAGTCAGGGAGAGAGTGACGGCCACTAAAGAGAGACCTCAGGAAAGGGTTTGGACCACAAAGAGATGGGGACAGGAAGCTGGGAGGAGGCAGCGGCTGGAGTGGGCTGTCAGCCCCCGGAGTGCTCTTTGTGCCTTTGAAGACCCGAGAGTGCTGTCGGGTGCCTGCCAAGTCACCCCTTCAAAGGCCTGTCTCACCGCCTGCTGTAGCACACGCGTGACATGCCTGTCATGGCCTCTGCACGTGGCTCTCAGCTTTGATCAGCCTAAAGTCACATAAATCTTTCACCCGTCGAGGGAGGATGCCCAGATGGGGTGCAGGAGGCCACTGCCCAGGCCTGGTCTGAGCATCAGATCCAGTAGCTGCCCTAAGCCCTGGCGTTGGCATGCAACTCACTGTGAAACCTGGGAGGGCCCCGAGGTTCGCTGGGCCTCAGTCTGCTCATCTGGAGAAGGGACCGTAATAAGGACTCCACCCTGCGGGGCTGTGTGAGGGTGAAGCGAGATGCACAAAGTGCCTAGGAGGGCCTCGGACACCAACCACACACTTGAGAACGGCCGTAAAGTGGCAGTGGTGGGGGTCAGGGAGAGCCCACCCCAGGGGCAGTCTGTGGCCTTCTCCACTTGCAGCCCAGGGGCTTCCTGGCATTCTGATTTCATGGAGACAGTGTGGACTACGCTAGCGCGCCCGGGTGGGTGGTCCTCAGAAGGGGGTCTATGATGCAGATGTGAGTGGGCAGGCCCTGAGGATGGCTCCCTGGCATGGCTGGGCGAGGACAGGAGAGGGGTGGGCAGAGAGCACGTGCGGGGGGACTCTGGTGCAGGCCGTAGAGGACACATCTGTAAAAAGGGATAACGGAAGCTCAGTTCCCAGGGGTTGCTCTGAGGATGGAGGTGAGTGCTGAACACGCAGCACTTGGCCTTGGTGGCTCGCTCCAAACACCCCAGAGATGCTTATGATCAGGGATGATGCTACTGATCCCCTCACCTGAAGTGGGGGTCCCACCCCATCACTCCCTGCCATCCCATGGGGGCCACCTGCCAGCCTTCAGGGTCAAGAAGGCGAAGGGTTGCAGGAATGCTGCTGAGCAGCTCCTCTCGGGTTTCCCTGTGGACCAGGGCTGGAAGGGCAGCTTAGCATTCAGCAGGATGCAGGTATGCTAGAGGGACTTGTTATGAGACCTGGCGTTTGGGAGCTGTAGAACAAGGTGTGTGTGTGGGGGTGCATGCACGCACGTGTGTTTCTGTGCATGCACGTGTTTTTGCATTCATATGTGTGCCCATGCCTGTGCATGCATGCTCGTATGTTTCTGTGTGCACGTTTGCATGCATGTGCACACGTATGTGCCTGTGTGCAGGTTTGTGTGCGTGTGTATGATCCACAGCTCCTGGGATTGACGGGCAGGGAAGATTATAGCCATGTGGGCTCGTGGCCCCGGGGCATGGCACGTACAGGCGTTGGGAGAGCCATGGGGCAGCGGCAGGTAGGAGCCGGCCCGCCAGGACCGGGTGCGGAAATTCTTCTTGCACTTGCCGCAGTCGGGGCCGGTGGTGTTGTGCTCGCACTCGCACTGCAGGCTGCCCTCGCGCATGGAGCACAGGTTGGCGTGCAGGTTGCACTTGCACCTGGGGAGACACCGAGAGGGCAGAGATGTCAGAGAGCTTGTGGGCAGCCTGGCCTGGCCTCTGGGGAAAGGAGCGCCTCCCAGGAGGGGCCCAGGAGGGTGTTGGGCTGCCCAGGAAGAAACCCTGGAGGCCACCAGCCCAACCTTTAGGCCAGAAACTCCTTGATTCCCCTTCCTGCAGAGAGATCAACGCCGTGTTCCAAAGGCCACACCTGCAGTCACTGCGCGGCTCTCCTCTCTGCTCTGATGCTGGTTTCAAGGATTCCTCACATCTCAGTTGGGGAGAGTGATGATACTGCCTTGTCCCAGATGCTAGATTCTTAGTAATGCAGCTTCTGATCACCCTAGCCTTTGACTGATGTGGGTTGATGGGTGACAGAGGCTGCTGCCAGCACCTGGTGTAGACAGAGACTTGGCCATGGGCTGCACTTCATTGTGTAGAAAGGCACCTGGCTTCAGGCTGGACCTCTGCTGTCAGGTTGTGGCCCACAGCCACGCCCTTGAGGGCAACAGATAGAACCCCCAACTCCCACACCCCCGTCAGTTCATTCACAGGTGTATTATTCATCCATTCATTCAAATATTTATAGGCGACTCATTATTCTGAAAACTGGTAAATAAAGGGAAAGAATCAAGCATTTATCCTGCCTGTCCTATATAAACTGTACCTCGGGGTAACCGAAAGTTGATGAGGGGAAGCTTCTTTTTATAGAAGCATTTCACGAGAGAATTTGCAGTCCCTGATGAATGCATAGCTCCAGGCACTGAGCCGCACCAGCCCAGAACTTCCCACTGAGAGGCCAGCAGACAGTGAGCGTCTCTAGAAGAACACACCCCCACCCGAAGCCAAAGCAACTGAACCTGAATCAGATCAAGCCTCTAGACCCAGCTGTGAGCGCACAGGAAAGACAGAGGACAGAGCATCACCCTGAACGACACCAGGGGATGCCATCCGCAAGATCTGGACTCGAGGAAACTCCGGCAGTAATGACCCACTTCTTCCAACAGATGAGTTGCGTGGAGAAAAAATTGATACGGAAAAAGGATGGACCTAGAGCAAGAGAAACCTCAAAAGCATACCAATTAATGGCAGAAGTGAAGCTCCTCTGGTCCTTGGTTCAAACATCCTGTAAAATCAAACACGCAAACAAATGGAACGTATATTTATGAGATAACTGGAAATTTGGACATTGCCTATATTAGATACTAATGTTTACTAGGTGTGATGATGATATTGTGGTTATGTTTTTTAAAGTCCTTATCTTTTAGAGAACCACACAGGCTAGGCGTGGTGGTGCACACCTATAATCCAAGCACTTTAGGAGGCTGACGCAGGAGGATCAATTGAGCCCAGGAATTTGAGGCCAGACTGGGTAACATAGTAAGATCCTGTTTCTACAGAAAATAAAAAAATTAGCCAGTGTGGTGGCACATGCCTGCAGTCCTAGCTACTCAAGAGGCTAGGGCAGGAGGATCCCTTGAGCCCAGGAGTTCAAGGCTGTAGCAAGCCATGTTTGCACCACTGCACTCCAGCCTGGGAGACAGAGCAAGACTCTGTCTCCAAAAAAAACAAAACAAAACAAAACAAAAACAAACAAAACAAAAACAAAAACAAAACAAGACAAAACAAAAGGGCCAGCCATGGTGGTTTATGCCTGTATTCCTAGCACTTTGGGAGGCCAAGGCAGGCAGATAACTTGAGGTCAGGAGTTCAAGACCAGCCTGTCCGACATGGTGAAACCCCATCTCTACTAAAAATACAAAATTAGCCAAGTGTGATGGTGCACCTGTAATCCCAGCTACTGGGGAGGCTGAGGCAGGAGAATCGCTTGAACCCAGGAGGCAGAGGTTGCAGTGAGCCATTGCACCACTGCACTCCAGCCTGGGAGACAGAGCGAGACTACATCTCAAAAGGAAAAAAAAAAGCAGAGAGAGATACACATAGAAATATTTACAGATGAAATTATCTGATGGGCAGAGGTACAGATGAAACAAGAAGATTCACTAGTTGGTAACTGCAGTCGGGTGAGAGGTACACAGAGGTTCATCATGGCAGACACCATCTTCTTTTGTGTTGGAAATTCTCCATAATAAAAAGTGAAAGAGAGACAGAGTGTGCTCTATATTCTGATATGGGAAGATTTCCAAGATATATTGTCAATATTTGGAAAAAGCAAATTGCAGAGCAATGGGTTTAGTAGAATCCTATTTTTATTAAAATATGCAAAGAAAAATATTTATCAGGCACCTGTTATGTGGCAGGGGCTCTGAGCTGGGAACAGTGAGTATAATGTCAACAAAGCAGATGGCTCCCTGACCTGATGGTGCTTCGGGTCTAGCAGGGAGACAATGAACAAAATCAGTGATTGGAGGGGACAGGGAGGGAGGATAAATAGGTGGCACACAGGGATTTTTAGGGCGGTGAAACCATTCTTTATGATGCCACAATGGTAGATATGTGGCATTATGCATATGGCAAAACCCACTGAAGTGTCCAACACAGAGTGAGTCCTAATGTAAATAACAGGCCCTAGTGAATGACACTGTATCAGTGTTAGCTCATCATTGTAACACATATACTCCAAAATAGGGGAAACTGTGCAGGGGGGTGGGGAAATGGGAACTTTCTGTACTATCTGCTCAATTTTCTGTAAACTTAAAACTGCTCTAAAAATAAAGTCTATTAATTATAACAATACGAATCACACACCTCTTCCAGTGTTCAACTGTTAAAAGAGCCCACGGGTTGTGCAAAGAAGAAGGCATCACGGGAGTCCACAGTTTCCAGGAAGAACAGTTTTAAACTAAGACCTGAAGGAGGATCAAGAGTTGCCGGGCCAGAAGGGGAGAACCTTCTAGAAAGAGGCAAGAGCATGAGGAAAGCCCTAGGGCTGAAAGAAGTTCCACCCGTGAGGTCTGCAATGAGGCTGGGGGGTGGAGGAGGCCAGACCAGGAGACGGAGGCGGGATTTTACTCTGCAAGCCTTTGACTGGTTAGGCGTGTCCTGCTCTGGGCCATATTTTATAACGCTGTGGCTGCTTCATGGAGACTGGTTTGTCTGGGAGACAAAAGCCTGGGCAGGGAGAGATCAGTGAGATCCTGCGAATAGAGGCCTGGACCAGGGCAGGGCACCTGGGCCCACCCGTCCCGCCTGGGGTGTGCGGCATCTTTTTGTGTTTTGAGACAGAGTCTCACTCTGTCACCCAGGCTGGAGTGCCGTGGCACAATCTTGGCTCACTGCAACTTCCGTTTCCCCCTGACTGGCTCTCGTCCATTCAGAGATTGTTTTGAGGATGTGTAACTGGCATTTTCTTCTCTCTTCATGCTCCCCTTCCACTGGGAGGGGTGACGCTTTTTGTTTTCTCACCTCACACTCCCCAAATCCTCCTGGACACCACAGGCTGCAGAGCTCCCTCCTCGCATCCGGCCTCCCTCATATCTCAGTCCTGCCAGGTGCTTCATCTGAGCCCTCCTCCCTCGGCTCTGTCCCGCCTCTGTCCCTGTCTGAGTGGGAATGAAGGGTCCCCTGGGGGCCGCCTTCCAGAGCAAGGATCTGGGTGGGGAAACAGCGGCCCCTGCGTCCACCAGCCCTGGGGCTTCCAGCTAACCCCCATCTGCCAGCTTTGGTAACCAGGGCTGCCTTCCTCCTTGGGGTCTTCTCTCTGTCCTCGAATTATCCTGCAGAATGGTTAGGGAAATTATGGTAAATCCAGGCAATGGAGTCTTTTTGCTTTTTGAGACCGAGTCTCACTCTGTCACCCAGGCTGGAGTGCCGTGGCACAATCTCGGCTCACTGCAACTTCTGCCTCTCGGGCTCAAGCAATCCTCCCTCCTCAGCCTCCCGAGTAGCTGGGACCACAGTCGCGTGCCACCATGCCTGGCTAATTTCATTTTTATTTTTTGTGGAGATAGGGTCTCCCTGTGTTGCCCAGGCTGGTCTCAAACTCCTGGTTGAAGTTCAAGCAATCTGCCCACCTCAGCCTCCCAAAGTGCTGGGATTATAGGTGTGAGCCATTGCGACTGGCCTAAAGTCCATGTTTTAGAAATGTTATTTAGAAACATGAGGTCAGGCCAGAGTGGAGAAGGCAGTGAGTTTCTGAGCTGACGCCTTTCCTCCCAGGAGGAGGAGAGAATCCTGCAGGTCCTGGGTGGGCCGTGGGAGAGGGGGCACTCAGGAACCCACCGCTTTAGGTTACATGTATCCACTGTGCCGTGATGCTCAGTTCCCAGGACGAAGGACGTCTCTGGAATTCTCTGGAACAGAATTCTGAGGCAGAGCAAGAGCCCTGGCCAGCAGCACTAGCCACCGCTGAAGTCTGTGTGATTTTAACTCCATCTTCCCCTGAGAGCCTGGACACTAACCCTGCCGAGGTTTTACTGGAACACCAAGCTGAAATAAATAGAGCATTAAAAAGCCTGTTCACTCTTTCCCTGGCATTCTCATCCCTCCATTGCCACATGCGTGCTGCAGGACTGCTATGTGCTTAGCTCTGGGAAAGGCACAGAGGGGGACAGCAGGCACCTATTGGTACGGGCGGCCCTTCTTTCTGGAGATGCCAGATCCCAGAGATGGTCCTTGGCACAGAAAGTTTCTGTGCTTAAACCTTTTTGGTCAAGCATATGATGCTCTCCAAATCCCCTGACATCTGCTCCTTGATCCTACCTCACTCCACTGAGGGTCATAATACATCTCAGCAGATTAAAGGCTCTGACAAGACCTGCAGGGAAGAAACCTGTCTGACTTTGTCTAACAAGAGTTTGTCTGCAAAATCTGACCTGGGGAGGTTTTAATTCGCAACTTCTGAATTCCTATCTAACACCCCCCTGAGCTGGCTGGAGAGGAACACCTCAGCTGTACGGAACCGGGGCTGTGCTCCGCACTGCTGGCCTGAGGAAGGGATATTTTTAGATATCAGCTACCGAAAGAAAAGATTGCCATCAACTTTGGGTGATAACATTGACCTTGGCTTAGTAAAGATGCATAGAAGACCGGCCGAATCCAAGAAGCATATTGTAACAGTGATAATAGGTAGCCATTGGATGTCAGAGCTGGACAGGCTGGGTGGTGCTGGTAGGGAGAAGTCGCCCAAAGTCATACAGTTGGTTTCTCCTGACCCAAATCCAGACGTCCCTCCCCAGCTGGCTCTGCCCAGGCTCCATCCTGGCCAGCCCCTCCTATCAGTCCTGTCTTCCTCGGGAACAGGAGAAGATGTCCCGGCCTCTTCAACTCGCTGGCTGAGCCCCAGAACAAGCACAGTGCCTCCTCTTCCAAAGGAGAGAATTGCCCTGTCTAGCAGGGCTGCAGGGAGGAGCTGGCACTGTGTGGGGAAAGGCTGGCAAGGCTGGCACACACATGGCACCTGGTCAATGCAGGTGCTTCTGGTCTCTCTGACTTTTGCAGGTCACTGTGGGTGGTACTGCCTCTGTGTCGGTGTGTGTGGACATGGTGTTTGTGTATGACCTCTTGGCCTCTCTGGCTCTCTCAGTGCCCCTCTCTCCATGTCTCCGTCTTCTCCTGTCTCTTTGTCTCTCTCTCCATGTCTCTGTCCAGCAGATGTTCTGATCTTGCTTTTCTCTGGGCCTTTGCACATGCTGTTCCCTCTGCCTGGAATGTACTACAGGCTCTGCCCCTTCTCCTAGAGCTAATATTTAGAGGTGGTGTCAGATTCTAGGCCAAATGCCACTTCTTTGGGGAGGCCTTTCACAACCCCTACCTCAAATCAGCCCCTGCTACACTCTCCCTCCCCATAAAACTCATCATGATCAGCACTGGCTCCCAAAGTGGGATGTACGAGATGACTGGGGGAGATGGGCGCATGGACTGTAAAACAGCTCTACAGGCTATTATTTGTTTTTGAATACACAGTATGTTTTTTTTAATGTCAGACTCATAAGACCTGGGATCACAAAAATACTGCCTAAGTGAAACCAAATTTTTAAAGTATATTAATTTAAAGAAATTATTAGGTAAACAAATAAATAAATAATATGGGAGACCCACGTAAAAAGAATGAAGTTGGACCCTTCACATCACATATAAAAATTAACTCAAAATGGATCAAAGAGCTGCAAACTAGAAAACTCTCAGATGGAAACGTAGGGAGCCAGGTGCGGTGGCTCACGCCTGTAATCTGAGCACTTTCGGAGGCTGAGGCAGGCAGGTTACCTGAGGTCAGGAGTTGAAGTTGGTCAACATGGTGAAACCCCGTCTCTACTAAAATCACAAAAATTAGCCAGGTGTGGTGGTGGGTGCCTGTAATCCCAACTACTTGGGAGGTCCTGAGGCATGAGAATCACTTGAACCCAGGAGGCAGAGGTTGCAGTGAGCTGAGATTGCACTCTGGCCTGAGCACAGAGCGAGACTCTGTCTCAAAAAAAAAAAAAAAAAGAAGAAGGAAACATAGCAGCAAATCTTCATGACCTTGAATTAAGCAATGGTTTCTTAGACAGGATGCCAAAAGCAAAAGCAACAGAAGAAAAAAAAATAGATAAATTAGACTTCATCAAAACTAAATATTTTTGTACTTCAGAGGACACTGTCAGGAAAGTGAAAAGACAACCCACAGAATGGGAGAAAAATTTGCAAGTCATGACATAGCTAAAAAGGAACTTATATCTAGAACATCTAATGAACACTTATAACTCAATAATAAAATGACAAATAATCCAGTTTTTAAAATGAGGAAAGGATCAGCACAGACATTTCTCCGAAGAAGGCATACAAATGGCCAAGAAGCAGATGAAAACATGTTCAACATTACAGCCATCAGGGAAATGCACACCAAAGCCATAATGAGATACCACTTCACACTCACCAGGATAGGCAGAGTCAAAAAGACGGATAATCACCTGCTGGTGAGGATGCAGAGAAATCAGAACCCTCATACGCTGCTGGTGGGAATGTAAAATTGTGCAGCTGCTTTGGAAAGTGGTCTGGAAGTTCTACAAAAGGTGAACTTAGAGTTGCCCAGTAATTCTACCTAGGTATATAACCAAGAGAAACGAAAACATGTCCACACAAAATGTGTACATGAATGTTGATAGCAGCATTGCTAATAATAGTCAAAAGGTGGGAACAACCCAATATCCATCAACAGAAAAACAAAATGTGTAAGCAGGCAATGAATACTATACAGCCAGAAAAAGTAATGAAATACTGATCCACACTATGACATGGAAGAACCTTGAAAACATTATGCCAAGTGAAAGCGGTCAGTGATGAAAGACTACATATTGTATAATTTCTTTCTTTCTTTCTTTCTTTTTTTTTTTTTTTTGAGACAGAGTCTTGCTCTGTCACCCAGGCTGGAGTACAGTGGTATGATCTTGGCTCACTGCAACCTCCACCTCCTGGGTTCAAGTGATTCTCCTGCCTCAGCCTGCTAAGTAGCTGGGATTACAGGCACCCACCACCACATCTAGCTAATTTTTGTATTTTTAGTACAGATGGGGTTTTGCCATGTTGGCCATGCTAATCTTAAACTCCTGACCTCAAGTGATCCTCCCAGTTGGGCCTCCCAAAGTGCTGGGATTATAGGCATGAAGCACCGTGCCCAGCCATCTTGTATAATTTCATTTACACAAAATGTCTAGGATAGGTAGATGACTTTTTTTTTCTTTTTTTTTTTTGTTTTGAGACAGAGTCTTGCTCTGTCACCCAGGCTGAGTGTAGTGTCACGATCACAGCTCACTGCAATGTCTGCCTCCTGGGTTCAAGTGATTCTCCTGCCTCAGCCTCCCAAGTAGCTGGGATTACAGGCGTGTGCCACCACACCCGGCCAGAGTGTCTTTTTAGGGTGATGGAAATGTTCTAAAGTCTGCTGTGGTGATAGTTGCACAACTCTGTGAATAACCTAAAAGCGACTGAATTGTACGCTTTACATGTGTGGATTGTACAACGTGTGAATCACATCTGGGTAAAGCTGTGAGTGAATGAATGATCGGGATGTGTGGAAACAGGGAAGGGCTTACAGCTTCCAGGCTTTTCTTGCAGTATCTCTCCTAAAAATCTTCAGAGATTTGTTTTCCTATTTTTATAAACCTATCACATTGGGGCCGGGCGCGTTGGCTCACGCCTGTAATCCCAGCACTTTGGGAAGCCGAGGCGGGTGTATCACCTGAGGTCAGGAGTTCGAGACCAGCCTGGCCAACATGGTGAAATCCCGTCTCTACTAAAAATACAAAAATTAGCTGGGTGTGGTGGCATGCGCCTGTAATCCCAGCTACTCGGGAGGCTGAGGCAGGAGGATCGCTTGAACCCAACAGGTGGAGGTTGCAGTAGGCCGAGGTCATGCCATTGCACTCCAGCCTGGGGGACAAGAGCAACACTTGGTCTCAAAAAAACCAGAAAAACAAAAAAAACAAAAAAACAAAACGCTATCACATTGTGCCTCAAAGGAAGTCTCCTGGGTAGACAGCTGATGCGTGAGTGCTCACTTTGCATGAGGAACTGTTCTGAGAGTGCCACCCGAATTAGAACATTAGCCCTTCACAGCAATCCCCTGAATGACATGTCATTATTATCTTCGTTGTGCAGATGGGGAAACTGAGACTTGGGGTGGTGAAGTGAGCTGCCTGAGGTTCCACAGCTGGTAAGGGGCAGACGCAGGACTTGAATCCAAGCAGCTCGATTCAGAGCCACACTTAGTGTCTGCACTCCCGGGTGGCCTGTGTGGCAGGAGCCGGGAGCCCCCATGGTGCTGGTGGGCAGGGCTTCTGCCCAGCTCATGGTGCACACAGCTGTGTGGCCTGCACAAATTCTTAGCCAACCTGAGTCTCGCTTTTCTCACCTGAAGAGCGGGAAACAATATCTTGTGTATGCCACAGGCTGCCACGCACACCAGTGACACTGGCCCTGAGGAGCGATATGGACCACACCGGCCACATCACCCACACTCATCACGGTTGGGGTGAAACAAAAGCCCTGGCACAGAGCGGTGCCCACTGGGGTTTGTGTGCCTTCCTTTTGTCTTTCTGGGTGACTGAGAGATGGTAACCCCATCCCCTGGGCCCCACTGGCCTGGGATGTTCTGCCAACGACTGTGTGACCTCAGGAAAGTTGCTGAATTTCACTTGGCCTGTTTTCTAATCTGTAAAATAAGGATGGCAGTAACACCTGCCTCATGGAGTTGTTGGAAGGATCAAGTGGGAGACGGTCTATAAAGCTCTTGCATGAGACAAACAGGTGCCTAGGACATGCCAGTTTTCCATTTCTTATACTCAGGAGCTCCTAGAGCCAGGGATCCTCAGAGCTTTCAACAAGTGAAGTTATCACCTCTTCACAGGAACCTTATGCAGAGTATACTATGACTATCTCTATTTCACAGACAAGGAAATGAGGCAAGAGAAGTTAAGCAACTTGCCCAAGGCCACACAGCTGGTGAACCCCACTTTAGGAAGTGGGCAGGCAGTGGGCAGAGCCTGAAGAGTCTCAGTGTGCTGGCTCTTGGATAGACTCAGGCTCCTGGAACTGCAGCCACCCCACAGCTCCCCCAGACACAGGCACACCCTTCCCCTCCCTGCCTCAGGCTGCCTGCCTTCTGTGATTTCTCTGCCCTATTCTGGAAGGCCCTCGGGAGATGAAGTAAATGAAATAAATAAGCAAGCACATAGAAATAATTTGCTGAGTGCTCCTACGTGGACAGACGCCATGCATTATTAAACAAATCCTCGTGAAAACGCAGAAGGCACTGTCCTTCCCACTTTACAGGTGAGAATGCGAGGCTCAGATGGGTCAAGGGCCAGGGCTGTGGGTGGAAGAAGCAGGCTTGGCACTCGGGGCTGCATGGCACTAGAGCTGGATCTCACAGCCACCTGCTGCCTGCGTCTCTCTCAGTGCTGGCTTCGCGTCCATTCCATGGGGACAAAGAAGGCCAGGAAAGGGGCCACTAAGCCAGATGCCCCCATGCCTGCTGCCCATGGCCCTGCTTACCAATTCTGTGGCCCAGCCACAGCCAAGGAAATGCAGCCACAGAAGAAGAAAGAAGCCCCCTTTGCCACGTGCCCTCCTGGCACCAGCCTCTGCCTGGATCTGGACCTGGGCGGGCAGTCTGGGCTCCTGCTGCACTCCAGCCCAGATATTTCCCCTTCTTCTGTGGGATCAATTTTCCCAAGCGATCGCTCTCTGAATTTGACCCTCAGGAACCATCAATCTCACCAGAAAACCATCACCTGGGCCACCTGATCCCCCGACACAGCACTTTTCAGCTCATCCATCAGAAAGGATGATTTAATAATGAACATAGAGATAGGGCATGCTGGCCAGCCCATGAGGCCAGCGGACCCCTCCCAGGCCACCAGGGCTGTTCCCTCTCCACCCCTGCCCCACTGCAGAATCCTACGGCTTTAGCTCTTCAGACGGCAGCAAGAACGCTCCATGGGACACACACACACACACACACACACACACACACACACACACATACACACACACACAGAGAGAGAGAGAGAGAGAGAGAGAGAGAGAGAGGCTGAGTCAGCAGCCAGATTCTTACCCAGGTTTTGCTACTGATTGGCTAGGTGACCTTGAGCAAGTCACTTCTCTGGGTTTAATTTTTGGTAAATGTCTAACACACTGCCTGGCACACAGTAGGTGCTCAATGTTTGCAGAAAGAAGCAAGGGAGGAAGGGGATAATGCATGGGAGCTCTGTGTGCAGCAACCGGCATGGAGCACCTGCTGGGTTAAAGGCCGGTGAGTGTCACGGCTGGGCTGCAGCACCAGGTAGCGCGGTGGCCAGACAGTCGGGTTCAAACCTCTGACCCCTCAAGCTAGGCAAAGGCAGGAAGGTGACCAGCCTTGGGGAATCAGTCGGTGTCCTGTAACCCTAGGAAGTGGCTGTTTCCATGTGGCAGGACTGTCAAGGGTCAGGGAAGGGCAAGCTGAGCTGGTACCCTCGAGGGCTCAGCACTGGGTCTGGCACAGAGCATGCCCTCCGGAAACGTCAGCTATTATTATTGTTGCTATTGTCAACAGCCAACAGGTGATAGAGGGAGGGACGGAGATGAGAGTACATGGGCTCCCAGGTGCCAAGATCGGCCTTACCTGGCAGCCCTGAGGTGCCTGACCCCAAGGGCAGGGCCCCTTATTCATGCTGTCCCGTCCAACACCCACCCCAGAGCCTCTCTCAGAGCCTGCAGCTCCCCAAAATAGAGATAATCAACCTATTCTCCAGGCCCCTGGGGCGCCCCAAGAGGTGACACACCCCCTGGCCTCTTGGAGGATTCAGTAACATATTGCCAGATATTTATCCTTTATTTATTTACTTATTTTGAGATGGAATCTCGCTTTGTCATCTAGACCGGAGTGCAGTGGTTCGATCTTGGCTCACTTCAACCTCCACCTCCTGGGTTCAAGCAATTATCCTGCCTCAGCCTCCCGAGTAGCTGGGATTACAGGCGCCCGCCACCACACCCGGCTAATTTTAGTATTTTAGTAGAGATGGGGTTTCACCACGTTGGCCAGGCTGGTCTCAAACTCCTGACCTCAAATGATCCGCCCACCTCGGCCTCCCAAAATGCTGGGATTACAGGTATAAGCCACCATGCCTGGCCCCCACTGGCCTCTTGGAGTCATTTCCCCACAGAGCCCCATGCCACAATGGTTGCCAGATTTCCCAAATAAAAATACAGGACACTGAGTTACATTTGAATTTTAGGCCTGGTGCAGTGGCTCATGCGTGTAATCTGGGCACTCTGGGAGGCCCAGGCAGGAGGATTACCTGAGAACAGGAGTTTGAGACCAGCCTGGGCAAGAAAGTGAGACCCCCCCCCCCAATCTCTACAAAAAAATTAAAAAAAACACAAAATTTATCAGGGCATGGTGGTGAGCACCTGTCATCTTAGCTACTTCGGAGGCTGAGGCAGGAGGATCGCTTGAGTCCAGGAGGTTGAGGCTGCAGTGAGCCGTGATTGTGCCACTGCACTGCCCTTCAGCCTGGGTGACAGAGCAAGACCCTGTCTCTAAAAAAAAAAAAAATTTTTTTTGAATTTTAGATAAATAACTAATGATTTTGTTAGTACAAGTATATTCCATGAAATATTTGGGACATACTTACCCTAAAAAACAACGATTCCCTTGTTTATCTGAAATTCAGGTTTAACTGGGTATCCCGTATTTCATCTGGCAGGCCCACCTGCTACCCGGCTCACCCGTGTGGCTGTCTGGCCCCTCTGCTCAGACCCTGACTTCTCTCACGGCCTGACATGGGGCGCACTCACTTGCTTGCTGGAAGCTGGCCCTGCTGCCAGCAAGGACAGAGCCACAGCCACCTTTTCAGCTAAGTTTCCCTTTTTCTTGAATGGATGAGTCCCTAGTAAGCCCCTGGAGACCACAACTGTTAGTAGGCAGCACCGGGCCTCACCTCCAGGGGAGAGCCCAGCCCAGATAACACCAGTTCTCTGGGAAACGTGGCAGGCCCAGCTGGGGGCCTGACAGCCACATGAAGGATGACAGGGGCCCTGGCCCGTGCCAGGCAGGAGCGTGCCCTGCGCTGCAGGGAGGGGCAGGCAGTGCCTGGGAGCTGCTGCGGGGGCACCATCTGGACCCGGGCCTGGCACCGTCACTCCACAAAAATCGTGAGCGGGGCCCTTCCCTCCTCCCAGGGAGAGAGGAGCGGGGGGTTTGGAGAGTCTCCCAGACAGGAGGGCGGGTGGAATGTAGGTCAACTCCTGGCTGCCGGAAAGAGTGATGTCATCCACTCCTTGCGGGGAATGACGGAGGAAGCGGTGAGTTTGGGTGAGCGAGCCAGGGATGGTGCTGGAGCTGGGCAGGGAGGAGGAGGCCCCAGGGCTGGCTCTCTGCAAAGGCAAAGCCCCACGGGGATTTCAGAGTGTTCACGGCAATGGCTCTGAACTGGGGTGGGCAGGTGCTGGGCTGGGAGAGCTAGTCCCCAACTTGTCTCAAAGCACCTCTTTGCAGGACCATGGGGGTTCCTGGTCATTAATCACATTGCCTGGTCCTTCTTTCCTGGTATGTTACCACCCGTCCCCACATTATTACATGTCGTGTATACTGAGACTGGCCTCGCAGAGCTCTGGTACCTTGGGGGCTAAAGTTAGACTACTATTTTAACACAGCCAGCAATGTTTTCCAATTTCTCTTGCCAGATAGCGCATTTATCTTTGGGTGAAGAGTGTTCTTTTGTTTTGGGAAAAAACATTTTTCATGAGCCTCTGGGTTATGGGCAAAATAACCTAAAGCAAATCCCAGATCTTACGGTGGCTTGGAGATGCTCACAAGGGAGGCTGGCGTGTTCTGCAGGATGAAGGAGGAGGCTGAAGCAACAAGGGCCCTCGCTTTCTGAGGACTCACAGAGCTGGGGTTGGGGACCTGGACTGCAGTGAGGAATGATGCTGCCCTGGGAGGGGGCTGCGGGCTTACATGGCCAAGAGGTTTCTCCTCCCCAGCCGGTGGGTGGCCGTGGCCAATGGATGGACGATGGACGGCCTCAAGGTTGGTGATGGCTAATGGAAATCCTCTCAAGTCCTTCTTTTTTTTTTTTTTTTTTTTTTTTTTTTTTGAGATGGAGTCTTACTCTGTCATCGCCCAGGCTGGAGGCTGGAGTGCAGTGGCACGATCTCAGCTCACTTTAACCTCCGCCTCCCAAGTTCAAGTGATTCTCCTGCCTCAACCTCTTGAGTTTCCAGGATTATAGGCATGCACCACTATGCTTGGCTAATTTTTAATTTATTTTTGTATTTTTAGTAGAGACGAGGGTTTTACTATGTTGGCCAGGCTGGTCTTGAGCTCCCGACCTCAGGTGATCTGCCTTCCCAAATTGTTGAGGTTACAGGCATGAGCCATTGTGCCCGGCCTCAAGTCCTTCTTTTCTACATGGTAATTCCCATCTGCTATGCCCAGGCCTGAGTCAAGACGTCATGAAACACTGTGGCCTGGGGATCTTGGTCTTCTTTGGGGGGTTGGGAGAGATGTGTCCTTGGCTCAGGCAAGCAGTGTGGGGAGATGGGCAGCAGCCAGAGAAGAAACAAATGGTCAGGAGGGAAGCCTGCAGAGGCCAGCTTGAGTAAGAGGTGACAAGTGACCAGGGGACACACGGATTTGAGGATCATGGTGAAAGGAACATGGTAGCAAACTGCACTTCTAGCTAATTCATGGGATGGGGAAGCCTTGGGCACTAGAGGGAAGGAGGCTGTTGGATGCTGGAGAACTTGGGACTGTTTGGGTCAAAGGACTGCCATTCAAACCTGAGATCCTGAGAAAGCGAGGAACCAACAACAGAGCCGTGGGGGCAGAGGGGAGGTCTGGGTGGTCTGGGTTGGTCGCCTGGCGCAGCCTGGCTTTTCCAGGGTAACATGGACAAATGCTGGCTGCTGCGCCTCCTGGAACGCAATCAGGCCGGCAATTGAGTTCATTGGCTAAATCAAATTTGGGCTTCTGTGCGAAGCCCTTTTCTATTAAGTGCTTTAACATACCTCACCTCCTCAGTCTATTGATAAATCCTATTACCCATTACAAAGCCAGAGGCAGCTTCCTTGCACACAACACAGAGGCTGACGGGCGGGTGCTGGGAGGCTTGGGTGTGCGGCTTAGGGGTGACACGGTGGGTATGACCAGGGCCTGCGAAGGCACCCCCAGCCTAAGCAGCCTAGCTGACTTCAGCAAGGTTTCTTCTTCCCCTGCAGGAAGGCCCAACACCCCCGAGGGAAGGACCAGGCCCAGGTGGTAGCCCAGAGAGGCCCATTTCTCACACAAGGAAAACAGGAGAAGGAGCAGGGTGTGATGGTGGAAGGGTGGGAGGCGACAAGGGTGGGTGCTAGCAAGCCCAGCTGGTCCTGCCTCTCTGCCTCCTAGCGCCTATATTCCAGTCTCTTTCTTCTCTGGAAAGAGTTCCAGATAGTAAGACTTCTTTGTTCATGTAAGTTCATTTGTTCATGAATGAATAAATGAATGACTGACTGACTGAATGAATGAATGAATTCCACACATATACAGCACGCCTACCTGGTTCTGGGTGCTGGTGCTAAGGTGAGAACAAGCCAGACCCCATCCCTGCTCCCTTGGAGCTCAGAGCCTATGGGGGCGGGTGTCAGACGTGTACGTGCATAGCTATGGTAGCTATGGCAAGGCTGTGGAATTGTCACAAGCCGCCAAGGCTGGAGAAGGGGACCGAGGGGCTGGTTGCACAGGTCTCCAGCCTTCAGGAGCTCCAGAGAGGTGCTCTCTGAGCCAAGTCCTGAGGGGTGAGGAGTTTGCCAGACAGGAAGGCTGGGGAGGGCTAGGTCATGTTCCAGGCAGAAGGACTAGCCCCTAGGCCAGCCCGAGAGACCCAGCCTTTGGGGTGGCTGATCTTGGGAGTCTCAGAGCCCAGGCTACAGAAGGAGGTGAGAGGGAAAGTCTGTGGTCACAGAGCACAGACTTGAGTCTAAGGTCAGTAGAAGACCACTAGAGATATTGTGCAGAGAAGTGACTGGGTTTGTGTTTAGGGACAAAAAACTACAGAAAGGGCAAGACTGAAGGGAGGGAGGGAGGCCAGTCATGTCCCGAAACCAAATCCTGACGCCAGCCTGCACCTCTCTTCTAGGGGGCAAGGCTGCTGATAGGGGGTCCACCTTGGGACCTAGTTCAGGCTGAGAGTGGGATGGAGGGATGGTTAGAAGCCCAGAGGGGGCTTTGTCCCACAGAGTGGAAAGAGGCCTCCAGGAACCCAAGCATGAAGTGGGTGCCTCAACATGGGGGAGAAGCACAGAGAAGCCCTGAGCCCAGGGCAGTCAAGCCAAGGCCTCTGGTGAACCCCGGGCTGCTGCGGAGGCCTCCGCTCACCCTGTGGGTCCGCGTCTGTGAGCAGGGGTGCAAGGCAGCCATGTGGAGTGTGATGTGTCTATGACTGGGTGCTTCTGGAAGCGGATTCACATGTGTGGGTGGGGCAGGTGTGTGTTTATGTGTGAGTCAGGGGCATGTTACAGATGAGTGAATGGCTGCGTGTGTGTGTGACTTGGCGGGTACATCTAAGGGAGCATCTGTGAGTCTAAAACAGGCTTCACATGGGATGAAGGGCCAGGGATCCTCTACAATGACCCACCCCACGCTCCCTCTGCTGAGATGTGGAGGGAGGCAGCCCAGCCCAGGGGCAGAACAAGGCCTGAGGATGAGCCTGGATGTGGCCTGTCCTCTCCCCACTCAACTTCCCCTCTCCAACCCCATCTGTCCTGCCCAATCGCAGCTGGTGAGGCCCAGCAAGCCACAGAGCTGGGGTCGGGGGGACAGGAGCCTGCCGGGTGTCATGGCCACAGACCCAGAGGGAGTGGCCCAGGCAGAACTGGGTGGGGCTCAGTCCCCCGTCCGCTGTTGGCAGCAGCACTCTCCTCCAAAGTACCTTTGGCTATACCTACTATGAACTGAGCTTCTCATTCCTGCATGACTGTTGACTGATGAAGGGACAGAGGACAGAGCTGGAGATAAAGCCAAGGAATTCCACTCAGCCCCAGGCGAGTGACGGAGGAACATGGTCTGTGTGTTCAGGTGACAAAATACCGACTCCTTCAAGGGATCAATGGCTCCCCTTCCTCAGGCACCTCCTGAGTACTGGGACTTGAGCGGGCAAGTCTCAGACAATCTTTACAAGAGCGGGATCCCATTTTACAGGTGGGGAAACTGAGGCCTGGAGAAATGGAAGAGACTTGCCAGAAAAGAGCAAATGGAAAGAGCTGGAATCTCAGGCAGGCTGCTCGCTGGCACCGTGATGTGCCACTCTTTACTCAGGACAAAGGGACTTCTGTGAGCCACCAGGGTGGGCCACCCTGGGTTGTCAAGATGGACATGGAGTCTCTAGAAGGTGTTAGAAGCAGGGTTTCTGACCTAAATATGAAATCAGTCAGCCTTTCCTCCTTACACATGCTGGTGGGCCCTCTGTCCTGTCAGCTCTCCGCCCACCCCGATCACTTCCTCGGCTCCTGTCCCCAGCGTCCCTCCCGCCCTCCCCACAGCTATCTTCAGTCCTGGTGGATTCTTCCCATCCCAACGCCAACGCTGCCGCGCCTCCCGCCTTTCAGGAAGAGCCCTCTCCCCTCCCCATTCCCCCAGCAGCTCACACCCCATCTCTCTGCTCCCCTTCCGAGCAAAACGTTTTCAAAAGCTTGCCTACACCCCCTCTTTTTTACCCCTATTTCACTCTTTTAAAAGTGTTGGCATTCACCCCTGAAACCACCCCACGACGGCCTTCATCCCGGACTCCCGGGCTCTGCTCTGGGTGCGTCTACTGTGACCTCCATCTTCCCAGGTCCATGGGCCCACGCTGGCCTCCTCCACTTGGACCCGCCGCAGCATGGACACAGGTGGCCGCTGCCCTGCAGGAACCGCTCCCGCGTGGCTTTGGGGCACCGCCCTGCCAGATTCCCCCTGTCTCTGATCTCAGGGCTGCAGCCCGCCCGGCTCCCCGGCTCTCCTCTCGGAAGTCTCGCACGCCCCCACGGCGGGCGTCATCGTCACCGCGGAGCTCAGGACTCCCCGCGCCCAGTCTCGCCTGCGCTTCACACTCAGAGGCCCAAATGCTCCGGATGCCTCCAAAACGCTCACAACCAACAGGTCCAAAATAGAAGTCAGGCTTCCTCCAGTGCACAGCCGCGCTGGAAGACGGCCTGGCAGTTTCTCATAGAGTTAAACACGCTCACCAGACGACCCAGCCGTCCACACCTGGGTGTTTACCCAAGAGAAGCGAAAACTTATGTTCACCCAAAAACCTTTCCACGAATGTTTATAGCAGCTCTACTCATAATCGCCCCAGACTGGGAGCCACCGAAACGTCCTTCCACGGAGAATGGGTAAACAGACCACGGTGTGCAGTGCACACGGCACAGTCCTACTCAGGAGTGAGGAGCCCGAGCCACGCAGGCGGCCACGCCATAAGCCTCAGAGGCACAGTGAGAACGAAGGAGACCCCTTGAAAAAGCCACCTGCCGCACGACTCCACTTACAGCAGATTTTCAGGGAGCAGGATGGGGGCTTCCAGGGGTCTCGGGACGGGAGTTCTTGGAGAGACGGGCTGTTGTGGGCCCAGGCTGTGGTGGTGGTTGCATGACTCTATCCACGTGCTAAAATTCCTAGAATTGTACCCCCAAAAGGTCCACTTTGCTGTATGAAAATATAAAAATAAAAAATTAAGAAATAAAAAAAAAATTCCCCTCCAGAAAATCCCCTCACCTCTGTCCCCATTTGACAAGGCAAAATTTCCATCCACCCAGTGTCTCAAAGCCAGATGCCTGGGAGTCCTCCATGATGCCTCCCACCGCCTGCTCCCATCAGCTACTCAGCAACACTGCCACCAAAGACCACCTCCAGGCGGCCCACATCACAGCCCCTGTCCCTGCCAGAACCCGGCCAGGCTGCTGTCAGTCTTGGTAGGGCCCGCCCAGTCTCCTGCAGGCCTCCAGCACCGCCACCCCCAACTCAGATTTCCAAACACCGGAAATCAGATCACACCTCTCCCCTGCCTGTAGCCCTCCTACCAAACTTCAACCAAAACCAACTTCCTCCCGGGGCTGCAGGGCTGGCGTGATCTGGCCCTGCCTGCTCTTCTTTGGAATCTTACTCACCCACCACAGCCACATCACACTGAGTCCTTAGAAGGCACTGCACCTGTCCTGCCTGCTGTCCCCCTGCCACAAATGCCGTGCCCCCGTTCCCCCTTCAGGTTTCTCCTTCAAAGCCCCCCTCCCTGGAGGGCCTTCCCTGACCCCTGGGTCCAGGTCTCAGGTTGGTTCCCAGCTCCACTCCCATATTGCCCTGGGTTTTGAGATAGGGTCTCGCTCTGTTGCCCAGGCTGGAGTGCAGTAGCACAGTCATAACTCACTGCAGGCTTGACTTCCTGGGCTCAAGCAATCCTCCCACCTCAGCCTCCCAGGTATCTGAGACCACAGGCGCACACCACCATGCCTGGCTAATTTTTGTATTTTTTGTCGTGATGGGGTTTCACCATGTGGCCCAAGCTGGTCTTGAACTCCTGCGCTCAAGCAATCCGCCAGCCTCAGCCTCCCAAAGTGCTGGGGTTACAGGCGTGAGCCACCGTGCCTGGCCTTGCCCTGGTTTCTTTCTCACCGTGCACCTGTGGGCACTTGGGGGTACTGGGTTTGTTGATTTCTGCTCTCCCACTACGGGAGCGTCAGCCCCTCCATGCTCTTGGACCCTGGCACCCTGCTTGTGTCCAGCATGTCATAGGTGCCTGCTGTGGGCCAAATCGTGTCTCCCGAAAAGATATGTTGACATCCTGACCCCCAGTGCCTATGAATGTGACCTTACATGGAAACGGGGTTTTGTGGATGTGGATGAGGATGTAAGTTAAGCTGAGGTCATGCTGCAGGAGGGCGGGCCCTTATCCGATGTGATTGGTGTCCCTGTAGGAAGAGACACGGGGAGACAGCGTGTAAGACAGATGCTCAGGGAGCGGACAGCCGCAAGACAAGGCAGAGACTGGAGTGACGCAGCTGCAAGCCCAGGAACGCCAGAGGCTGCCGGCCCCACCAGGAGCGAGCGGAGGGCGGAGGGTATGGGACAGATTCCCCTCTGCAGGTTCCACAGCGAAGCCAGCTGCACCCTGATTTCAGACTCCTGACCTCCACCCAGTTAGTGGTACTTAGTTATGGAGGCTCCAAGAAACCAAGGCAGTGCCCATTAGAAATATGTGTTAATTCATCCCTGCAAGGTCTGAGAAAAAACATCTGTTGAGTGAATTAATATGATGGCGAGAAAGCTCGCAGAGGAAATGCCTTCTTAGGCAAGAGAAGAGGGAACCCCGATTCTGCCTAGTGCTGCTGGGAAGGCGTTGCTGTGCGTGACTCTCTCCCAAGCACCTGCAGGGCTCCCCAAGCCTCCTGTGACCCTGGCCAAGGCCGAGATGCCCCTCCTGCCCTCTCCGCCCCACCCAGCAGTGGAGCAGAGCCAAAGACCAGAGGAGACCGCAGGTCCAGGGGTCAACCACCTGCCTTGGCAGTGGACCCCACCACCCCCCAACTCTTCAGCATAGTCTGGCCCCTTCCCAACACCGGCACTTCTCAGTGGAGGCTGATGTGGTCTGGAATCGTGCATGCCCGCTTTTTGGTGGGAAGCAGTAGCTCAGGGGGCCTGGGAGATGCAGTTGAAGGTGTGTGAACTGTACTTAACAAAATGTCTGTCCCCAAAGAGCTGGGTGTCCCCAAAGAGTTGGGTTTATTTTATTTATTTATTTATTTTTTTGAGACGGAGTCTTGCTCTGTCACCCAGGCTGGAGTGCAATGGCACGATCTCGGCTCACTGCAACCTCCGCCTTCTGGGTTCAAGTGATTCTCCTGCCTCAGCCTCCCGAGTAGCTGGGATTACAGGTGCACGCCACCACGCCTGGATAAATTTTGTATCTTTAGTAGAGACAGGGTTTTACCATGTTGGTCAGGCTGGTCTTGAACTCCTGACCTCAGGTGATGGACCTGCCTCGGCCTCCCAAAGTGTTGGGATTACAGGCGTGAGCCACCACGCCCGGCCAAGAGTTGGGTTTAAAAAATGAAAAGCAGAACACAAAGCTGCCTTTCCAGGGACTCTCCAAATATTTTGGGATCATGGACCCCCTTTGAGAATGGAACAAAAACTAGGGGCTCTCACCAACTGACTGCACACACACAACACTTAGCATATATTTCAGGGAGTCCATGGATGATTGAAACCCACCCTTTGCGCTCCTAAGAGCCCATAGGCCCCAGTAGAAGAACCTCCAGGCCCTCTGTGATCTGCTGTTCTTTCTCTGTATCCCTGACAGTTGTGGCTCCTCTCTCTGGATGGTCTCACTTAAACTCCAGGGTGATTGTCTCCATTTTGTGGAGGTGGGAAGGAGGCAAAGACAGGTTAGACAACTTGCCCAGGGTCACACCTAATCCAGAATTTGCACCTGGACAGTCTGACATGGAGACCACCCACCCATCTATTTCCTTCATTTTTTAGTGTGCTAAAATATACGTATATATTTATCACCTTACCATGTTTTTTTCTTTTGAGATGGAGTCTCTCTCTGTTGCCCAGGCTGGAGTGCAGTGGTGCGATCTCAGTTCACTGCAACCTCCACTTCCCTGGTTCAAGTGATTCTCCTGTCTCGGCTTCCCAAGTAGGTGGGATTACAGGCACCCGCTCCCACACCTAGGTAATTTTTGTATTTTTAGTAGAGATGGGGTTTTGCCATGTTGGCCAGGCTGGTCTTGAGCTCCTGACCTCAAGTGATCCGCCCGCCTCGGCCTCCCAAAGTGCTGAGATTACAGGCATGAGCCACCGCGCCCAGCCACCTTACCATTGTTAAGTGTACAGTCTGGTGGCATTAGCACATCCACAGTGCTGTGCAAGCACCGTTACCATCCCTCTCCAGAACTTTAAATCATCGCAAACTGAAGCTGTCTCCATTAAATACTAACCCCCATTCCGCCTTCCCCCAGCCCCTGGCAGCCACCATTCTACTTTCTGTCTCTATGAATTTGACGACTCTGGGGACGTCGGGTAAGCAGAATCATATGGTACTTGTCCTTTTGTGTCTGGCTTATTTCACTTAGCATCATGTCCTCAGGGTTCATCTGTGTCGCAGCGTGTGTCAGGTTCTCCCTCCTTTTTAAGGCTGAATCATATTCCATTATATGGATGGGTCACATTTTATGTCTTCATTTGTTGATGAACAGTTGTGTTGTTTCTACCTTTTGACTACTCTGAATAAAGCTGCTATAAACATGGGTGTACAAGTATCTGTTCAAGTCCCTTCTTTCAGTTCTGTTGGGTCTATACCTAGGAGCGGAATTGCTAAATCTACATGTAACTTGTTCAGGAGCCACCATACTGTTCTCCCCTGTGGCTGCACCGTTTTTGTTCCCACCAGCAATGCATGAAGGTTCCGATTTTTCCACATCCTTGCCAACACTTGTTATTTTTTGCTTTTCCAATAATAGCCATCCTCATGGGTACCTCCATCTATTTTGTTTTCATTGAGATGGGGGTCTCACTATATTGCCCAGGCTGGTCTTGAACTCCTGGACTCAAGAGATCCTCCTGCGTCAGCCTCCCAAAGTGCTAGGATTACAGGCACGAGCCACCACACCCAGCCCTTCCATCTATATCTCAACCTCCTGGCCTCAGTTTCCTCATCTGTGTCATGGGGACAATGATCCTCACAGGATAGGACTTAATGAGGAAATGCACATAAAGGACTCGGGATGCTACCTGGGCTATGGGAATTCTCAGTGAATGACAGTTAATATTGCTGAGGGAGTTGTCTCTGCCTTCCCAGAGTTTCAAGGAGTCAGTGCAGGCAGAATAACATCACAGAATTCCCTTCTTGCCCCTGTTTTTCCTGTAGAGCAGCTGAGAAAGAGATGCAGGGAGGGTGGGTACAGGAATAGGGTGGCTGAAATCGCCTGTCTCTGCACTCCCCTCCCCGCGCCCACCTGCCCACCCTCCATGGTTTTCTTCCCTCTGCTGTTTCTATTCTAGTCCGGTGTCCGTCCATCTCCAGTTACGGGGCGATCAATAGGGACAGGACGTTTATGGAAGAAAACAAGAAGGCAAGAAAGAGGGGAGGGTGTTGAGGAAAAAACAGGTTGGGGGAGGCCCAGGGACATAGAGCAGCTAGACCCCCACAGGGTCTGGGGAAGCTGGGTCTGCAGGAGCCGGGCTTGGCCAGTCTGGAGCTCAGATCTGCCCGTCCAGGCCCAGCTCAGCCTCTTGGAACTCACGGGTTTCCTCTCGCTCAAGGACTTCAGCCTGCTCCTGGGCAGAAAGGGGGTGAGGATGCAATGCCTGGCACGTAACCCATGGGTTCCCAATAAATGGTACCTGCCTTTCCTGTTCCCTTAATCCACATTTATTCCTTTTGAACAGAATGGGCACACAAGACCTTAATTTGGTGCAAAGGACCTCCCTTCATCATCTCCCACAAACACCACCCACTGGGCTTGAATACCTCCAGGAATGGGGAACTCATTCCTCCTTTCCTGTTCCTGCTGGCAAAGGACCCGCTGGGCTGCCTTCCTGGAGCTTCCTGGGTTTTCTGGGCAGAGGAACTTGCGTGGGATGATGCCCCCTTCCCTCTGACTCCCAGGTCTGGAGTGGGCAGAGCTGGCTGGGCTGTTTTGCTATCTTGCCCCTGCCCTGGCTCCAGTGTGTTGGCCCTGCCTTGGGCCCATCGAATGCAGCTGCTACCACGGCTGCAGGAGGACACTGAGCATTTCAGAGCAGGGGTGCTCCCTGGCAGCTCGTGAGCTGCCCTGGGCTGCAGGGGTATTTTGTTTTCCTTGCACAGAGTTTAAACAACTTTTTGAAGTAGGTGCCAATATTTTTGAAAG
This sequence comes from Homo sapiens, assembly GCF_000001405.40. NCBI lineage: Eukaryota > Metazoa > Chordata > Mammalia > Primates > Hominidae > Homo > Homo sapiens. The sequence continues at coordinate 132,203,556 of NC_000009.12, read as the reverse complement.
CAAGAGACTTTACATAGATACTTCTGTGCACCTTCCTTTGTAACCGCAGAAGATCTGGAATGTTTGGTCCACTGTCTTGTGAGGCGCCTGCTGTCTCCATTTCTCCCCAGGCCACACCCTTCCCTATCGCTTCCGCTGGTACCATAGGTACCCATGTACATTATCTTCTTCTCATTATTTTTATTATTCATTTGAATTTATTATTATTATTTTTTTAGAGACAGGATCTCTCTCTGTCACCCAGGCTGGAGTGCTGTGGTACCATCATAACTCACTGCAGCCTCAACCTCCCAGGCTCAAATAATCCTTCTGCCTCAGCCTCCCAAGTAGCTAGGACTACAGGCGCACACCACCATGCCTGGCTTCCACGTAAGTTGTGTTTCCAGCCTCTGCAGACATTTGGGATTGCAACCCCTGTGAACCCAGAGGCATGCTTCCACACTCCTTCTAGTACCTGGGGTGGGTGCAGGAATGGCCTCATATCTAGGCAGCCCTGACCCCAAGCCTCCCCCACTTCCCTCTCCCACCGTCTAACCAGAGGAATGAGACACTGGGATAAGCTCTTTGAATATAGCATTTCATCGACTCCTCACAACAGGCAGCTGAAGTCATTACTATTTCTCCATTTTGCAGATGAGAAAACTGAGGTTCCAACAGGTTACAGTCATCCATCTCCATGGATGCAGCAGCTTCCACCTTTCCAGCTCACTTGAGGAGCTTTGCAAAGACACAGCCTTCTGGACCTCACCCCAAGCCTCCCGGTCCCAAAGCTCTCAGTGGTGGGGCTGGGGAACCCTGTCTTAAATGGTTCTCCTGTGAGATGCTGGGTCAGGTTTGGGCCCCGCTTCTCTTAATGGTTGTGTGGAGGGTGGGGGCGGAGGCCCCTCCCGCTCCAAGCACCATAAAGGGATGATCTCATTCCTCCTCAAATCCAGATTCTGCCCCAGATTTGCTGCACAGTCTGAAGCCAGCCACTCTCCAGGCTCCGCACCTGAGTTTCCCCATGTGTGGAAGGAGAAAATAGCTCCCACCCCCTGCCTGCCTTCCAGGAATGGGCACGTGGAGCAGGCTCCGCGGGAGGCAGGGAGGGGGCGTGGCTGGGACTTGCGGGTGCCTGTGCTTCTCTCAGAGCCACCGGCAGCCCACCTGCCCCCTGTGGGGCTGCAGCTCAGTCTGTCCCCACCTCTTGTCCCCCTCACCATTTGTACCAGTCCCTCCTTCCCAGGGCCCTGGGCTGGCTGCAGCTGCTGCAGCTGCTCCAGCTCCTCCTCTGCAGCCAGGTGCCTCTGTCCTCCCCCTCCTGCCTACATTGCTGCCTGCCATTGGGGTCCCCCTTGGAGCTGGAAATCACTGACTTGAGTGGCAGAGCAGGGAGCCACCACCCATCAAAGAACCTTCAATTCAAAGGGGAGTCCCGTGGGATCGCTCCATCATACAGGCTACCTGAGCTCCAGGTGGGCTCAAGTCAGAGCTGGAACCAGAAATGAGGCAGCCACCGGGCCAGGGCTAGGGACAGCTCGGTGGCTGAGTCTGTCTTGAGCCTGGACATGCTTGTGTCTAGATGTTAGCTGTCTGCCATGTAGTGGCGCTGTGCAATCTCCTTCTATTCTCTGACCTCAGAGTCCTTGGCTTCTTCATCTGAAAACACGAGGCTGGGGGAGCGCTGCCCCCGCGGGGAGCGCTCCAGGGGGTGGGGATCAGGTCTGGCTTGCTCAGTGCCGTGTCTTTGGCTTGTGGGATCTGAGCCATTCAATAACCATTGGGGAATTAAACGGCTATTGATTAAACAAGAAAATACACATGAAGCCGTTAATAACAGCGCTCAATAGCAAATGAGCCCGTAGCAAATGCTCGATAAACGTTTGCTGTTCTTGTTAGTGGGCCACAGCGGAGCCACTGGGCAACATGGCAGTCACGAAATTCTGAGGGAATCCCCAGAACAGGATCGGTGTAAAATCCCAGAGCCTGGGAACCCCCAGGGGTCCCTGGTGCCCACTCAGGAACTTCGGGTCCCACATCCCCCTTTGCCACCAGTCCTGTGTCTCTGGCTTCTCAGCATGGCTGGACTTTCCCAGCGGAACTGAAGAGGGAAAAGGGGAGGTAACCTCAGTCCTTCGCTGAACCGTCTAACCCAACCGAGTTCAACGACAAGCCAAGCTGCCGCCTGAAGAGTGTTTACTCTCTCTCTGAATTGATTGTACACTCTCGCCACCACCTCGGCTCCTCCCCGCCGCCCGCAGAGGCTGGGTGCCAAGCGGAACCACCTCCAGGGAGACATGGGCTCCAGGCAGCCTCAGGCCTCTTGTCACAGATGGGAAATCAAGGCAGGATGCAGAGAGGCAGGGTTTGAACCCCAGGTCACCCTGCTGGGGTTGAAGGGGCACCACCAGGCCCTGAGCATCACAGTCCCAGTCTGGATCCTACAGCTGGCCCAGACATGAGGGCCCCACATGAGCCACCTTATGAAAGGTAAGGCAGGGTCCTTGAACAGTTGCCTGAAGATGAGGGTTTCCCTGAGCAGTCCAAGGTCAGAAGACAAGCCAGGAGCCTGCAGGGCCTGGGGAGCTGGTTCCCAGCCCTGAGCTGCTAAGCCCAGTGGGACTGCAGGGATTGGCAGGTGTCTAGTAACAACCAGACAATTGCATCCCGAGGGCAGAGGTCACGGAGATGCCCAGGGGCTGAAAGTCTGGACACCAGTTCCACAACAGTGCCTATATATGGGGTGGTTTCCAGAACATTCCTGATTTTGAATATCCTGTCCCAATTGGAGGTGGGTTAGAGATCACGGGTGTCAGAACCACGGGCCCCTGTCTGCACCTGCTTCACTCCCATCTGCCAGACTTGAAGCTGACTCCAGCTTCATGAACGACCTGCCTTTGCCTTTGCCCACCTGGAATCCACACACACCGTCAAAGTGAAACAAAATGCAAATACAAGCTGGAAACAGCAGCACCACAGCGGCCTGCCCAGCCTCACGGCACAGGCATCACCACAGCACATGGCTGGCAAACGGGCTTCCAGCCTTTCTCCCCAACCCATGATGTTTTTCCCGGTCCTGTACACACTTACAGCCAATGTCTGTTCAAGACGCAGAAATGATATACAAGGCATATTATATATTTTACAAAAACAGGATTATGCTCTACCTGCCATACGGCAAATCACTTTTTCCACTTGTCAGGAATTACAGATTTGGGTGGACATTGAAAGCCTGCAGTGGAGAGATGCCCACAGTGATCATCCCAGCTGGGCTCCCCAGGTGCAGCCCCTGCCTGCACCTGCCTAAGCCAGGCTCCTGGCCCGGACTGCCCCAGCACCCTTGGGTCTCAACTCTCTCCTCCCTCAGCCCGCCCCAGCCCTCTCACTCCATTATTTTGTCCAATTTTTTTATTAAACACTTTTTTTTAGTGCGTATTATGTGCCAGGCACTGTTCGGTGTGCTTCATCAACTTTAACTCATTTAACCCTCACCACAATCCAGCAAGAGACTTATGCTTGTTACCATCCCCATTCTACAGATGGCCCAGGGTAGATGGCATTGCCCCCACAGACTGGCATATTATCTGCCAAAAGTACAAATGACCCAGGACAACACAGAACCATTTAATCATCCACAGTCTAAACAGTTTTTGGGAGGTAAAGGCTGCTTTCATCTCCTATGACAGTCTTTTGCCTTCCTCAAAGTTTCCTCAAAACACATTCCTCTCCAGAGCTGGGCAAGAAAGAGCTGCCACAGCAGGCCTGGGTTGTCCACACCCTGCACATTCCAAAGAAAGATCTGACTCCGGCCTGGTTTCTGCTAGGTGACCTCTAATCCATAAGCCGTTGGACTGTCCTGTCTAGGAAGAGTGTCCATGTTTGCCTGCGGGTCTTGGGCCACATCAGAGAGCCTATGCCTTGGGCCATGTAGTATCAGCTCGACCTCTGGAGGGATTGGAGCCAAAGGCCAGCCAGATCATCAGCAATGCCTATACCATCATCTCCCAGTAAAAACTCTGAACACTGAGGCTTCAGTAAGCATCCCTGCCTGGTGATAGTTCACAAGCATTGTCCCATGTCACTGCTGGGAGAATCAAGTGCTGCCTGCACAACCCCACTGGGAGAGGACAATGAGAAGCTTGCACCTGGTATCTCCTGGACCCAGCCCTGTGCACCTTTTCCTGTTGCTGATTTTAATCTGTATCCTTCATTGTAATAAACCATAACTGTGAATATAGCAGCTTTGCTGAGTTCTGTGAGATTTTCTAGTGAATCATGGAGCCTGAGGGCGGTCTCGGAAACCCCTGAACATGAGAGCCCATTCACTGAGTCAGTGGACAGCCTCAGAGCACTTCTCACAGTCAGCACCAGGAGTTAGCCCAGCTCTGCCCAGACAGGCTCCACTCCTGCCCTCCACACCTCCAACACATGCACTTCCTTCCTCCGACATGTGCACCTTCTTCCGTGGAAAAGCTCAGGCATTGGGTCTGTGCAGCCCCAGCCATCCTAGGCAGTCCCTATGATGTAATATCAGGTAATGTCCTGAGAACCAGGTAATGTCCCAGGTGCTAGGTAACCTCCTGGAAACCAAGTAACATCTCAAGAAGTAGATAGTGTCCCAGGTACCAGGTAACATTCCAAGAACCAGGTCATGTCCCAGGTACCAGATAACATCCCAAGAACCAGGTCATGTCCCAGGTACCAGGTAACATCCCAAGAACCAGGGGATGTGTCACATACCAGGTAACCCCCAGGGAACCAGGTAACGATGTATCACATACCAGGTAACCCCCGGGGAACCAGGTAACGATGTATCACATACCAGGTAACGCCCAGGGAACCAGGTAACATCCCAAGAACCCGGTCATGTTCCACATACCAGGTAACATCCCAGGTATCCAATAACGTCCCAGGTAACAGATAGCATCCCAGGTTGCAGGTGACATCCAGGGCTTCCCCCGGCCTTACCTGCCGATGACCTCGATGTTGGAGATGGCGTAGAAGTACTTGTAGAGGTTCTCCCGCTGCACATAGGTGCCGCCCAGCGCCGGGCGCAGCAGCCGCATGCGCAGGTCGGTGAGGGTGAAGAACTCCTTGAGGCCCTTGGCGCTCTCCAGCCGCGTGTAGAGGTTGTCCATGTTGCGCAGGTCGGGGCCGGCAAAGATGGCGAAGCGGTCCCGCACCTCGAAGCGCACGTGCTTCTCCTTCTTGGAGCCTGCCCAGCGCGAGTACTCCTCGGTGCAGAGCACGCGGTGCGCGCTGGAGGATGACATGTCGCGGGCCCGGCGGGCGGACATACCGAAGGCCTCCATGCAGTCCTCGGCGTAGAACTGGTAGGGCTGCCAGGTGCGCCCGTTGTCCAGGGACTTCTCCAGGACCATGACCGTGGGCCGGCCGTACTCGAAGGTCATCACCACGTCGTCGGTCAGCTCCACGGTCTTGTTCCACGAAAGGGTGATGTTGGCTTCCAGCGGGCTGGGGTAGCGGCTCCAGGTGATGCTCTGCCAGTAGGTGGCCAGGCCCTCCTCCTCCTTGTCGAACATGAGCCTGGGCGGGTGGGCCAGGTCCGGGTTGGAGGCGTCACACTCGTTGCTGCATAGGTAGGGATTCTCCTGCAGCGGGGAGAGGAGAAGGGAAGGGTGGGTGCTGGATGCTCGGGATGGCCTGGGAAGCCTCTGCGCGGCCTAGCCCCTGCCTGCGAACCGAGAAACCTGCTCTGTGGCTACAGGGCCTGTGCTCCGGTGCCCAGACACAGCTGGGAGATTTGTGCCCATTTCCTCAATGCGTGCAGAGGTGTGCAATCCCATGGCTTCCAAAGAAAAAATGCATACTTGTCCTTGCTCTAAATACAGACAACCAAGAAGGCTGGGTGTTAGTCCCCTGCTTTGAAGCCCTCCATGGCTCCCCGTTGCCTGGAATACAGAGTCCTGACTCTGTAATATACCAACCCCAACCTGCCCTCCCACACCTGGTGACAGTGTGCCTGGGCCTCCCCGGGACAGCTGTCCTCCTGCCCCTGCCTGGTTGTACCTCTGAGCCTTTGCAGATGGCATTCTGTCTCCTTCATGTGCCCTTCCACTCTGTCCGCCTCAAAAATTCCCATTCACATTCTCGACTCTCTAAATATCTCCTTAGCTGAGTCACCTTCCTGAGCCTTTTATTTTTTAATTTTAATTTTATTTTTTTATTGAGATGGAGTCTTGCTATGTTTCCCAGGATGGAGTGCAGTGGGGCGATCTCGGCTCACAGCAACCTCCACCTCCCAGGTTCCAGCGATTCTCCTGCCTCAGCCTCCCAAGTAGCTGGGATTACAGGCATGCACCACCACGCCCGGCTAATTTTTGTGTTTTTAGTAGAGACAGGGTTTCGCCATGTTGGCCAGGCTGGTCTCGAACTCTGACCTCCGTTGATCCACCTGGCTTGCCCTCCCAAAGTGCTGGGATTGCAGACGTGAGCCACTGCGCCCGGCCCCTGAGCCTTTTTACCTGTACCCTTAGGATTGGTGAACACATTGAGGTGCTCAAAGAGGGCCTGGAAGCTCTGGGTCTCTCCCCGATCCCTTACTCTGTGAGTCTCTTCTATCTGGCTGTTCCTGAACTTGATAAACAGGTAAATGTAGGGAAAATGCCTTTCTGAGTTCCGTGAGCTGTTCTAGCAAACTATCAAACCTGAGGGAGGGGTCGTGGGAACCCCCAATTTACAGCCAATTGGACAGAAGTACGGGAGGCAGGAACTTGCAATTGCGTCAGAGGTGGGGGCAGTGTGGTGCGACTGAGCCCTTCACCTGAGGGTTCTGACGCCAGCTCTGGGCAGTGTTACAATTGAACGGAATCATCGGACACCCAGTGGTGTCCAGAGAGCTGGAGACTAGGTTGTTGGTGTGGAAAACCCATACATTTGGTGTGAGAAGTGTCACTGATGGAAACAGGCCAGAGGGATCTGAAAATGTCACTAACGTAGTGGTCCCCAGGGTCAGAGGGATGACTAGGCCGAGCACAGGGCATTTTTAGGACAGTGAGGCTATGCCGTATAATACTGCAGTGGTGGATGCATGCCATTATGAATGAGTCAAAACCCATAGACCCAGGCTGGGCGCGGTGGCTCACACCTGTAATCCAGCACTTTGGGAGGCCGAGGCGGGCAGATCACCTGAGGTCAGGAGTTCAAGACAAGCCTGACCAACATGGAGAAACCCCGTCTCTACTAAAAATACAAAAAAATTACCCGGGCGTGGTGGTGCATGCCTGTAATCCCAGTTACTGGGGAGGCTGAGGCAAGAGAATCACTTGAACCCTGGAGGCGTAGGTTGCAGTGAGCCGAGATCGTGCCATTGCACTCCAGCCTGGGCAACAAGAGTGAAACTCCGTATCAAACAAAAACAAAAACAAACAAAAACAAAACAAAACAAACAAAAAAACCCATAGACCTGTACAACACAGTAAGTGAACTCTCATGTAAATTATGGACTTTAGTTAATAATAATGTATCAACAATGGTTCATCAGACATGACTAATATGGTGGCTCACACCTGGAATTCCAACACTCCGGGAGGCCGAGGCAGGAGGGTCACTTGAGCCCAGGAGTTTGAGATCGGCCCAGGCAACACAGAGAGACCCTGTCTCTACAAACAATAAAAAATAAACTGGGTGTGGTGTGGTGGCATGCACCTCTAGTCCCAGCTACTCGGGGGGCAGAAGTGGGAGGATCACTTGAGGCCAGGAGTTCAAGATCAGCCTAGGCAACACAGCAAGACCCTGTATCTACAAAAAAAAATTTAAAAATTAGCTGGGCATAGTGGTGCACACCTGTGGTCCTAGCTACTTGGGAGGCTGGGGCTGGAGATTGCTTGAGCCCAGGAGTTTGAGGCTGCAGTGAGCTATGCAGCACCACTGCACTGTAGCCTGGATCACAGAGGGAGACCCTGTCTCTAAAGAAATTCCCCAAAACAAAGGCCAGGCGCGGTGGCTCACGCCTGTAATCCCAGCACTTTGGGAGGCCGAGGCGGGTGGATCACGAGGTCAGGAGATCAACACCATCCTGGCTAACACAGTGAAACCCCGTCTCTACTAAAAATACAAAAAAAAAAAAAAAAAAAAAAAAAATAGCCAGGCGTGGTGGTGGGCGCCTGTAGTCCCAGCTACTCGGGAGGCTGAGGCAGGAGAATGGCATGAACCCGGGAGGAGGAGCTTGCAGTAAGCCGAGATCGCGCCACTGCGCTCCAGCCTGGGCGACAGAGCGAGACTTTGTCTCAAAAAACAAAAACAAAAACGAAAACAAAAAAAAGAGAAATCCCCCAAAACCTCAAATATCCCCCACTAATGCAAGATGTGGATAATAGGCAGGGAAAGATGGTGGGTGGGGGAGGGTGGCATGGGGTTTTAGGTACTTTCTGTACTATCTGCTCAATTTTCTGTAAATCTAAAACTGCTTTAAAATATAAAGTCTATTAATGAATGAAAGAAAGAAAGAAAGAGAAAGAAAGAAAAAAACGAACACTGTCACTAACAACCACCCAGTGCTCCGGACCACTTGTGGCCCTTTCTGATGCATGTTTCAGGTGTCTGGTTTGCTCAGACACAAAATGGCTTGGATCTAAGTTAAAACCTCTCACTCTCAAATGAGCTGTTTGGCCCCCATGGGGGAAATGGGGCCCACCGCCTTCTGAGGGGCTGAGCCACAGCCCCGCGGCCCCCACCAGGTGCCACTGCAGCAGCCGCAGCCTTTGGGCTTCTATCCTCTAGGGTGAAGGACAGGTCCCCTGGCTGCCTGGGGCTCCTCGGTGGCAGGGCTGACCCTCGGTTCATTGAGGCAGGTTCCACAAATCCCTCTTTGACCAAAATAGCTCTGTCCTCAGGCCCCTATGCAACCTCAGGGTGGCAGGAGCTCACCATAGAGTCCAATATCTCCTTAAGCAGATGGGGGGACTGAGGCCCGGGCCAGGGTAGGACTGGCCCCAGCCTTCTCGAGAGCAGATGGCACCTCTGAGGAGGAGTCTGCTGTTATCATCAGAGATATCCACACCACTGGCAAGCCCACCATGCCAGGACAGCAGAGGGACATGGGGCGGGGGGGTTCCCAGCTTCCTCACTCACTGGCCGGGTGACTCTGGGCAAGACACACCCTGTCCTGTGCTGTTGCCTGGAATGGTGAGGGACTGAGAGGCTGTGGGGATGGCCCAATGGCCTGAGTGGGTAGCAGGTGCTGGGCTGGAGGAGGCAGGCTTGACCCGTGAGGGAGCCAGCAGCCGGGAAGGGTGCTGTGAGCCTGGATGCAGAATGGGCTCTGTCTGTGCCGCTCGGGAGGAGGAGTGATGGGCAGATGCTCCAAGAACTTGCACCTGGGCTCTGGCACCCAGGCACATGCCCCCCTTCCCCCAGCCCAGCCATCACTCCCTTCCTGAAGTCCCAGTGCTGCTTCTGCTGCCCCTGGGGACTTCCTAGGGGCTGAATGGTGTCCCCCAGATTTCTATGTTGAAGCCCTAACCCTAGTATCTGAGAATGGGACTGTATTTGGAGACAGATTCTCTTTCAAGAGGTGATTGAGGTTAAATGGGACCCTCAGGTTGGCCCTAGTCCAATCTGACTGGTGGCCTTGGAAGAAGAAGAAGTTTGGCTGCCGGATGAGACGCTGGGGCCCATGTGCACAGAGAAAAGGCCGTTTGAAGGCACAGTGAGAAGGCGGCTGGCTCCAAGCCAGGGAGAGAGGCCTCTCCAGAAACCAAACCTGCCAACAACTTCATCTTGGACTTTCAGCCTCCAGAACAAGGAAAGACATTTTTGTTGTTTAAGCCACCTGGGTCTCGTGTGCTACTTTGTTATGGTGGCCGGAGCTGACTAAGACAAGCCTCATGCCAGGTGAGCAAAGAGGGAACAGGCCGGGAGGAATGGCTCAGAGGGGTAGAGACGAATTGGGAGTTTTTCATCCTATTTCCCCAGAGGATGTCTCTGGGGTCTCCTCCACCAGCCTGGTTTCTCAGTACGCTGGCACCAAGTGGCGTCACACTGCGTCACCTACCCAGAAAGCTCTTATCAACCCAGCACTGAAGCTGTGCCATTTCCCAGGCCACTTCGTCCCCTCCCACCTCAGAGCCTGTGCTCCTTTGGCCACTGTCTGTCCTCCTGGTTTTCAGAGCCCTCCCACATGTGCCTCCTCCAGGAGGCCCTCCTGACTTGAATCAATCTTTGAACCCAGTTCTCTCATCATCCATCATAGAGTTGTTAATGTGCTTATTGGGGACAGTGTAGTGAGGCCTGCATATTGGGCCTGGACCTCAGTAACCACTCACTCAATTATACTTATTATTATTATCATCATATTAATAAGCTATTAATAAAATGACAGTGATATTGACATATCTCCTATTGAGTGTTGATAGTATTCCCGTCATCCCCAACTGCTGAGCCACCCACACTTCACCTTTTCCCTGGTCTCTCTTCATCTTCCTGCCTTACTTAGCCCTGCCCTGCCCAGGCCCCTGATGGGTTCTATGGGGTGGGGGCATTGTGGCGGGGGACAGGGTATCCCTCAAAGCCCCCAGTTGCACCCGGCCTGTCTGTCACTGGGAAGACTGACACAGCTGGCTCTGGCTGGAGATGGGGGCTCTAAGCTGGCTGCTCCAACCTATGGGGCACTCCGGCCCCCGCCCCGGCCCGGGAAGCAGATGGTCAGAAACTAATGAATCAGCCTGTGTGTTTACAGGCCCCTCGCCTGCTGTGGAGCGAGCTCAGTCAACAGCAAGTACAATAAATAAATCCCGAGCCGCGGCCAACACAATTTTCTCTCTCCCTCTTTCTCTTTCTGTCTTTCTCCTTGTCCCCCTCTGATTTTGCTCCCCAAGGTCTCAGAATTCCACTGAGCTGGTCAGGAGTGTGGAGCATCCCAGCAAAGGCACTGTTGGCGCTGACCTGACCTTCCTTTTCCTCTACAAACACAGTATTGCTTCCTCTCACTTTCCTTCTATTCTTGTTTTGTTTTGTTTTGTTTTTTGAGACAGAATCTTGCTCCATGGCCCAGGCTGGAATGCAGTGGCACAATCTCGGCTCACTGCAACCTCCACTTCCTGGGTTCAAGCGATACTCCTGCCTCAGTCTCCCAGGTAGCTGGGACTACAGGCGTGCGCCACCACGCCTGGCTAATTTTTGTATTTTTAGTAGAGACAGGGTTTCACCATGTTGGCAAGGCTGGTCTCGAACTCCTGACCTCAGGTGATCCGCCCACCTCGGCCTCCCAAAGTGCTGGGATTACAGGCGTGAGCCATTGCACCTGGACCTTCTATTCTTCACTGGGGGAATTCTGGGGACCCACCGGGGTATTAGAAGACCAGTTTACCCCAGTCCCCCCACCCCAGTCCCCAGTCAGCATCTGACAGCTGATAATGTCATGGGGGTGGGGCTGAGACTGGGAGTGTCTCCTCTGAGTGGGGGTGAAGGTTTGCCAGCCTCCTCTGGGTCTGCGCGTTTCCACCCATCTCCAGGACAGCAGATCAACTAATCACAAAAACAGCAGTCAGAACAAAGTGGCCTAATATAGGGAGAGACTGTTAGGCACACCTCTAGCCTTTCAGCATGGCTCCAAAGCCGCCCTTTGATAGTATCAGAAGTAGTAGCTGCCTCTTTAAATATTTCATGAAAATTAAAACAACAACAAAAATCATACCGCTGATTTTTAAAAAGAGTCTTGGGATTTTCTCTAGAAAGATGCGGTAATGGCCGGGCGCGGTGGCTCACGCCCGTAATCCAAGCACTCTGGGAGGCTGAGGCGGGTGGATATGAGGTAAGGAGATCGAGACCATCCTGGCTAACACAGTGAAACCCCGTCTCTACTAAAAAATACAAAAAATTAGCCGGGTGTAGCGGCGGGCGCCTGTAGTCCCAGCTACTCAGGAAGCTGAGGCAGGAGAATGGCGTGAACCCAGGAGGTGGAGCTTGCAGTGAGCCGAGATCGCGCCACTGCACTCCAGCACTCCAGCCTGGGCGACAGAGCAAGACTCTGTCTAAAAGAAAAAAAAAAAGAAAGATGAGTTAACATACCCATTTTCCATACAGTTTTGGGCCCTGGCGTCTGAAAGCCCTGAGTTCCCTCTCAGCTCTCTCCTTTGAGGCTCTGTGACCTTGACAAAGTCACTTGACTTCTCTGAGTCTCTATTTTCTTATTGATTGCCATGTGAGATGGTCTGTGTCTCACATTACCTAGAATCCCTAGGAAATGTCTCCAAATGGGAGCGATTATTTTGAAACAGCAGCTTCGTATTAACTCAGGGACACTCCACTCCCAGCAACCTTCCACAGGAGGAAGGGATGAGGCTGAGACCACCAGGCTTGTGCATGAGAAACCCTGGAACTTCATGGCGTGGACTGTCCCGGGAACGGCTGACTCAGAAGAGTGTGATGATTGTAACATTCACTGAGTGCCAGCCCTGTGCCCGGGCTGGGTTGGGCACTTCACAGCCGCTCCTCCCTGCACCCTCTCAGCAACCCACAGGAGGCAGGTGCTACAGTCAGCTCCACGTCTCAGATAAGACACTAAGTACCCATGGCCGCACATCACTTACCCATCCCCTGGACTCCACGGGACCCAACCTTGAGGAATCTTGGGGAAACCAAGCCCATCATGTCTACAGCTTTCCTATCTCTCTGGACACACATAGGCAAGTCACCTGAAAGGTCAGGCAGTGTGGCTAGAAGTCAAAGGAGGGTGGGCAGAGGGAAGGGAAGGCAGCCAGCCAGGCCCATAGCACCAGAGAACCGGGTGAGGAGGAGCCTCCTACACAGATGCCAAGCCTGAGCTCCTGGCATGAAATATTCTATGGAGAAACCATTTCATGCCATGCTTTTCAAGCCTCGTCATGGGCACTTAAATGCTTTTCCTTTTATGTTATTTTCTGTGCAAAGGGTACAGTCAAAGTCAGAGGCCAGGTTGTAAACATCATAGGCAAGCTGCAGGCAAAAAACATAATTGAATGGGAAAGTGAACTGTTAGCAAGAATGGAGGTAAATGTGCCTGTGGGAAGCCCAGCCATTTGAACTTCCAGGCCCCTGACTAAGGAGGCCGTGGAGGGGCGGTCACTGGAATGGTCACCAAGTCTCAGGAAGAAGAACAGACAACGTCATGCAGCTGGCCTTGCACCCAAGCCTGCGCTGGGATGAAATCTCAGAGTTGGGATGAAATCGCCAGGGTGTCCCGGGCAGGGCTCTGTGGTTTGTGGAGGGATGCACTGGCTCACTCCCTCAGCAGCTCCCCAGCTCCACAGGCTTGGGCGAGTCCCCCAATTTCCTTGAGCCCAATGAAGCCCAGGACATGCTACCCTAAAACCTTCTTTTTTTTTTTTTTTTTTTTTTTTTTTTTGAGATGGAGTCTCTCTCTTTCGCCCAGTCTGGAGTGCAGTGGCGCTATCTCGGGTCACTGCAAGCTCTGCCTCCCGGGTTCACACCATTCTCCTGCCTCAGCCTCCCAAGTAGCTGGGATTACAGGTGCCCGCCACCACGCCCAGCTAAGTTTTTGTATTTTTAGTAGAGACGGGGTTTCACCGTGTTAGCCAGGATGGTCTCGATCTCCTGACCTCATGAGCCGCCCGCCTCGGCCTCCCAAAGTGCTGGGATTACAGGCTAAAACCTTCTTAAAATATTTTAGGCTGGGCACAGTTGCTCACGCCTGTAATCCCAGCACTTTGGGAGGCTGAGGCGGGCCGACCACCTGAGGTCAGGAGTTCAAGACCAGTCTGGCCAACATGGTGAAACCCTGTCTCTACTAAAAATTAAAAAAAATAAATAATTAGTTGGGCATAGCGTTTCGTGCCTGTAGTCCCAGCTACTCAGGAGGCTGAGGCACGAGAATCATTTGAACCTGGGAGGCAGAGGTTGCAGTGAGCTGAGATCACACCACTGCACTCCAGCCTGGGTGACAGAGTGAGACTCCGTCTCAAAAAAAAAATTTTTTTTAAGCTGAAGGGATTTGAGAAAACCACAGAAGCGGAAGGTTACTCTTTGACCTTCCCCTGCCCTTCTTCCCTGAAGCAGGACATGAGGCTCATTCGAGAGGTGCCCTCCCAATGCCCGGAGGAAGGAACATTCTCATCTCCAAAGATGCAGGGTCACAGAGAGGGACCTGGACACACAGGTCTTGCAAAATTCCCGCCAGTTTATCACCAGGAGATGATACCTTTTTTTTAAGCCAATCGTACTTCTCCATGACTATTTCTCCATTAAACCTAGCATACAAAATAGATGTTCACCAATGTTTTGGGTCTTCATTCCTTATGAAAGCTCCCATGAGGCCAGGCAACACAGGGAGATGCCATCTCTACAGAAAAAAACCTCAAAAAACAAAAAAGAAAACTAGCCGGGCATGGTGGCACACACCAGTGGTCCCAGCTACTTGGGTGGCTGAGATAGGAAGATCCCTTGGGCCCAGGAGGTCGAGGCTGTAGTGAGCCGTAACTGTGCCACTGCACTCCAGCCTGAGTGACAGAGTGAGACCCTGTCTAAAAAAAAAAAAAAAAAAAAAAAAAAAGAAAGGCTTAAAGCCTTTTTCACATAAAACTTATATTAAATCCACTGGTATGCTTTGGTGGTATTAATCTGTCTGTTATGATGGGCCCTCAGCCACTAACATAGAATGGGTGAGGAAAAGATCTTTCTCCTGCCCGAGAGCCTCAGCTTCTCTGTTGGAGGGGAGGCTTCATGCGGGCAGCGACCACATCTGATCCTGTCCCCACTCCAGCCCCAGCCCCCGGCCCTCCTCAGGGACTCGGGAAATCTTCGGAGAATGAATGAACGCTCAATGAGGTTACTAGCACTGGCTTCACAGGGTTGTCATAGGAATGATGCCAGGTGCACCATGGCAAGTGCCTCGGTGGTGCCAGCTCATGGGTGAAGGATGCTGGGAGCACATTCATGGCCACTGTCTGGCCTGGTGCTTCAGCAAACAGCAGGCCCCGCCGTTAGGGAGCATGTCTTCCACCTCGGCCCTGTGCTGGGCGCCCTGTGTGCCTCAACCCCACCTCCCACGCTCCCAGGGATCCTGGAGAGTGCGATCCTCAGGAAACCGAGACTCAGAGAGGCTGAGCAATGTCGCAGGGTCATGCGGCTCGGCAGCAGCTGAGGTGGGATAAGAAGCCAGGGGATGGCCCACTGAGCTGGGCCCTGAGACAAATTGGGAAATGGTGCCCTTCACCCAAAAGGGAAAGGACGCTGTTGCCTGGGCCGCACTGTGCTCCCGCAGACTCGGGTTCCACGGGGAGGCAGGCGGCACGTCTCTTGACTGCTGTTGCTGATTTGCCAACGGAACCCTTCTCATCCTCAGCCCCTCAGCCTCACCAGGACGGGAGGCTGCTGCCGCATACAAGGTGGAAGGCTGGAGGCTGCCCAGGAGAGGCCCTGGGTGTGGGTGCCCAGGTAGAGGGCCAGGACTCGAGCACGGGGGAAGCAATCGTGGGGGAAGGCAAGGAAAGGCAGCCGAGCTAGCCCCACCCTCCTCCTTGGATGTGGCCTCTGCCATTTCGGGGGAAACCCTATGGCTTGGGCAGGTGCATAAATCAATAGGTGCCCTGACCCGTGGGGCCATGGAATTAGGACTCAGGGGACTGCCCCTAACACCATGTGTGACCTTGGCCAGGGCCTTGCCCTATCTGTGCCTTGGTTTCCCCGTTCACAAAATGACCGGGCAGGAGTGGGCTGTCCGCCTCTGACCCTGACATCCTAAAGTCTCAAGTTCTGCGTGTTCCTCAGGCCCCCATGCTGCTAGGGAGGAAGGGCACAGAGACACATCCTCCTCCCCTGACTCCAGGGAGAAAGCCGGGGTGCTAGGGGAATTCTCCTTAACAGATTACTTCCTATTTATTGGTAAGAAAAGTTGCAGAGGGAATAAATTATTAACAAAGCGGAAACGGAGATTCTGTTCAGAGCTGATTCTAATTCTAGCGGCCCTGACGGTCTCTAACTCTCTGAGCTCTCCCTCCCTCCCTCCCTCTTGTTTTCTGTCCCTCTCTCTCTCTCTCTCTCTCTCTCTCTTGCTCCCTCTCGCTCTCTGTGTGTGTGTTTCTCATTCTCCTTCTATGGTTTCATTGATCGCTGTCCCTCTTGCTCTCTGTGCTGCTAATTCCTTCCCCAGCGTGCAGGTGTCTCTCTCCTTCCCTTTCCAGATTCTCTTCGTGCACAGGCCCTGGACAACAGACAGCAAGGTCACCCTCCCCGCTCGTGAATCAGCGTAAACCAACCTGGCATTTTAGGGCTGGAGCTGCAGCTGGCCAAGGCGGCTTTTCTGTTTTGTTTTCTGGTTGGAGCAATTTTCCTCCCAGCTCCAAGCAATTACTCAGGCAGGGGCAGGCAAGCGAGCCTCCAAGCGCTGCCTCCCCAGGGACTCGCTTGTCCCAGCAATGAGCCTCCCAAAGCCACGGCGACCGCCCCTGCTCCTCCCCCAGGGGGGCCACAGTGGGCATGGCCTGGGCACAGGTCCACCTTGAACCCAGAGTCTCTGGCTGCCTCTCGAACCTGCCTCGGCTCAAAAGGAGACCCAGAAAATGCATCTCAGTTCCTTGGTTGCTCAGAGCGGCTCTCCTCACCGCCCCTCACCCCGCATTATTTGGGAGGAAAGGGAGCACTTTAGGCCTTTCAACCCTGCCCACAGTGTTCCTCCTTCCAGAACCTTCTGTGAGTGTGAACTCTGGGAGAGCAGGGGCCTTACCCACCTTTGTGCCACACTCCCAACAGCTGTTTGCACACAGCGGTATATGACAAACATTCCCTAACTGAGCGAGGACCCTCTGCAGTGGCTCCAGGCAGTTCTATCCAGGTAGGACGCTGCCTGGGGGAGAGGCGGTGGGCATCCGCGGGCTTCGCTCCGCTTTGGGGATGCTGTTCCAGCAGATCGACTGCTTAGTCTTCTTACACCAATTCGGGTTGCCCCCACAGAACACCCTGAGATCCTTTCGGAGGACCTGAGGGCATTGGGCTGCCCTGATGGACGAGCTGCCCGGGAGAGGGTCAACTGGGAAGCCAAGGTCAGAAAGCAAGGATGAAATGCCAGGCCTGGTGTGGGCACCCACTGCTCATCAGGACCGCAGACCCCTGAATGACTGATCTCCTCCGTCAGCCGAACCACCAGAGTGTGGTGGGCGGGGAGGCATTGCCATGGCTCTGGCTAGACAAGGGTTAATCTCTCCAGGAACTTAAAAATGTATTATTGTTTTCTTAAAGGACACATTCTGCTTTGCCCTGGGCATATGTGGATTCTTCCCACAGCCAGATTTCCAGGAATGTTTGGGGCAGGAAATTCTATCCCAGTTGAAGAGTGCCCGTGCATCCCTGGGGCACCCCACAGGCGACTGACAGAATGGACCAGACACATGGGCGTCTGTCTCAGACAGGGTAAGGCTCCCCTTCTCTTGCATACCTCTAGCGACAGGGGTTTCATTACCACAGAAGGCAGATAGGTGAAACCCCACTGCTCCCTCCTTCGAGTGTGGGGCTGAAATTTGGCCGGTGCTTTGCATTTTTTCTTGGTCCCAGGTTCCCTATTTTTCTCTGGCTATGCTGTAAACACTTTCTAATTGATTAGAAAAAGGAGAGAGGGAGGCCGGGTGAGGCTAAGCCCTCCTCCTTCCCCACACCAGGAGCTCAGTGATCCTCAAACACTTCCCTAGCAGGGCCAGCGGGAGCGCTCAGCCGCTGCTGCTCCTCCTCCTTTCCCTCCTCCTCCTCCTCCCACTCCTCCTCCTCCTCCCACTCCTCCTCCTCCTCCCACTCCTCCTCCTCCTCCCTGCACACACAGGGGCTCAGTCTGGCGCCTCCCTTCCTGCCCACTCCCTACTCAGGGCTTCACTGGCCACCCAAACAGCTCAACACTTTCATACTTTTTTAAAAAGTAAATGAAAGGAGAGATGGAAGGATGAAAGAACGGGAGAGAAGAAAAGGGAAAGAAAGATAAGGGGGCGGGCGGGGGAAAGGCACCGAGAGGAAGAGGGCTACATCCGGAGAAGCCCAGGAAAGTGCATTATTGATTCAGGACTTAGAAAATGCTTAGAGAGTAGGAACAGCGCCCTGCTCTTTAAAAGCTTGTGCAGAGCATAAGCTAGACCCAGGCAGCCTTCCCAAAGAGGGCCCACTCTGCCGCCATGAATATTTTATCACGGAGGGAGGAAAAAAGTGGCTGTGAGGGTTTCAGTGCCGGGGTGGGGTGAGGGACAGGCCCCCCTGGCTGGGGCGCTTGGTAGCTGCCTCTCCTCGGATCCCCTCCCCAGATCCTGGGGGCCTTTTCTGGGCCCCCTCTCCTCTTCTCTGAGAGCTGCCCTGGGCTTTCTTGCTGATCAACAGGGCCTCAGCCAGCTTCCAACAGAGGCCCAGGGTGGGGAAGGGGGTCGGGGGAAGCATCAGCTGAAAGAGGTTTCCGGATGGGCTGAGAGTGAAGCCTGGTCCCCAGCAGTGGTTTCTCCTAAAGGCTCACTCTGTTCTCCCCTGCCCCGCCTTGGTTGGGGCCTCCACCGACCCCTCTAGCCTCCCCACCCCCAGCCCATTCTCAGCCTGCAGCCAGACACCCTTCCCTTTGTCTCCAGCTCCTCCTCAGAGCCCCAGCGCCTTCCCCTTCTTAAGTCCAAACCCTGGGCCTGGCTCTGCCACCAGCTCTGCCTCTCTCCCTTGTCTTTCCAGCCTTGTTTTCTTTGAGACAGAGTTTCGCTCTTGTTGTCCAGGCTGGAGTGCACTGGTACGATCTTGGCTCACTGCAACCTCGGCCTCCCGGGTTCAAGTGATTCTCCTACCTCAGCCTCCCAAGTAGCTGGGATTACCGGATGTGCCTCCACACCTGGCTAATTTTGTATTTTTAGTAGAGACTGGGTTTCCCCATGTTGGTCAGGCTGGTCTCGAACTCCTGACCTCAGGTGATCCACCCGCCTCGGCCTCCCAAAGTGCTG
Organism: Homo sapiens; assembly: GCF_000001405.40. Lineage (NCBI taxonomy): Eukaryota > Metazoa > Chordata > Mammalia > Primates > Hominidae > Homo > Homo sapiens. The sequence goes on along the minus strand of NC_000009.12, from coordinate 132,184,672 downwards.
GGATTACAGGCGTGAGCCACCATGTCCGGCTTCTGGCCTCGTTTTCTACTGGCCAGTCTCTCCCGCCCTTTGGATGCCCCCTCCACCCCGCGGAGCTTTCAGGTTGAGCCATCTTCTGTCTACAGCTCTCCCTCCAGCCTTTGGCAGGTGTCTGCTTAAATTTCTTTTCCTCAGGGAAAACACCCCTGGCCACTGCCCCCCAGTCCCAAGGGAGCACTGGGTCACAGTTTTCCCCAGTGGCTTCTTCGGTTAATGACGGGTGTGTCCCCTCCCCACTGTGTGCTTCAGGAAGGCAGGGGCGGAGCCTGACACAGCCGAGTGACTCCCCCTCCTCGGCCCCTTCCCTCTCCAGGTGTTCCATACTCAGAACCAGGTCTTAGGAGTAGACACAGCACCCGATGGACGGGGCCTGCCCCTGAGAACAGCCAGAAGCTGCGACCTCCGAGGGTTTCTTCCTGCTGGTCTCTGAGGAGTTAAGAGGCGGTGGGGCCGATGAAAGAGTAAAGTTACTGGGTCTGCCCACACCTGGGGACACCTGGACAGGTACACCCCTCTGTGGATGAACCCTGGCTCGTCGTTGGGGGTGGGTGCGAGTAGTGAGGCTGGGCTGGTAAGTTTCATTGATTTATTCATTCACTTATTCATCAACTATTTGTGAACATCCTTCGTGCCCCAGAGAAGCAGCTCTTAGATTTGGCCACCCATGAAAACATGACAATACCTGGGGACGGGAGGGGTGTGGCAACATTCCTGGGCCCTAAGGTCAGAAATTCTACTCCAAATTGAAAGCTAACAAACAAACCAACAAACTAACCAATCGAGTAATTAACCAACCAACTAACCAAAACCCTCAGCAGGTGACTCAGATGTGTGGCCAGGTTTGAGAGGCTGGTCCAGGTGGTCCAGGGAAGGGCCCCCACACGATGACACTGTTCCTGTTATTTTACCTACAGGTGGGGAAGCCAAGAGCCCCTGAGCCAGATGCTTGCTCAAGGTCACACTTCTGGTGACTCGGGCAATTTGCTCCCTTTTGGGAATGTTGACCGTTCTGCTGTGTCCACCAGAGAAGTCACCTGTGTCCTGGTCCCCATGAGTGGCACAGATGACAAGCCCTGGAGGTGACGGGCTGGGGCAGTCAGAAGGCTTCCTGGGGGAGGTGGGATTTCATCTGGACTCAGGACAGGTGGAGGGACACTCGACTAGTCTGGGAGGATGGTGCTCTAGGTCGACTGAGCAAAGGGCCAGGCTGGACACACAAAACACTGCAGGGGGGCAATGGGTTAACGCATGCACGCTGCTGAGCCAGGAGCTTGGTGGGGAGCGCAGGAGAGAAGGCCAAAGGGAGGCCAGGAGCCAGATGGGCAGCTTGACATTAAGCAGCGCCCGTGACAGCCCTAATGCTGGCCGGCCCCCTCCTTCCAGGAAGACAGGTGAAGAGCCTGGGAACAAAGTGTGAGGGCTTAAGTGGCCCTCTCCCAAGCCTGGAGAGCTGGCACCCCTCGGCACCCAGGAAGCCAGAAGGAGGATGGAGCACCTGCAGCTCAGATGTGAGAGAGGCTCTGAGAGAGCCGAGGCAGGCCATGGAATTCTCTTCCTCCTGGTCTTTCAGTTTTAAGACGACAAGATGCTTCAGGCTGGAAGGGCTCCAGGGCAGGCCTGGGAGAGGTTTCAATCGGTGCTTCTCAAACTTGGCTGTGCACTGGGACCACCTGGGGAGGTTTAATGCCTCCTCCTGCTGGGCCGCCCAGAGAGGCTGCTGAAGCTGGTCTGGGGGGCAGCTGCGGCAGGGGGGGAATGAAAAGCTCCCAGGCAAGTCCAGTGTGCACCCCGGCTGAGAGCCAGCCGAGTGGCTTAGAGGGCAGCCTGGTCCCTGCCCGCTCCGCTCCTGGTGGGGTCATAGCTGCCCGCTGGGCTTGAGGCCTTCGAGAAGACTGCCCCAAGTGTTGGGAGATGGAAAAGAGCCACAAAACCTGAAACCTCCCTTTCCTGCTGGGAGACAACCCGTACTCTGTACCCAAGGCTGCAGTTCTCAGCTGATGCCTGAGCCCCTTGGGGGAAGGTCCTGGGCATCACGGCTAGTCAGGGCTGATGAGGCGCAGCGTCCACCCAAGGTCGTGGCTGCTGCCTCCAGGACCCCCTGGGTGGGACAATTTTCCATTTTGGAGCGGGCAGAGACAGCAAGGAAGGCCACCCAGCCCCCCACCCACTTGGGCCTCCTCCTTCCAGTGCCCCTCCTCTAGGCTGAGAGGCGGCCAACCCAGTGCAGGGGAGGGGAACTGGGCAGGAGGGTAGGGCTGCCCCGTGCCAAGCAGACAGGCCTGGAGCCCTCCCTTGGCAGACAGCACACTCCTCCACCCCCTGCACCCTCCACCCTCTATTTTTAGGCCCATTATTGTCCATTGTTGGGTGCAATTTTTTCCCCCACTCCTTCCCCAGAAAAACAATCAGGTTCCTCCAGGCAAAGCCATCTCGCCTTCCCCAGAGCTGGTGCGTGGGAGCACGCTCGCTGCCAAATAGACATGAAATAAGTGAATTATCAAGTAACTGGATTAGCGGACTCCATTGTGTCTCAAAGGGCAGGGGGTGGGGAACACCGTCACTCCTCCGGGCCCTCCCTTCTCTGGGCTGCCGGGGTGTGCTGGGGGAGGAGAGGCTGACAGGGACAGTATGCTCACCAGCACACATGGCTGCACGCACGCACACACACACACAGATGACAGCCGCCTCCGTCTATCAGGCGCTTTCTGAGATCCAGAGCGACTCGTGTCAGCTGAGCAGCCTGTTTAGGAACCTGGATGCCGGGCCGGGCGGCCCAGGCTGGAGGTGCCAGCCTCCTCTACTTAGAAGCTGTGTGGCCTTCGGCAAGTGGCTTAAATTCTCTGAACCTGAGATTCCTCATATTCAAAACGGATCTAAATACAAGCTCTACCTTAAGACTTCTGTGAGAGTTCAATGAGCTATAGCTTAGGTTAAGGGCTTGGTATACATGAGGCACTCAACAAATGCTCGATGTTTCTGCTCTGAGGAGAAGGATATAGAATCAAGAAAGTCTGGCTATGGCCAGGCACGGTGGCTCACGCCTGTAATCCCGACACTTTGGGAGGCTGAGGTGGGCGGATCACTTAAGGTCAGGAGATCAGCCTGGCCAACATGGTGAAACTTTGTCTCTACTAAAAATACAAAAATTAGCCAGGCATGGTGGCAGGTGCCTGTAATCCCAGCTACTTGGGAGGCTGAGGAAGGAGGATTGCTTGAACTTGGGAGGTGGAGGTTGCAGTGAGCCAAGATCATGCCACTGCCCTCCAGCCTGGGTGACAGAGCAAGACTCCGTCTCAAAAAAAAAAAAAAAAGAAAGTGAGCCCAGGAGTTTAAGACCAGCCTGGGCAACATGGCAAAACCCCATCTCTACAAAAATACAAAAATTAGCCAGGCATGGTGGTGCATGCCTGTGATCCCAGGTGCTCAGGAGGCTGAAGTGGGAGGATCACTGGAGCCCAGGAGGTCGAGGCTGCAGTGAGCCAAGACTGCTTCACTGCACTCCAGCCTGGGTGACAGAGTGAGACCCTGTCTCAAAAAAAAGAGAAAGTCCTCAGACAATTGGACCAGACAATTACAGGGAACCAAACCCTGATTTCCCTGAGGGTAGAAGAGCCCCCAGAAGGCAGAACCTGCTCAGGCCAGATGATTGACCGAAAGTGACCACGGATGGACTCAGAGAAATCTGGGAAGTCCCTGAAAGTGTTTGCAACCTTATATGTGTGTGTGTGTGCCTGTGCATGAGCCCAGTGTTTGCACACACGTGTGCACATGCGTGGTTCTAGGAAGAGCACCATGGATTCTCAAGTGGGGCCATGACCATTAAAAGTGAGAAGCTCCCGCTCCAGGGTTTTCTGGGTAGGTTCCCTGCATTTCTCCCCTCTGGGTCTTCCTGGATGCTGGGAGGTTATTGCATCTCTCTATCGTTCTTTCTCTTTCTCTCTCTCTCCGTCTCCCTGAAGCAGAATCTGGGGGTACAGTGGGACTCTGAGGTTGACCTGCAGACCCCCTCATTTTACAGGCAGGAAGTCTATACCCCGAAATGGGAAGAGACTTGCCCGGGGCCACCCAGTTCCTGGCAGCCAGTGCCTGGGGGAGCCCCGTCCCTAGGAGCTGAGCCCCAGGACGGTGCCAGCCCCAGAACTGTGGGCAAAGGTTTTGGATGTTGCCTGGGTGGGGACAGGGGCAGAGACAAGGTGCGTTCTGGATTAACAGCCTTCTCCACTTGCTGCCACCTGCTTTTGGCCATCTCTTGATCCCCCAGAGGGAGGGACACCTCCCAGAAGGACACTGCCCTGTTGCAGGCTGGCAGCAGAGGATGGCCTGCCTTGGTGGAGGGCAGGAGCACCGTGGGCTCATCTCTCATTGGTCTCTTCTTCACCTTTTGCCCGACAGCAGACTTCTGCTTCGGCCAAGGGAAAATGCCTGGTCGTGTTTCATTTCCTTTTATTTCCCCAGCCGACTCTTGGAGTCAAGTGGACGAATGACTTGGGCAGCAGGAGGGAAGTGGAATGAGGGGCTGAAGAGGCCCAAACGGTCCCTGAGAGACCCAAGACAAACTGCCCTGGGACAGAAGGATGCCAGGTCCTTGAAGACAGGCCTGAGTCCCTTTCCACAGGGTGGGCAGTTCTGGAACACTCCAGGGTTAGATTCACAGGGATCCACACACCTGGATATTCCAATACAATTCCCTCCTGCCAACGAGACCCCAAGAGGTCAGGGGACCCCTCTGTGGCCGCCCAGTGAGATCCCAGCCCCGCTAGCTCTCAATTTCAGAACGACCATTCGAACTCCTGTGTGACAGAAGGCAGGACAGGACAGTGACGGAGGCCCTGGAGACCGATCCTAGTTTTGGCTGTGCAAACTTGGGTCAGCATCTCCACCTCCCTGCACCTTCCTCTCCTCATCTGCACTCTGACCTGGCTCCGTCCTGTTACGAGAGGGCAAAAAGCTGCACACATGGGGTGCTTTGCACAGCGTCTTTCTCTGAATTGCCACCGGTGCATGGCACTACGGAAGCACGTGTGCCCCAGTCTCTCACTCATGAGGCTCCCAGGCGTCCAGCACACCACCAAAACCCAGCACCATGATCGCCGGCATTGCTGCGATCGCCAGCATTCCAGCCACCATCCTACCCGGCCTTGCCCTCCTGGCACAGAGCACTCTTTCTGTCCACTTTCTGTGATGCTGCCACCACAGAGAAGACCGCAGCTGGCAGATGGGCTTAGGGGACGCTCTTGATCCCCTCAGGGCCCCCAAGATCTGGCTCTGAGCCATGCCAGTCACCAGTAGTGACACATAGGCGGGAGCTCACCTAAGCAGGCTGGGAAGTAGATGTATCACCCTCACTGACCCTGAAGAGGCAGCTCCGGCCCCCACTGGCTGCAGGTGGCATCCGGGCAGGCATCCTGTGTCCCCCACCAGATGCCATCACGTGAAGTCAGATCCAGGGCACGTGTAGATGGACAGAGACCTGGTTGGGGAGGGCCCCTGTCCTCATGGCTCCAGTCTACCTCTGGGAGAGCCCTTGGCCTGGGGTGGAGCCTCCAGGGTCTGAAGCTCCTCATGGGGGGCTCAAGGAAGTCACTCCAACCCTCTGGGCCTCAGTTTCTCCTTCATAGGAAATGAGAGGGGGGGATGTGCCTCATCAGTAGTTTTTTTTTTTTTTTTTTTTTGAGACCGAGTCTCACTCTGTTGTGCAGGCTGGAGTGCAGTGGCACAGTCTCGGCTCACTGCAACCTCTGCCTCCGCCTCCCAGGTTCAAGAAATTCTTCTGCCTCAGTCTCCCGAGTAGCTGGGACTACAGGTGTGCACCACCACACCCAGCTAATTTTTTTTTTTTTTTTTTTTGTATTTTTAGTAGAGATGGGGTTTCACCATGTCACCCTGGCTGGTTTCAAACTCCTGAGCTCAGACAATCCGCCCGCCTCAGCCTCCCAGAGTGCTAGGATTTACAGGTGTGAGCCACCACACTTGGCCTAATCAGTGGTTTTATATTGTCTTCACAGGAGCCCAGGACTTCCTAGTGGTGGATTGGGGAACTCGGGGCCTGGGGCAGGGTAGGGGGACACCAGCCACCTGCTTCTGGGGTCCCCTTTCCTGGGCGCAGTCAATTTCACTGTAACATGCTTATCGACATTGGGGTTTTTCTGGCCTTAGACAATCCCAGCATGCCTTCTAAGTTGTGTGTCTCTATTTGAAATGATGGATAATTATCTTCAGCATTTATTAAGTACCTGCTACATGCAAGCACTGACTGTGGGACAAGGAAGAGGACAGAACAGTGCCTGGCTGCGTGGGAGAGGGACGGAGGTGGACTGGAGGCTGAGGAGGTATTTGGAGGCCAGAGAGAAGTCACAGCATCTCCTTCCAAGGACCCTGCTCTGAGAATCCAAGTCCACATCCCAGCCTGAAAGAGGGAGAAGAAAATGAGGGTGGGGAGGGGAAGGGGAGGGTAACCATTGGGATTTTTCCCCTCCTCAGGCCTCACTGTGGCCTAGTCATCAAATGACTGGGATCTGAGTTTGAGCCTTGACTTCACTCAGTTTTGGAGTCTCAGTTTCCTCATCTATAAAATGGGCACAACAGGAGAGTAATCGTTTCTACAGTGCAGAATATCCAGGAGGGTTTCATGAAGTAGTGCACATAGAATGCTTGATGCTTCAGAGGAATAGATTTGAGGCCAGGCGCTGTGGCTCACGCCTGTAATCCCAGCACTTTGGGAGGCCGAGGTGGGCAGATCACTTGAGTCCAGGAGTTCGAGATCAGCCTGGCCAAATAGTGAAACCCCATCTCTACTAAAAATACAAAAATTAGCTGGGCGTGCTGGCTAGTGCCTGTAATCCCAGCTGCTTGGGAGGCTGAGGCAGGAGAATCGCTTGAACCCGGGAGGGGGAGGTTGCAGTGAGCTGAGATCGCACCACTGCACTCCAGCCTGGGTGACAGAGCAAGACTCTGACTCCAAAACAAACAAACAAACAAACAAAAAAACCCAGAGATTTGAGAGTCCAGAAGTAAGTGCATAGATTATGCTCAATTGATTTTCGACAAGGTTGCCAAGAACATTTAGTGGGGGAAGAATAGGCTCTTCAACAAATAGTGTTGGGGAAACTGGATCTCCACATGCAAAAGAATAAAGATAGACCTTTTCCCTTACACCAGATACAAAAATTAACTCAAAATGGATCAAAGACCTAGATATAAGAGCTAAAACTATAAAAGTCTTAGAAGAAAATATGGGGGTAAATACTGCTGACCTTGGATTTAGCAGTGGTTTCTTAGATATGACACCAAAAGCACAAGCAACAAAAGAAAAAAATACACACATTGGAGTTCATTAAATTTAAAATAGGCTGGGCGTGGTGGCTCACGCCTGTGGTCCCAGCACTTCGGGAGGCCCAGGCGGGCAGATCGTTTGAGGCCAGGAGTTCGAGACCAGCCTGGGCAACATGGTGAAACCCTGTCTCTACTAAAAACACAAAAATTAGGTGGGTGTGGTGGTGTGTACCTGTAATCCCAGCTACTTGGGAGCTGAGGCAGGAATGATTTGAACCCAGGAGGTGAAGGTTGCAGTGAGCCAAGATCACAACACTGCACTCCAGCCCAGGTGACAGAATGAGACTCTGTCTCAAAACAACACACAACAAAAACAAAAACAAAAAAATGACTAAGAAGCACACTGACATCATTAGCTATCGGGGAAATGCAAATCAAGACCATAATGGGATACTGCCCCACACCCACTAGGCTCATCCTAATAAGACAAAACAAAACCAGAAAATAACAAGTGTTGACAAGGATTCGGAGAAACTGGCATTCTCGTACATTGCTGGTGGGAACGTAAGAGGTGCAGCACCTGTAGAAAACAGTTTGGTGGCTCCCCAAAAAGTTACACATAGAATTACCTTGTGACCCAGAAACTCCACTTTTAGGTAGACAGCCAAGAGAAATGAAGACATACACACATGCAAAAACTGAGACCCAAATGTCCACAGCAGTATCACTCCTAATAGCCAGAAAGCAGAAGCAGCTCAAATGTCCATCAGTTAGGAAACGGATACACAAAATATGGTGTGTCCACAGGATGGCATATTATGCAGCCATAAACAGGAATGAAGCACTGAGTCATGCGACAATGTGGACAAACCTTGGAAACATTTTGCCAGTGAAGGAAGGCCATCACAAAGAGCCTCATATTGTCTGATTCCATTCGTATGAAATGTCTAGCATAGCTAAATTCATGGAGACAAAAAGTAGACGCGTGGTTTTCAGGGGCAGGGGAAGGAGATGGGGAGTAACTAACGGGTGCAGGGTTTTCTATTGGGGCGATGGAAACGTGTTGGGACTAAGTAGAGATGCTGGTTGCACAACATTGTGAATGTACTGAATTGTATATTGTAAAATAGTTTAAAAGGCAAGTTTTATGTTAGACACAATAAGACTTTTTTTTTTTGAGAGATGGGGTCTCACTACATTGCCCAGGCTGGTCTCAAACTCTTGGCCTCAAGTGATCCTCCTGCCTCGGCCTCCCAAAGTGCTGGGGTTATAGGTGTGAGCCACTGCACCCACCAAAACGTTGTTTAACTGGTTAATTTTATGTTATGTGAACTTCACCTGAGTTTTAAAAATGTTTTAAAATCTTTTTTAAAATGATTATTGCTATGCTGAGCCCGGGGTATACATCTAGGACCCCTCTGTCTGCACTGGAGTCCACTGTTTTGTGTGGTTTTGTCTCTGACCAATCTGGATTTCCCTAAACTCCCAGAATGTACCTGGCAATCAGCAGGGAACATTGAATGAACTGGTTAATCTAGCCAAATCTTCCCCGGCTGCTCAGTTGGGGAAACTGAGGCTGGGGGCGTATTCTCGCTCTCTCAGCAGCCAGGGCCTAGCACTCTGACTCCCGGTGGCATTCACTCTGCTCCTATGCACTGCTCCCTCCCCCGCCAGCAGTTGGTGTGTGCTCGGGGAATTAGAAACACATTTTCATATACTTAAGCAAATCTGCTGCTGATGAAAAACAAATCGGATCCTGCAAACCAAAGCCGAACAGACCGGTTCCCGCATCATCTGCCGTTTCTCCTGTTCCTCATGGCCCGGCCCCTCTAGGAAGGAGCCCTGCATCAGTGCTGGCCACAGGGACTCTGGCCAGGTCAGCCCCGGTCAGGGGCCATGGCTCAGCAACCACGTGGTCCAGCCTGGTGAGCTCTGGACCAGCCCCACGGCACAGGGCTTCCATGTTCTGGGTTCCTCTCAATTGCCCCTCAATTGCCCTCCTGCCCCTCTTGCTCCTTCAGAGCCTGTGGCCTAATCCTTCCTAACCCTAGCGAGCGGTCAGGAGCCAGACACAGGAAGGCTGAACCCCAGCTCCTACACTCAGTGGGCTCTGAGAAGTCTCAGAATATTCACCGGTCAGATGCACAGTAACAGACCTACAGGGGCTTGGATGAGGTGGGCAGGGGGAGTGGACTGTCTCCTCTCTGTCACCCACACACTTTCCCCTCGAATCACCTGGCCCCCTTCCCTGCGTCTCTGCACGAACCATTCCTTCTGCCCACATCCTCACTCTCCTGACCCTTCCCATCCTGCAAGACCCACTTCTGAGCCCACAGCCTGTGCCTCTGGCTGTGGGTTTGGCCTATGGGGTCCTCTTCTGTCCCTCAAGCTAAATTCTAGAATTAAAAAGGATAAAAATAAAAATACACTTTTTTTTTTTGAGACAGAGTCTTGCTCTGTCGCCCAGGCTGGAGTGCAGTGGGACGATCTCAGTTCACTACAAACCCCACCTCCCAGGTTCAAGTGATTCTCTTGCCTCAGACTCCCAAGTAGCTGGGATTACAGGCGCGCGCCACCACACCCGGCTAATTTTTGTATTTTTAGTAGAGACGGGGTTTCCCCATGTTGGCCAGGCTGTTCTTGAACTCCTGACCTCAGGTGATCCGCCCACCTCAGCCTCTCACAGAGCTGGGATTACAGGCTTGAGCCACCGTGCACCCGGCCCTTTTTTTGAGCATTCCTTTTGTGCTGGCTCCCAGCTGAGGTCATCACACGCCTGGTCTCGTCTTATTTGTACACACGTCCTTCGAGGTTGTGTCCAGCGCCATGCCCAGTTTCAGATGAGAAAACCAAGGCTCAGGGTCACAAGGGACTTATCCCAAGTCCCACATCCCAGAAGTGCGGGATGCCCCCGGGCCCCATCTCCTCCCTCCAGAAGCCCAAGTTCTCATCCGCAGCATGGTGCGGCCTGCCTGTCTGTCCGTCCGTCCATCTGTCCGTCTAATCTGCAGCATGGTTCGACCTGTCTGTCTGTCCGTCCGTCCGTCCGTCTCATCCGCAGCATGGTGCGGCCTGCCTGTCTGTCCGTCTGTCCATCCATCCATCTCATCCACAGCATGGTGCGGCCTGCCTGTCTGTCCGTCCGTCCATCTGTCCGTCTAATCTGCAGCATGGTTCGACCTGCCTGTCCGTCCGTCCGTCTCATCCGCAGCATGGTGCGGCCTGCCTATCTGTCCGTCTGTCCATCTCATCCGCAGCATGGTGCGGCCTGCCTATCTGTCCGTCTGTCCGTCTGTCCATCTCATCCGCAGCATGGTGTGGCCTGCCTGCCTGTCCGTCCATCCGTCCGTCTCATCCGTAGCATGGTTCGACCTGCCTGCCTGTCTGTTCGTCTGTCCATCCATCTCATCCGCAGCATGGTGCTCCTGCCTGTCTGTCCATCTGTCCGTCCGTCCGTCCATCTCATCCGCAGCATGGTGCGGCCTGCCTGTCTGTCCGTCTGTCCATCCATCCATCTCATCCGCAGCATGGTGTGGCCTGCCTGTCTGTCCGTCCGTCCGTCTCATCCGCAGTATGGTTCGACCTGCCTGCCTCTCCGTTCGTCCGTCCATCCATCTCATCCGCAGCATGGTGCTCCTGCCTGTCTGTCCGTCTGTCCATCCATCCGTCTCATCCGCAGCATGGTGCGGCCTGCCTGTCTGTCCGTTCGTCTGTCCATCCATCCACTGCCTGCCCCATCGCAGGTGGGATTGGAGGCAGCTTGTCATTATACCCACAGTAAATGAGAAAAAGGGAAATGGATTAAACATCAGAGTTAGGAAGCATAGAGGAAGACAGCCTGGGAAGGTGGGGATGCGCAGACCGGAAAGGTCTGGGGGTCTCTAAGTCTCTGACATTCTTTGGAAAGATGTCCCATCTGGGCCCTTTCACACAGCTGCCTGCCTTCCACGGGGTGTCTGGACCCAACCTCATTCCCTCAAGGGAAGTCAGAAGCAAGGGTCTCACTCCCTGGGCCCCGGGCCTCGGTCTTCTCATTGTCTACTGCCCAGGAGGGAGACTTCACTGTGCAACAAGATGTCATTTCACAGAACTATTCTTGTCCTAGGCTGGGCCCTGCCTCGGGCATTTCAAGAGACTGAGTGGCTTTAACGGCTGGTGCAGCTCAGGTGCCGAAGTCACTTGCAACTGACTTAAGGACAGAGTTGTGCAAACCTCCCGGCTTCATCCAATCGCAAATCCCACAGAACAGGGACTGCAGTGGAGAGAAGCAGGGGCTTCCAGGGTCTCCTCTGTCCTGACCCAAACCCCAGTTTTTCCTTCAAGACTCAGCCCTGGCCAAGTGCAGTGGCTCACTCCTGTAATCCCAGCACTTTGGGAGGCTGAGGTGGGTGGATCACGAGGTCAGGAGATCGAGACCATCCTGGCTAACACAGTGAAACCCCGTCTCTACTAAAAATACAAAAAATTAGCCTGGCGTGGTGGCAGGTGCCTGTAGTCCCAGCTACTGGGGAGGCTGAGGCAGGAGAATGGCGTGAACCCAGGAGGCAGAGCTTGCAGCGAGCCGAGATTGCGCCGCTGCACTCCAGCCTGGGCGACAGAGCGAGACTTTGACTCCAAAAAAAAAAAAAAAAAAAAAAAATACAGCCCTGATCCTGCCTCCTCTGAGAAGCGTTCCTGGATCACACCATGCTTCCTCCCATGCATCCATTCATTCAGGAAATGCTTACTGGGCACTGATCAAGTCCAGAGGGAGGTGCTGGGGATGCAAAGATAGCGAGACAGCCCTGCCTTTGAGGAGCTCACAGTCCAGGGGAAAAGCAGACATCTAAAGTTACAGAATTGGTCCCAACAGCCAGCACGCAGTGAGCAACTACTATGTGCCAAGCACCGTGCTCATGACAGTCTCCTATGCACGTTCTATTAATAGCTCCCATTGAGAAACTAAGGTTCAGAGAGGTTAGGTCTCACATCAGAGATCACACAGCACGGGATTCTAAACTCTCCATTCCTAGGGCCAGAACTCTTCACTGATAGGCCAGTCAGTAAGCAGGATGATGACCAAATGAGGGCCTCCTCACCCCACTGGGCAAAGGAGTCAGAGAAGGCCTCCTGGAGGAGGAGGTAGGGTCCAACCTGAACCTTGAAAAAGGAGCCAGGGTTATCCAGGTAGAAGCGGAAGCCTTGAAAAGAAAGGAAGGAGGGGGCAGGCATTCGGGTGGAGGAGACAGCACGGGCCAAGGCTGGAGCGCCCGGAGAGTTCATGGGGAGGGGCACGCCCTCCTCCTTCCCCAGCTCCTATCATATCAGGCCCCGGTGTCACCATTTGTGGTTAGCTGGGTATTGTCTTCAATGTCTGTAGTGTTTTTCTCTTGTTTTTCACTTAATTTATCTCTAGTCATCTCACTTTCCCATCACAACTGTGCCTGGCATGAGGTCATACCTGGAAACATCTGCCGACTGGAGGGTTGTGACGGCGAGAGGAGGGAGGCTGGGGCCAGAAACACAGAGGGGGAAGGAGGCCAGAGCCATCGGGCCGGTCAGCTCTGCATTGTTGGATGGAAACATTTCATGATCCTCAAGGTCTGGCAGGAGGCAGAGTGTCTGTGACCTTGATTCTGCATGTGGTGTTCAATGTCACAGTGAGGAGTGGCTCAAGGACTCCAGGACCTGCCTGCTGTCTGCATTCAACAGCCCAGCAGACCCCCTGGGGGAGGAATGGAACCATTTGCTCTGCAGCTGGGTAAACTGAGGCACAGAGAAGCTAAAGCAGGTTCTAACTGAGTAAGATGTGTGTTCAAAGATGCACGTTCACAGCCTGCCCTTGGCTTTCCTGTCCACCAAAGCCAAGGTGCCTCTGTATGCTGGAGACTCCAACATGGCTGAAATTTGAATGTTCACCCATGTCAATGTAGAAATGTCAAGCTTATCAAGATTGGATAAACAATAATATTCAAGCCTCACACTAGAAAAGAACTTACAGTCTCTGCCAAGCACCTTCTGTTATGTTGTGAGAGGCGTTTCCTCTCCCAGGAAGTCGGTGAGGTGGGCAAGGCAGTGAAGATCATACCCCTTTTACAGATAGGGAAACTGAGGCTTGGAGAATTTGAATGACTCACCTCAGACCACCCAGCCCCCAAGTGACAACACTGGGATGTGAGCTCAGGGCTTCAGATTCTAGGCCTGTAGCTCTTGTCAGGAGGTAGTGCTGCCTCTCTCTGGAACCTTCCACTGGCTCCTGCTCAGAAGCACAGACCCCCCGCCTTGGCAAGCAAGGCCCGCATCTGGGAATCTCGGCTCCCAGCTCCATCCCTCCATTCCCAGGACCCCCTAGTGCTCTCCTGTTGGCTCCTGTCTCCCCTCAGCAATGCCTCTCCTCTTAACCTGCACAGACCCCATGGGACCCACAGACCTCTGGCCCCTTCGTCAACGGCAGGCTTCATCCACCATCCTGGACCAACCCCACCCCAGCGCTCCAGAGACTTCCTGTTAAAAGGCAGAGTCTGGCTCGGCAGTTGTGGGGCAGGGTCTGGGATTCTGCACCTCTATCAAGGTGAGGTCAGCGCTGCTGCACTGAGGCGATTGCTCTGAGTGGGAGTGGCAGGATTCCCTTGGCACCCTGCTGCCTGGGCAGTAGTTCTCTCTCTCTCTCTCACCTGCTCGTCAGCTCACCCCTGAGTCTCGGGTGGCTAGTTTTTGTCTCCAAGGCACAAAGGAAGGGTTTCCCCCTTCCTCTCACGGGGACCACAGGTGGCTGGCGGGAGACGTGTCTTGCAGAGCGCTAAGGGGCACCTCCCAATGCCAGTCACGCCCTCCCCATCTCCAAGGGTCCTGCAAGCAGCAGTTGCCCTGTGAGGGGCTGAGATGCCTTTGCCCGTCGCCCTTCCTGCCTCCTTCTCGGCCTGCAGCCTTGCTGGGCTGACCTCAGGGGCAGGCCCTGGGAATGTGGGTGGGGGCCGCCTCTCTTCTCCCACAGCCCTCATTGCAATTTTGTCCTCGCCCAAGAATCCTCTGTTGAGAGCTCATCCCTATTAATTCTCATTGTGCATTTAGAGCCAATAGGTTTTTATTTATTCATTTATCTTGTCTTTCAGCCTCCTCCCCTTCCTTGCAAGGCTGGAATTTACAATTCAGTTCTCAGGTGGCCTTGCTGAAGGACAGGAAGCCTGGGAAAGAGAGAGGGTCTGCACCCCGCATCTGAAAAGGCCGTCCGCCCCTGGGTCCCTCCTGTACCCTCGGAGTGCAGCCGGGCTTGCGCTCCCGTGGGCTGGATGTTGGGACACACGTAGCACCTGCCACTGAAGGGGCGAAGGGGAGCAAGGACCCATGGGCGATGGCAAGGCTAAGGGGGCAGTGGGCATCTGGCCGCCATTAGGGCGCCCCCTGGTGGCTGGTTAACAACAGCTGCTGGGGCTGCAGGCGAGGAAGCTCCCCCAGCCTGCATCTTCCACATGCTGCCAGAGACTAGCAATACAAGGCGTGGCGTCCCCAAGGCTGGGGAGAGGCAAAGGAGCCCGGGGAAGAAGCAAAGCCAGGAAAATCACCGAGGCCATAATCACAACAGTGATAAGCTGGTGACTAGTATTGCACACTGAGTACCTACTATGTGTCCGCACGTACCACGGCAGCACGGCCGGGCTGTGCCGTCCCGCCAGCACCGTGACACTCCTACATTATGGTTTCTACTGGGCAGAGGAAGACAGTGAAACTCAGAGAGGTCAGAAGTGGAGAGAGGGGAGGCTGTGCCGCCTGGTGGGTGGGCATGGGCCTTGGCTACAGGCAGTTCCCAGCCTGCCTTCTCAACGGAGTGATGTTGGCAGGATTTAGGCAACACTTTCTATTCCCAAAAATGAGATTAGAGTAGGACCTACCTCAGAGCATCCTACTGCCCGGACCCTCCCAGGGGAAGCCACAATAAACTGTGGCATCAGGGTTTGAACCCAGATCTATCTAGAAGTAACCACCCCCTCCAAAAACCACCCCTCCAAAAGCCAGCCCTCCAAAGCCAGCCCTCCAAAAGCCAGCCCTGCAAAAGGCTGCCGTCCACCTGCCACGGCGGCCTCCCCGTCCTCATCGGACACACATTTGTAATCAAAGCAGAGCTGGATGGCAGCCCATGATGAAATATTTAAGTCCATCACACAGGTGGCGAGACGCCGAGGACTTGCCCATGTGGGAGATTGTGGAGGGACTGTTCTTTCTCCCCTGCCTTCCCCACCTGTCTGCCCAGGAGAGGAGCAGGGGATGGGGATGGGAGAGAGCACTCTTCTAGACCCCAGGGCTTGAGGCTGGCTGCCTGGGATGAGGCTCTGCCGGCACTGGGACTGGGAGGGGTGACCACCTCCCCAGAACAGCCGCCCACTGCACTGGGTTCTCTGTCTGAGGGTGGGGGCAGGGCAGAGGTCCAGGGCCAATGACACCCTAGACAGCTTTGGCAAGGAGAGGGCCTCGGACTTGACTCTGAGGGTCATCTCCCCACCTCAAGCCCTCGACCCAAAGCTGGTCCTAGAATTATGATTTAGCTGCTCCCCCAAGCACGTTAAGGCAGTGATTAATATTTAAGAGAGAAAATACAGTCGAGACTCTAATACGAGAGACAGAGGTTGACCGTGCCCGAGAGCGTGTGGAGAACCCTCCCACCGGCTTTGAGATGTGGACTGAGTACCAGCCCCTATCCTGGCCTTCCTCCTGGCTTCCAGAGCCCAGCCCCCTTGCTTGGCCCTGCGGTCCCCGGGGCAGTTATGGCCACAGACTATCCAGCCCCAGCTCCTGGCTTCGTGCCGCCTTCTCCTTCCCTCTCTCCCTCCCTCTCTCTCTCCCCAGCTGGCCCTGGCCCAGCCACCACCCACAGTGACAGCCTCATCACCACTGACAAGCCTGAGTAAGAAGCTACCTTCTCAGGCTGACTGCCCTGTGATGTGAGCAGAGCCGGCCCATGAGATCAAGTCCTCAGGACTCTGAGGTGGGGGCACCGGGTCAGCCCCACCACAAACCCAGAGACCTGGAGGCTCCTCCAAGGACACGCAGAGGTACCAGCTGCCTGGGGGATGGCATCAAGCCCCTCCTGTGAGCTTCTGCAGCCTGGCTGCCCTACCCAGCTCTGCCCTGCCCTGCCAGGGACGGCCTCCGGAGCACTGCCCAGTGGGAAGCAGCTTAGCTCAGAGACATTGGAGCCACTCTAAGCTGGAATCACAGCTTCGCCACCTCCTGGAGTGTGACCTTGGCCAGATGCCTTTACCCGTCACCCCTGGGCTGCCTCAGTTACCCCACCTGTATGACCAGAATGACAACGGCTAACATCTGCGTGCACTTACTCTGTGCCAGGTCCTATTCCGAACACTTTACCTACGTTAATTAAACCACAAACTCCTCACAATGACCCTAGGAGTGTGTGCTCTTAGTGTGCCCATTTTGCAGATGACAGAACAGAAGCCCACAGACGTCACTGGGCCAGAGCCCTCCCCTGACGCTCCTGCTTTATACAACACAGAATCCACCTGGCTAGCTGAGGGGAGGACTCCTCGCAATGGCATCAGGCTCGGCCCACACACTCAGACAGCTCGCACGCAACCATCTCTGCTGTTGTTGTTGCTGTTAACATTACTTGAGTACTGAAGTACTCCGTGCCCCTAGGACCCCTCCTTCTCTAGCTAGGGAGGCAAGGGACAACGCCTGAATGTCTGCCTTCCCCCGACTTACCCAGGGGCTGCCATCATTGCATGTAGGAATGGAAGTGGAAGGGGACCCAAGCTGCACTGTCTGTCCCAGCTTAACCCCCAACTTCATCCTGCGTGAATCCCCTCTGAGCCTCCGTCAAACCTCCCCATGCAAAGGGCCAGCTCAGTGCTTGGCATGCTCTAGCTTCATGGTACCGTCTGCTGGATTGGATTGAGTGGGCTAAGAGGTTGCACCACAGAAAGGATGAACAGAGGGAGCTTACAGTATCATGTTGCAGGTAGCATCTTGCTCACTCGCCCAGAATGCTGACTTCCTACACAGGAGGTGGGGCTTAGCCTGAAGGCTGCGGAGCTGAATACTATAGGCTTCCCGAGGGAACTGAACTAGTGGCCAGCTGGCCGAGAATGCCCCTACCCCAGAGAACAATGTCACATGACCCCAGTGTCCTCAGGGTGTCCTCTGTTTTGACACATTTCCAAGGTGGGACAAAGACCTGGTCCAGGTCTGGTCCAGACCTGGTCAAGAGGCAGGAAAGTCAGCCTTGCATCTCAGTCCTCCAGCTCTGCTCGTCCACCCCAAGGATCTCCTCCAGACCTCCTCCCACTTGGCCTGGGCAAACAAAAGAGCAGTAAGTGGACTTACATGGGAGCAGAACCTCTCAGGGGGGTCTCCACATGTGATGCCTGAGGGCTCCACCTTCACCTTGACGTAGTCCTTCAGGCGCATCACCTTGGGCTGGCAGGCGTAGAACTCCCAGGTGGGGCCCTCATCTGTGGTCACCCAGGATTTGCAGATGTCATAGTCCCCAGAGGCCAGAGGGAGGCAGTGCAGGAAGAGCGCCAGCAGATGCAGCATGGCTGCGCAGTCTGCAGAGGCGCGGCCCAGAGAAGCCCTGGAGAGGCAGCGACGGGGTCAGGCGGGACTCGCGGCCTCAGCATGGAAATGCCACATCTACCAGGCGAGGGTGGCCGGGGTGTCCCAGGGACCCGAGCACTGAAGCTTTGCAAACAGCGAGGAACTTGTTGTTTCCAAAAGGCCGACACGGAAAATTCAGAGCCAGCGTTTCTCAGACTGCTGATGGACAGATCAGAAAGTTGCCCATAACTTCACGTCCTCCTAACCCTGGTATCACACCTCCCCTGGAGGTGAATCTGATCAAATCAGGCAGATTCTCAAATTGTGACAGTGGATGGAAATGGGATAAGGAGAAAATCCGCAGGGATCCTGCATGAGGCTGGATCAGATTGCTTTTAATTTTTGTCCTTCCAATCAATCCAGGTCTTTAAAGGGCTCTTAATGGGTGACGTGCTCAACACAACGGCAAAACAACCCTCCAGCCTGCGTTGTAAAGATAAAATAAAATCAGGAGGTGGGCATGTTAGCTGGAAACATGTTCCCTCTTTGGGACTGGACTTGGGTTCTCAGACCAATAAAAGAGATTTCTTTCATATGAGCTTAAGGTGGCAACAGCTGTGTGACTGGACTAGAATGAAAAGCTACTGAGGTGTTCACTGGGGAGAAGGCTATTTGGTTCTGCTTTGGTGGGGGCCGGCACTAATGGGGCCCAGCTGACCTTGGCTGGTAGCCATCGGCAACTTATTATGAAGTTTCTGAGATCTCAGCTCTCAATCCATCCAGGTACCTGGGGTCTGACTTGTCTTTCATTGTAAGAGGGGAGGAGAGAGAGAGAGCTCATTAGCAACAACACCTGCAACAAATTAAAGAGGGGGAGAATAGAGACGTATAAGAACAAAAGCTCTCCGGCAAAATGTGCAAAAAATGAGGCTGCATTAGCAAAGTCTCCCGAGAAAACTGGGTTATTTTTATTAATATCAGAGTTGCACATTTGGAGATCGGGCATGTTATTTAAAAGGTGATGCATTTTTTTCTCATTTATGGGAGTGTTAGTTCAGCAGAAGTGCCCCGGCTTGGGGGTCAGAGACTTTCAAAAGCATCCCCAGGAGCCAAGATTTAATGGTTGCTTTAAAATACCATGACTGTCAAGTCAGAATGTCAAAGTTGTTAAAGGCAAAGATGAGCATGTAACTATAGGTGCAGATGGACCCATACCTATATGTACAGATGAACAGAGTGCTCCACGTGCTGGCCAACCATGAAGAGCCAGGCACTGAGAAACAGCCCCCCAATCATAGGCACAATCTGAAATGGCAAATTTAATTTTTTTTAACTGTAAGAAACTAGGGATATTGAAGACTGCCAAAGAGGTAACAATGCTTTGTGAGTTCAGATTTTTCTGATCAAGGCCAGCATTTTGCAAATCATTCTTAGAGGGTAGGTCTATAAATGGGTTACAATTACGATTATTGCTGTGCTATTTTAAGCTTCTGTTAATTATTTAAAATCAAAATAGATATAATTAATATATTATATCAAAATAGATACCAGTTACATGAATGTTACATTGGGAAATAACACGACTGCAGTACTGTGGTGTGTTCCAGACACTGGATACGTCACCCGGAGAATCCAAGTCCAGCCAGCATGGGATTCTGGCCAAAAATATTGGCCAATAGGGCAAAGGTTACTGCAGTAAAAAAGTGCCTGCATGATTAATTATTCTGGTTAATATGTCTTCGATGATTGCATTTGATTTCCCAAACCACCCCAAATGTCCAGTCTGGACCTGGCTCTCCCCTGACATCCTCTTCACCTCCTGTACTTGCAAGGCCCCTGAAGAGTTAACTGTGTTTCCGTGAAACTCCATTCTCCACCCAGACAGAAAAACGCTCCTGCCAAAAATGACAAACCGAAGTGGCGGACACTTGCTGCCCTGAGCGCCCTGAGCACCTCAGGCTCGGAGCAGCCCCCAGCCAGGGCCCCAGGGCTCCAGGCATGGGACTCATTCATCTGAGTTAGGGCGACCCCTGCCCCTCTCTCTGGGTGAAGGACTGCTGATGGAGATGAACGAGAACCCAGCCAGGACCATTTTCCCCGTCTCACCTCTGGCTGTTTAAAGGGGAACCTGTTACAGAGCCTGCCTGGCCTTGAAGGCGCTCCTTGCTAGAAAACTCTAAGACAGAACGTGCCCGGTGTCTATTTTTGCAACCTGAGAAAATGTAGTAAAAATAAAATAGCGCCGCCGGCAAAGGTTTGGATGCCTCTACCCGAGCTCGCGCTGCCCAGAGCACAGCACGTTCCTAATTAATTCTTCCAGCAGTCGACTCCTAACTGTTCACTAACAGGTAGGGATCTCCTGGCTGCTGGGACAACCAGGACGCCGGGCTGCGGCTTGCAAGGAGGGCGCAGCTGCAACCTTCCTTCAGCTGCAGGACCCGCGGCTGCTCGGGGCTTGCAGGGCGCTGGACGCCGCCGGGCGCGGGGAGGCAGCGAGGCCCGGAGGCCGGGAGGCTGGGGCGAGCGGCGCGCGCGGCGCAACTCGCAAATCTATTAATTGCAGTCCTGTTGGTTTAAATGCCACGCATTCCCTGGAAAATAAATAAATTTAAAAAACCCTAACAACAACAAAATCTGCCAGGGGAAAAATGTGTTTACAACTAGTCAATCAATTGGGCGTTGCTGGCATCGCAGGGGGAATTACGAGCTCAGCACACGAATATTGCAGGCGGGTTCTGCCAAAAAGAAAAAAGAGAAGGGGGAAGAGAGGCAGGAGTCCCCGGATAACGAGGAGGAGCGCAGAGAGTGAGGAGTCGGCAGGGAAATTTTCAGAGTAAGAAGCTGCATCCCGGAGGATCGTTTTCTCCGTGGAAAATTTATCTTCACCTGATATTATTAAGAAACTGCAGCTCCCAGAAACAAATAGAATCAATGTGCTTTATTTTCTTTTAAGAGTCCTCAGGAACCAAGGGGGGCTGATAGCCAGGGTATTAAAACTCGAAAATTAGATTTTATCAGGATTTCTGAACTCAGATTTCTCTGTCTTATTGAATTAGCGCCTCCCGAGCTGGCTGGGCTCGCCAGCAGGTTCCTCTTGGAGTTGCCTGCTGCGCCCTCGCCGTGTGGGAAACTTGCCGCGGCGGGCGCGGGGCCCCTGGGGGCACGGGAGGGAGGGCGCTGGGGGCTCCCGGGGCTAGGGGGGATACTCAGCCCACCCCGGGGTTCCCTCTCCCTCCTCGGCAGGGGCGGCAGAGGGGGGTGAAATCTGCTTTCAGGGGAGAGTGGCGGTTGCCGGGAGGGAAAGGGAGCTTGGCCGGCGGGGTCACCTTCCCGTCCTCTGCCCCGGGCGGGGTCCAGCGGGCGCCCCGCGCTCACTGTAGCCTCGGCGGGCCTCTTAATTCCGGCGGCCCGGGTGTCCCCCCGCTCCGGAGCGGGCCCTTTATCCGGCCCCTGGGTCCCCGCCCGCGGGAGCCCTGGAAAGTTGGGCGCGGGAGGCGGGGCGCGAGCAGCAGCTCCCGGGTGGGTCCCGGCGGGCCGCGGGCGGGGTCGAGGCCGGGGCCAGGGTCGAGTCAGTGCTTCGGGCCGGCTGCGAGCCCTGTGCCTAGGACACCGACGACCCGGCAGCCCCGCAGCTGCTTTTCGTCTTCCCAAAGTTGCGTGCAAGCCACGGCAGCAATTAATAATTAAGCCCGTAATAAAGGCCCGGCCGGGACTGAGGCGCCCCCTTTTTCGGCACTGCCTCTCTTAATTAAAAGACACAGAGCAGGGCGCCCAGGAACTGGCTGTATCCTTTGCCCCGGCGCTGCCGCCTGTGGCGACCCGGCCGCCGCCGCCCCCAGCCCAGACGGCCAACTTACTCCGGAGCGGGCGGACCCCGCGAGCCCGCGGTCCTCTCTTCCCGCCTTCCCGCCGCCTCTGCTCCCCCCACCTGCGCGCCGCTCAGTTCCAGGTTCGACTCCACGCCGGCCCCAAACCAGTGCCTGCGCCCCCTCACCTCCCGACCCCCTCCCGGCGCCGGGAGAAGTTTCCAGCCGGACTGGCCGGGAGTTTCTCTGTGCAACTCACAGGCTCCCAGTTTGCAGAGAGATGGGAGGGCACGGGATGGGGGTGGCTCTAAGCGGTGGCGGTGGAATTGGGGTGGGGGAGAGGCGCGGGAGCAGGGTTAGTTTCCTTTTCCGAGACACATCCGAGCATCCTTGCAACATCCCTCCCCGACACACACACACACACACACACACACACACACACACACACACACACACTCTGTCTCTCTCTCACACACACACACACACACACTCTCACACACACGACGGAAAGGACCCGGGGGAAGCTGGCCAGAAAGACAAGCTACCCCTTTAAGATGCTGCTAAGAACGCACCCTCACACACCCCTCTGGGGCGACTCCAGTTCTCAGCTCGTAGCAGCCGCCACCAAACAACTTTTGCATCCGAGCCTTTGCCGGGCCGCTGTAAGTGGCTCCCGGGCCCGGGCAAGCCTGCATGGTCACCGAAGCCCTTTAAAAATGAAACCGGCCTGGCCAAGCTGCAGCCTCTCCCCCCGCCCGCCTCCCGGGCTCTCCCCGCCCGCCTTACCCCGGCTCGGAGCGGCTTCCCGGCGCGGAGACCTGGGAGGGCCGAGGACCGCCACCCTCCGGCGCTGCGCCTCCCCCCTCGGGCTGGCGCTGGGTGGGGGCGCGGGCCGAGGGCTGCGAGCCGCTGCTCCTTCCCCGCGCCGCTCCCGCCGCTGTGGCCGCCGCCGCCGCCGCCGTCAGATCGGGGCCAGGGAGCCCTCCGGCCGCCGGGGGGGCCGCCCGCAGCCGTCCCGGAGACGCGGGCCGGGGGAGGGGGCCGCCCGCGCCGCCCGCATCGCCCGCCCGGGCTGAGCGGGAGGTCGCCGCTAACAAGTGCAAACTTTTTGGCCCCCCTGGGCGGCCCGGGGAGGACCCGCGCTCGGGCGCCGGGCAGCCCCCGGCCCGGGTGGGCTTCGCGGCGTCTCGTCGGGGAGCCGGGGCATCCCCCCGGCGCGGCGCGGGCCAGATGGCGGGCGCTTCACTGCCCCCCTGCACTCCGCTCCAAGTTAATGCCGAGGCTAAATCCTCTTGCCATCACTCACGATCACCATCGGGGCTTTTATCTCTCGGTCTGATCCGGGCTGCGTAACTTCCTCTGTGTGGCTTTAACACACCATCCCACCACGGAGCAACGGTCTTCTTAAAGGTGCAGGAAGGAAATATTGCGCGGCTCGGGGGACGCGCCACGGCCCGGGGAGGGGCGCGGCGAGCAGGGGCGTCCCGGCGGGCCCGTGGCCAGGGTGGCCCCGGCAGCCTCTGGGGGGTCGCTGCCTAAACATCGCCTCCCGGCCCGGGGGCCAGCGGGTCCCTGCGCCCAGAGCGCATCCTCAGCCGGCTCCGGTCAGGCGCAGCCGGGCTGCAGCTTCCTCTTCCAAAACCCGGGGGCCTGCCGGGGTGCCAGCGCCCATGGGTGTGGGGGCTGCCCCATCGGCACGAGGGAGGGGGGCCAAGTGAGTCAGTTCCCCCACCCCCCACAGCCAAGGGCTCAGGGCTGCTCCTCGGTCTCTCTCTGTGAAGTGCTGCCACCCAGAAGGCCCCAAGCAGTGGGTACCGGGGTGGGTGGGTGGATTTGGGGAGATGGGGAGGGGGAGCGATCTGAGCGCACAACCAGAGCCTGAATACCAGCTGACACATCGCCGCCTCCACCCTGATGGGCCCTGCTTTTGACGAAGCCAAGCCAGCTCTGCAGGGAGTGCAGAGTAGTGGGGCAGGAGGGGCCTGGCTGAGGGGTTCTCTGTCTCCCTCCCCTGCAAGCATGGGAGGCAGGTGTGGGAGGGCTCCGGTAGCAGCAGCCCCGGGCAGAGGCCACCGAGTTCACAATATCATATCCGGCAGCCCTGGGCTCTCTGATCCCCAGGAGGTTTCCTGCCAGCCTGCCTCCCAGGGCTTCTGGGAGAGTTTCCACATCTTCCAGAAGCACATGTGGTTTTCGGACACTCCTGGCCTCCTGGGGTGGGCTCACTGCAGCCTTGAGCAGCCAGCACTGTCATTTGGATGCATCAAGAACAAAGGGCCTGAGGACAGACAGAGAGAGAGGCAGAGAGAGAGAGACCAGCCCAAGGTCACAGAGGGTGTTGGGAATGGAGCAAGACATGGCACCTCAGTGCCCCGCCCTGCTGCCACCCTTCACCTCCACCTTAACCCTTCCCTGTTCTCAGCTGCCCTGAAAACTGGAGACGGAGTTATACTGCTGAATAATATTTGGAATCTTGTGACAAAACAGGAAGAGGATGCAGAATTAAAGACTGTCATCTGCTGTAATAATAATAATAATATATTTATTGAACACCTGTTTTATGCCAGACTCCATGCAAACCAGTTTGTGTGCATTATTCACTGAATCTTCGCCAAAGCCCTGTGACTTCACTGCTAGTAGCAAAGCCTCAAGTTAGAGATGTTAAGTAACTTGCCCAAGGTCACATAGCTAAGGATTGTGGCCGGGGAGGCAGGGCTTTTGGGTTTCTGGGTGATGCTCTCTCACTGGCCTGGCTGGCTGGTGAACTTGGAACACGGCCCAGACTGCTTTGGGGCTCAGTTTCCCCATATGTGAGATATGAACGGTAAATCCTTCTTTTTTCAAAGAGGGGTCAAAAAACAGGGCCATTGTGTGCCTCTACCTGCACATGCTCTCAGATGCCTACCACTGGAGATGGGCCTATCTCACCAAGCAGCCCAGGAAGGCAGACATGGGCCCACCCCTGGTTACCTGTTCTATGCAGGAGGAAGCTCCTTGGGAGAAGAGAACAGATCTTGGTGGTTTGATTTTTAAGCATTCAGCCTGCAGGCAGCAGTGAAGGGCAGGGTGTGGGGCTCCTGCACAGGGTGAGTGATGACCAGGGTCAGCCCTCAGCCTGCTGTCACCCCAGGGCATGGTCATCAATCCCTGGGAACCACCCTGCTCCTCCATCATCACTGTGGACTGGATGCTGTCAGGAATGGCCAAAGAGATGGAGGAGCTGCTTCTTACTTGTAGTTCATCTAAACACAGTGGAGGAACCAGGGGTGCCTCCTCCCTAGCACTGCCAGGATGGTTTCAGTGACCCATATGTAAAGATATGTGCCACTAGAAACAATTTTTAACATGCCTCCCTGCCAGCCCCCACCTCACCAATACTCCCTGCCTCTGCAACAAGCTGATGCCAACAGGCTTTTTTTCGGGGACCTATGCCAGAAGCTGTCTTCTGGTTTCCTCATTTCCAGACCCCAGGATAATGGAAAGAGCACCGCACTGAGAGTTGGGATAATGGGCTTTTCTTGGCTCAGCCCTTACCATGCTGTGTGGCTGGGGGAGATCCCTTCCCTGCTCTTGGCTTCAGTTTCCCCATCTGCACGATGAGGGGATTTGTCCAGGAGGGTGGTCCCTCTGCTATGATCCTGAGTTGACCGCACTCCACAGCAGCCTCCAGGAGACGATGTTCCTTTCAAGTGAACCATAAAGCACTTATTTTCCAAGATAGGGAACAAATAGGATTTCAGCCTTGCGGGGACCAGGTGGTTGACGGACATTCATTTTTAAACTTCATTAAGGTAACTTCTGATAAATGACCTTTTTTCTGGCAATGAAAAGAAGCTGAGCACCAGGGGCAGGAAAGTGTTAATGAATCTCCCTGAAAATAACCGCTGGCTCCCCTCTCACCAGCAGCCTAATCATCCCCTTCACTGGTGGGATTTTGGCTCCAATGCACAGTTTTAATTTGAATTGTGTATGTGGAATTTGCTATCAAAAAGCATCTGCAGAACAATGCACTTAATTTTATTCCATCTATATTTTTGAAAAGGATTTGTATATAACCATACATATGTATGATTATATACATATGATTGTATATAAGTCCACTATATATATGGACACATCCGTTATATATGTGGACGATGAAGACATACACCAAAGTATGAACAGGGGAGATGAGGGGGGACCAATGTGCTTTATTATAGATATCCTCTCTGGGTTGCCTGACTCCTTTACAATGAGGAAATTTGCATGGTATAGATGAGTAACAGGAAATTATAAAGTCACAAGCAAAAATAATCTACTAGCTTTGTAACGAGAGGTAACAGATGAGGTCCAGGCCCTCTGGGGACTTCCAAGAGGAGGCAAGTCCTGATGCAGACAGACAGACAGACAGAAGAAATGAGCTCACATTGCTGATTTAAGTCAAGTGCAAGCTCAAAGGACACCCCCTACCAAGTTCTCACCCCTCTCCTCGCTCACTCTGTTCACTTATGCCAGGCCACGATTTTGATTCTTCGACAAACTCTTTGTCCCCTTGACCTTGAGCAGTTGAGACGCAGCTGTTAGGGAGGTGGTAAGATGCTGTGCCCAGGACCATCTAGGGGTATTCAAGACATCCTGGGGCCCCTTCTACTGCCAAGGTAGGCGCAGGGGGAACCTGCCTTCCCCAAGGTGACACCTCTAGGCAGTGGCAGAGGCTACTAGAAGCACTCTGACCCCTCCCTGTCAGTCCTCAGCTCTAATCTCTAGACCATACTCCCATTAATTATTATGACTGTATTAATCATACATGTGATTAATTCAGTAATGGTGATTCATAATTGATTGCATTTTATATGGCGCCTTTCATCCACACATCTCCCAAGATGTGTACTGCCTACAACAAGAGACACATAAAGTGGAACGTGTTCTTTGCTTGCCTGCATTTTGTTGGATAAACTTCTCTTCGGAGACGCAGGGGGCTAATGGCCTTCGAGCACACTGAGCTTGCCAGTCCCAGCTCCGTGCCCATCTCCCTGAGTACTGCAGCTCAGCGGCACCCTGCCTTTCCCGGTGGCGGCCATACCGTAGGAGTCGTGCAGACTCCACCTCCTTGGCAGGCAAGTCGACCTAGGCCCCAGGCTGCCGGGCAAGGCCAGCCTGCCCCGGCTGGGAGGCAGTGCCACAAAGCGGCTTGGATGAGGGCTCTAGAGCCTGACTCTCTGGGTATGAGTCGTGCCTCTCCTGCTAATTAGCTGTGCAACCTTGAGTAAGTTACTTCCCTCTCTGCCTCACTTTACCCAAATGAAAAATGGGATTGTAATAGTCTCCATCTTCCTAGAGTTATGGTAAAGATCAAATAAAATGATGGACAGAAAGCAATTCGAACGTGGCACACAGTAAGTGCTCAATAAATGTGAGCAGCCATTGTGGAACCTTAGGCCTGGTTCCAGCACCAGCAGCTCTGCGACTCGACTGGGCTCTTCCCTGCTCTGGATCTCAATTTTCTCAGCTGTGAAATGGGATGGTGGCTGAACCTTGTTGGTTCTTCCAGATCTTAAATGAGCACTTAATACAGTCACAGTTGAAATTTGGGGCTTCAGAGTCAAGCAGCCCTGGGGTCCCATTCCCGGCTATGTGACTCACCTTGCCAAGGCTCATTTGTTTCACCTGGAAAATGGAGGTTAGAATGGTCTCCAATACCTAGGCTTGGTCTAAGGATTTAGTGAACTAATGCTTGAAATCGATTTGGCTTCTAGAAAGTGCTTAACACAAGGTGGCTCTGGTATTACACACTCAGGCACCAAGCACAGCAGTTTACTACAATCTCCAATTTCTGCTTTAACCACCGTTCTGTGAAAGAGACTCTTATCCTGGCCATTCTTCAGACGAGAATACCAAGGTTGAAGGATGTGTCCTAGGTTATTCCGGGAAGGCAGGGCTCCTATTTGAATACAGGCCTCATGGCTGGGCTCGCTGATATATGGTCTCAGTCCCAAGCTTATCATTCCAAGATTGTTTCTTCCCAACAGCCCTGGGAGGGAACCGGCATCGCAGTCTCCACTTGCCAGCAAAAGATACAGGGACTAGCTGGGCGCGGTGGCTCACGCCTGTAATCCCAGCACTTTGGGAGGCTGATGCAGGTGGATCGCTGGAGGTCAGGAGCTTGAGACCAGCCTGGCCAACATGGTGAAACCCTGTCTCTACTAAAAATACAAAAATTAGCCAGGCGTGGTGGTGGTGCGTGCCTGTAGTCCCAGCTACCTGGGAGGCTGAGGCATGAGAATCGCTCGAACCTGGGAGGTGGAGGTTGCAGTGAGCTGAGACTGAATCGCACCACTGCACTCCAGCCTGGGTGACAGAGCCAAAAAAAAAAAAAAAAAAAAAAAAAGATACAGGGACTGGGAGCTGGGAGTGAGTTGGTGCCTTCTCCAGGTTTCATGGCAAGTGAGCCCTGGGCAGGTGAGAACAGCCCCTGTGGACTGGGTGGAAATACTACTGTGCCACTGTGCCTTTGTCTGCAAAGTTTCTTCCACCAGAAGCCTGGCTGGGATCCCTCCAATCCGTGAGTTCCCATGGAAATGTCTCTTTCCCGAGTTCCAGCAGCATGACAGGGAGAGGAAAGCAGCAAAGCTTAGCCCAGAAGAGCCCAGGCTCCTCCAGGCAAAGCTGCTCAGCTCCCTGGCGAGGGGTGGCTGCTGTGAGAAGGAAGCCCACCTCCTCCACACTCCATGGAGCAGCAGACAGCCAGGCAGGCAGCCGGTCTCTCGTCTGGAAGCCCCAGAGGCAGGACCCATCGCTGCTCACTGCCATAAATTCCGGAGTCCCTGAGGACTCCTCAGTCTCAGGAGACAGGATGCAAAGGAGCATTGGCACCCCTTTTTCAGTGAGAGCGGGTAACTGCCCAGCCCTGCCAGCTTCGAGCTCAGGGGGCATCTTCTGGGCAATTGTGGCCTACCCACTGAGTACCTACTGTGGGCCAGCATCCCCCAGCCCTGGGGATGCCCATGGTGACAGATCCACTGGGTCCTGCCTTTGGGGTGCAGCAAGTCTAGTGGGATTATTCACATCTCATGGACCAGGCTGCCTGTGCACCTCACAAAGGTTGTCTGAGCACCTACTATGTGCCAGACACAGGCCAAACCAGGGAGGCGGTGCAGTCTGAGGAAGTGTGAGTGGGTATGTGTATGCCTATGCACACACATGCATGCAGGCATGTGGCAGTATTGCCAAAAACACTAGACAACACAAAGTCAATGGTGGAGGCGAGTCCTACCTCTCAGGATAGGAGACAAGGAAAGCTCAAACTAGGAGCGCCAAGAGCAATCCCCAGGCTTGGTGGGAACCCAGACCTCCACTCCCACCTCTCTGGGCCTCAGTTCCTCACCTGTCAAGTGGTGATAGTCATGGCACCTACCTCCTGGGATTGTTGGACGGATTCACTGAGAAAATGTGTAGGAATTATTTCAGGTAGTAGATGATCAAGAAATGTCGGCTCTGATTAGTCGTCATTGGCCGAGTCTCTCCTCTGGCCAAGGCTCTCTGTTCCACGATGATGGGGAGTCCAGGGGAACATTGCTCCGTGTCAGAAGAGTAATGGGGTTAGACTAACCAGTGTCACCTGGCCATCAAGCCTGGGAAATAAATGGAAACACCAGCCCCAGCTCTCCTCCCAGCCACAGTGTCTCTTTTCACATATGAACAATTCAGAATCTGCTCTTGAATCCGAATCCGAATTTCCACCCTCATCCCACCCATTCCTCTCCTGCTTTTGGGACAGTTTCTCCCGACTCCCAATGTGGGGAGCAGGAGAAGTTGTGGAAGGAGCCGCAGCTGGCCGAGTCATGGAATCTTTCTCCTGGGTCTGCCTCATCCTCTCGCCAGGTGTGCAGGCTTCTCACAGCCTCCCGCTCGGGGCAGCAGGGGCGTGTGGAGGTGATTGAGAAGAGGTTTGCATCAGCAAGGAGAGCAGGAGCTGAGGAAAGGCTGCAATCAGAAGGGAAAATGCATTATCAGCAGGAGGAAGCTGCCTCCCCCTCCCACCCGGCGACTCCTCCCCTAGAGGAAAACATCTTTCTTCCTTATTGGGCAGGGGATCTGGGCCTCCAGGACAGCAAAGCAGATGTGGCCTTCCTCTCAGACATGTGCTGATCACTAAATAATTGACCCACTTATAGAACTACCTGCTCTGTGCCTCAGCCCTCTGCCTCCCACTGCCCCGGGGAGCTCACCAACCCTGCAGCGGCCTTCAGAGCACTGCACCCCCACACCCTGCTCGCTTGATCATTGTCGTCGTTCAAAAAGAGCCCCATGTAGGCCCCACCCCAAAAGCACCCATTTGCAACCATGCAAAGTCCTACACAGATGAACGACAGCTGTAGGCAAGCTGGGCGCAGCGATCTTTGTAACGAAAGGCAGCTGAAAATTCTGAAAGACGACCCACAGCAAGAGAAACTGATCAACAGAGGAGTATTCCCTGGCTGCCTCCTTCCTGATCTCACGTGCACATTCACACATGCTCTGTTGTGTGCAACCATTTCCTCATTAAGTTGTCACCATTGGCATACAAACTCTTGGTCCATCAAAGCACTGAATTCTGAGTCCTGTGACCTTGGCCCTGGCCCTTGTTCTGAATCCTGCCAAAAGGAAACACAGTGATGTTTCCCCAAACATCCCCACATCTGTGCTTTCCAGCAGTCCAGGCTGTAAGACACGGTGAGACAGGGTCCCTCTCTCTTCCTCGTCCTGCCTCCCTCTTGGTCGATCTTTTCTATTCAAAGGAAGGCCTTGGGATCAGGGCTCCCTAGAAGGTGGCAGGTACCATCGCTCACAAAGTCAACTCCTGATCTTGGGAACCAGCTTGGATTTCTTGTTTCATGACACTCGACCTAATGGATGGAGACAGCTCCAGCTGCCACTGGTCTCTCACTCCGTGGACTTGGCTGGCCATTGCCCGCGACCTCTAGGATGTCCACACTTAGCCCATGCTGCCCCCATTTCTGGGGGTGGGACTCCTCCCCCTCCTGGAGGTCCCGGTGAGTTGTCGGCCCTGGAGATTCCTCACAGAGTCTTCTGCCTCCCATCCCTACCCTTCACTCCTTTTTCACTGGGTTCATTTTTTTTTTTTTACTGGTGGAGTAAACACAGACGTGCAGGCTGGGAGGGAAAAGCAGCCAGGGTCACTTGGCCACATGCTTTGCTTTTTGCGTCACCTGGGAGTTGGAGGGACATGGCTTCTCACATTCAAAAGGACTCCCAGGAGATTTTTCTTTTGAATCTGGGAAAACAAAAGTTCTGGGCCCGACTTCCTCTCTTGGTTCTGCTGGTTCTGGAGTCCAACTTGGCTGCACGACGCAGTTCTGTGGTTATCTGGCCCACTCCCTTCCCTGCCCTGCCCAGAGGCTCCTCCAGGACCCCTCTCTGTAGTTCTGATGACCCCAGCTTCTTTCACTGCTTTTGGAGATCACCTTGAGGCCGATGGGACTCTGAGCCAAGCACGTGTGGCGTGGTCACCTGGGGATGCTGAGACGGCCCCAGGATGGTCCTCCAGTGGCCTATATGATGGTCTTTGGCCACATTCGCGGTAAGCTTGACATTTATGAGCCTGGCCTCAGAACCTGACAGCCCGGGCTGAGAGTCCCTGTGCTGCCACTTATGTGTTTGGGCACGCCTTCTCACCTCAATTTTCCATCTGTACAATGGGCACAACAGCACCACCTCTCAGGGTTGTCGTGAGAAGTTAAGAATGCAATGATGAGTGCAGAGTGCTCAGAGGGGTGTAGGAGCCCCACATGTGATCAGCCTGCCGGCAGCAGGTGAACCCTTGACCCTGGAAAGTGTCCCCAGCCTGAGCAGAAGGGCCTCCCCTTACCTAGCACAGCCTTTGGGCCTCTAGCAACAGGGAGTGCTCACCCCACCTCAAAGGGGGAAAGGCCACCTTTGGCTTTGAATTCATAAGATGGTGAACTAGGGCGACATTAGAAGGCAAAGAAAATATACTTTCCTGTCAAATAGAGGGATATATCCCTGAACTCCTGTTCAAATGAACTCATTCTCTGAGGTCAGCTTACAACACCCATTCACTGTGCAGCCAAAAGCACCACCTCTCTCTTCCAAACCCCTACTCGCGCCCCACATAACAGAACATGTGCCAGACCTGGAAGCGGGGGCTCTTCCTTGTCCCTCCTTACAGATAGGGAAACTGAGGCTCTGAAAGGTGAAACAACTTGATCCAAGTCCTACACCAGGATCCAAACACATGCCTGTGACCCCACGGCCAGTGCCTTGACCCTTCCCCGCCCACATTTCTCAGAATTTCTTGCCCCAATTCTGTCCCCTGAAAGCTTTGGGACTGTAGCTGAGTCCCTGACTCCATTTCTGGGGTTCAAGATCTTCATCCATCAAGGGAGGAGTTTGAGCTGGTGGCACCTGAGGGTGCTTCCAGTGCTAACATTTTCAGATAAGCTGCTGGCCTCCCAGGTCCTCTCCTGACACAGGAGTCTCAGCTCACCCAGTACAAATGTTTCCCTGAACGATCAACACAATGACAACTCCCTAAGGAGAGGAGAGACATGCGTCAAGAACAGGATTGTTAGAAGCCTGACATTAACACACCATGCACATGGCACAGGTGACGCCCTGGGCAGCCAGCGGCGCGGCCACTGGGGAACACAGAGGCGGCGGGCCGGGTAGACAGGCCTGAGCTTCTGGTCTGTGCTTTGATTTTTAATTTTTGTCAATGTGAGCTCCAGAAATGCCTTATGGTACACTGGGAAAAACTCTCCTTTTGCAGCTAAATGGCCAAACATGTACCGAGCAACTGCTCTGTGTCTGCAGGGCCTTGGGAGCCCAAGGGTGAGGCTGGAACCTCTTAACCAGGTATGACCAGGCAGTTTCCAGAAAGAACCTCTTGGCATGAGGCATCCATATGTGGGGCTGCTGCTGTCCGGCTGGTCTGCACGAGGGCCACCACTCCCATTTGTTGAAACATTGAAATACTTCATGCATTTACTGTCGGCAAAGAGCCACTATTCTGGGCCCCTGGAGGGTCTCCCCATCCCACTTCCCAGGCCACTCAGCACCCTTCCTTGGGAACCTCTAGATAGCTAGACCTCCCCCAAACCCAGCAGCTACCTGGGCTAGTGCCTGGCACAGCAGCAGGACCTCTAGGTCTCACTCCTGCGCTCACCTGGCACCTGCCTGTCCCCTTGGGCGGCACCCATGGCCTGCTGGTTGTTCAGTATACTGATAATCACTGCTGACCTCAAACACACATGTGCACATGCCCGCAGCCCAGAGTTTGGGGTGATGTGGTTCTCTGCTGCCCTTGGGATTCCCTAGGGTGTTTTCAGGAAGACCCCGCTCCCAAGCATCCCCCTCAGGGCCCAGGTCACTGGGGTCGGGCCACCTTGGGGTCCTCCCACAGCAGAGCAGGAAGGCAACTTCTGGTCCTATAGAGCCTATGCTTTACTGTCCCCAGTAACCTTCCCCCAGCTAAGCCCACCCACCACTCTGCATTTTATAACCAGAGAGGAGAGTAGCTTCTGCTTCTGGAAGAGGGGGCTCTTCTCTGGCTGCCCTCGTCTGTGGTCTCTCAGACTCAGATGGAGAAGTGCAGCTGGCAGAGAGGGTGAAGAGGGGGAAAATTCCAAGTATCAGTGTTGACCAGGGGGCTGTGTTGAGCTGGATCCCAGGTTATCAGGACAGAGTGCTGTGATTGACTAGTCATGGCTGCCTGGCGATGGATTCGTCATGTCTGTCTGGATGGGGGAGAGGCACATTGGACTCCATGTTCTCCCTGTTTTAGAGGATGAGGATGAGTCTCTACCCACCCTATAGACAGCCCAGGGCCACACCAGACACACACGGTACTTGAGAAATGTGTTCAATTGAGGGCAATGTTAAACATGAAGCAAGCAACCTGTGTGTTTATTATTATTATTAATATTATTATTATTACTACTACTATTTGAGACAGGATCTCACTCTGTTGCCCAGGCCAGAGTGCAGTGGTGAGGACATGCCTCTACCTCCCAGGTTCAGGCAGTTCTCCCACTTCAGCCTTCCATGTAGCTGGGGCTACAAATGTGTGCCACCATGCCTGGCTAATTTTTTATTTTTTTATTTTTTGTAGAGACAGGGGTCTCACTAGGTTGCCCAGGCTGGTCTCGAACTCCTGGGCTCAAGTGATCCTCCTATCTCTGCCTCCCAAAGTGCTGGAATTACAGGTATGAGCCACCATGCCTGGCCAACCTGTGTTCATTGAGCACATATTATGTGCAACTGGATGATAAAGTAGGGAGAGGAACTGGGAGGGATGTTTCTGGGAAATTTGAAGCTTTGTTTATGTATCCGTCCATCCATTCATTCTCTCCACAGTTATTTATTGAGTGCCTTCAGTGCACCAAGCTCTGTGTTAGGGTCTGGAGATACAGAGCAGCATCTGCTCCAAGGAGCTTCCAGGGAGCTCCCTGTGTGGGGAGCCAGGCAAGGTGAGCACAGTAGAGTGTGAGCTGCCACCGGCGGCAGGGAGGGCGCACAGCCGTGCTGTTCTCCTCCCTGGCAGAGGTGCCCTCCCAGGACCGGCCGGGGTTATTAATATCCTGCTGAGTCAGGGGGCTCTTGAGTTTCAGCATCACAAGACGCCAAGACTGGGCGCCGCGGATATTCCTGACTCCAGACTGCCCTCTCCTTCTACCCTCCTTCCCACCTGCCCTTCCTTCCCTCACCTCTACCTGGCACAGGCTGTTGAGAAGGTGGCAGGTGCTGATGGAAGCAGGTCTGGCTTTGGGAGAAGGGGGAATGGGGGGAATGAGATCTTGGGAAAGAAGTAGTTCCAATCCCCACTCTACAACTCTCTCACCGTATAACCCGATGCGAACAATCTCACCTCTCCAAGTCCCCTTATCTACAAAAAGGAAATAGAGACAGCAATGATGCAGCATGAAACAGGCCGGTCATGCCAAGGGCTGTGCCTGAGTAGGTGTTAAAAAGTGATGTCTATTCATCTAATAAGTACCCACCAGGGCCGTTCCATGTGCCTTATCCAGAAGAATGACAGAACAAGACTGATATAGTTCTACCCTCCTGAAACCCAGATGGGTCAGGAGGCAGACAGCCAGAGGGTCAGAGGGAGCCGATGCTGGGGGTGCCCAGGCCTCCGCAGCTCCCACCTGATCCGATGTTTCCCCTGATACAGAGCCCTGCCCACACCATGCTGTGACTTCCTGGTTACTGGGGCCCCCTCCTCACACCTCCACCAGACTGCAAGCTGCACAGGGGAAGGCTTTGCCTGGCTGGCTCAGTGAAGACCTCTTGTGCCTTGCCCACAGTAGACACTCAATACATGTGTGCTAGCTGAATGACCCGACAAGCAATGAGTAAGAAGAGGGGTATGTGCAGTTTATATTAAATGACTCCTGTGTGCTCAGGTAAAGCTAAGTAATTAGTGGATTAATAGGATCAGCATCGATGCTAATTGGCATATTTAAAATCAAATTTGGCCAGACAAAGCGGCTTGCACCTGTAATCCCAGAACTTTGGGAGGCCAAGGTGGGAGGATGGCTTGAGGCCAGGAGTTTGCAACCAGCCTTGGGCAATGTAGCAAAACCTCATCTCTACAAAAAATAAAAATAAAAATAAATAGCTGGGCATGGTGGCCGGCGCCTGTGGTTCCAGCTACTCAAGAGGCTGAGGTGGGAGGATCACTTGAGCCCAGGGGTTCGAGGCTACCTAGTGAGCCATAATCGCACCATTGCACTCCAGCCTGGGTGACAGAGCGAGACTCTGTCTTAAAATAATAATAATAATAATAATAAAAGTGCATTTCCTTCTAGTTCTTGCTATTGCACACTCCCCTCTCTCTCTCTCTCCTCTCTCTCTCTCTCTGTCTCTCTCCTGAATAGGATTGTCTTACCTGTCAGCTTTTCCCCCTCACACACATAGTGAGACAATCATGGCTCTGAAATATATTCTCCGTGTTCAGATGAGAAGTGCAGAGGTCTGTGTGTGGGTTAGTGGGTATGACTCCTAATGAAAACAGTCCGTCCAAGTTCTCCCGAGCTGCCTGGAATTCCCACAGCGGATGAAGAGGGGTGCCCCCCTCACCACCCGCTTTCCACTCCTCCCACTTCCAGGTATTCCTTGGGGTTTTACCTGCCCTAGAGGAGGAAGAAGAAGAAAAAACCATGGCAACTGGAGACAAGGGGCCAGGTCGGGGGGAGGGGGTAGACGGTGCTGACAGCAGTGAGCCGCCCCCAATCGCTGAAACTCCCCACGGCCCCCTGAGCACCCACAACATTCGCTCCTCCACTTGACCTCAGCGAGCTTGTATGTTAGCTGGGAAGAATGTAACAGTTCAAGGACACAACAGATGAGTAAATGGATGACCATGAACGCCCCTCAGCAGACAGTCCAGTTCCTGACTTGTACCTTCGATGCCATCATCTGAGCCTCACACCTCTTCTGCCCCATTCATTCCATTCCCTGGCCACCCTCCGTTTCTCATTGCCTAGAGAATGAGGTCTGCAAGTGGTCCTAAAGTGACGCTAGCCCAGCTTCCCCCAACAGCCGCTTCATGTTACTCCCTCCTGCCCTCCATGCTGTGGTCCGGGGGTCCAGGCTGTTTCCCATACACACCTGCGATGCCCCTGGCCTGGACGTTTCTTCCTTGGGAACAAAATAGTGGGCACTGAAAACGGTGGATTCTGGCCCCCAACCCAGGCCTGCCGTCGCCATAGGTCTCCAGGACATCCTACGGGGCTTCAGGGGCTGACCCTGCTGCTCCCTCCTCTGAGAAGCCATCCCTGGCTCTCCCCGCTGGAAGAACTAATGCCAGCCCCTGACCCTGAGGCCCTGGACTGCTCTTGTGGGAAGGGCGTGGTAGTGACAAAGCTTACAGCTCTGCAGACAACCAGCTTGAAACCCCAGCCCCCACCCTACCGTAGACGTGTGACTTCGATGTATTAGTGAATCTCTCTGAATCTCAGTCTTCCCATCTGCAAAATGGGAATAAGAATAGCCCCTCCCCCATGGGATTGTTTTGAGGATTAGAAGAGATCTCATAGGCCGGGTGAGGTGGCTCACGCCTGTAATTCCAACACTTTGGGAGGCCAAGGTGGGAGGATCACTTGAGCCCAAGAGTTTGAGACCAGCCTGGGCAACATGGTGAGACCCCGTCTCTATAAAAAAATACAAAAATTAGTGGGGCATGGTGGTGCCAGTTACTCAGGAGGCTGAGGTGGAAGGATCACCTGAGCCCAGGGAAATAGAGGCCACAGTGAACCATGATTGCGCCACTTAACTCCAGCCTGGGCAACAGAGTGAGACTCTGCCTCAAAAAAGAAAAAAAAAAAAAGAAAAAAGAAAAAAGAAAGAAAAGAAAAGAAAGATCATGTACAAAGTGCACTTAAAACCACATGTACTGGTAGCGCCTGGTCTTGAAACTGGGAGGCGGAGGTTGCACTTAAAACCACATGTACCAGAAGCACTTGGTCTTGAACTTGGGAGGTGGAGGTTGTGCTTGGTGACCACGGGCCGTGAGTACAGTCTCACAGGCATTGCAGCTATTTGGAAATATGTATTGTGCCTTCTACTAGGCTAAAAGCACCCATTTAGACTTTTACCCACCCCCTTCACCACTTCCCCAACCTCATGCCCTGTCCTTTTGTCTAGGAAGGAGGAAGGGGGGAAGGAAGGAAGGAAGTAGGGAGTGGAAGTAGGGAGTGGTCATGGGAAGAAAAGGCGATACCGCTGCCAACTCCTGTCACTGTGCAGTTAGTTTGTGCCGGGCACTGGGCTTTACAGCCTTTTTCTTTATCCCCCAGCTCTGAGCTGTAACCAGTTGTTTCCCTTGTTTACAAATGAGGAAATTGGCCGGGAGCAGTGCTCATGCCTGTAATCCCAGCACTTTGGGAGGCCAAGGCAGGTGGATCACTTGAGGTGAGGAGTTCAAGACCAGCCTGGCCAATATGGGGACATCCTGTCTCTACTAAAAATACAAAAAATTAGCCGGGTGAAGTGGCAGGTGCCTGTAATCGCAGCTACTTGGGAGCCTGAGGCAGGAGAATCACTTGAACCCAGGAGGCAGAGGCTGCCGTGAGCTGAGATCATGCCATCGCACTCCAGCCTGGGCAACAAGAGCGAAACTTCATCTCGAGGAAAAAACAAAAAACAAATGAGGCAATTGAGGAGGGCCAGAGTAGTTAAGTCACTGGCCCAAGTTCACTCAGCTTGTTGGAAGCTAAGTCCAGGTCTGCTGACGCGGAAGCCAGGGCTCACACAACCTCCACGCGCCGCACGGCCGAGAGGGCCGCTGGTTTGTGTACATGCCCAGGCAAAGACTCCTGGGAGTCCCAAGCCCCTCTTTTCAAAAAGAGACTTTTTAAGCCAAGTTTTAACAGGAGTGAAGGGTGTCTGAGGAGCAGTTTGGGGACCGCTGTCCTACTGAGAAGGAAGAGCTGCTGTTTGGCATGTTGGACCAATCCTGCCCCACGCTCTACTCGGATGCTATTTTCACACACAGTGGGAAAATAACAATTTCATATGCCTCCCTTCTCAGAAGTGGTGGCTTGTAAACACATGGGGACTGGGGACGATAAAGCACAGAGCGCCTTGACTCAAACTGTCCTCCGTGTGCCAGTTTTCTGTGCAGACTAAAAAGATAATCAGTGGTGGAACATGCAGAGGGAAATGAAATTTGGATAGAGGGAAAAACACAGCCCAGAGCAGCTTCTCCTCTCGGTAGTTCCTGCACCCTGGGTATAAGGCTGCATTCCATGGCAACAGCATTCACACGTCGCTAAAATAAAAGCTGGCACCAGCTGGACCCGTTATTAAAGTGGAGCCCTTGGATCAGCCTCATCCCTGTGAGTGACAGGGTGGCACTGGCTGCCCGAGGCACAGGAGTCCCTGGGAATCATGAGTGGCGTCAGGCCTACCGCAGAGCCTCTGCAGCCATTCTGTCCAGCGTTCTCCACTGCCACTGCACGAGGACGCACAAGGACAGCGGGAACCCTTTCATCTGGGAGTGAGTTGAACCTGGTGGTTAAGGACGAGGCACTGGGGACAAAGGGAACTGAGTTCCAATCCCCGCTCGGCTAGTAACTGGCCGTTCCACCTAGAATGAGTCAATTCTCATGTCTGTGACTCCATTTTCATATCTCTAAAATGGGCGTGACAGCACATCCCATCAACAGTTGTGTACTGATCAAATGAAGAAATATATGCAAAGCATTGAGCCCATAGCAGGCAAGGGATACATGGCTACTTTTTTTTTCTTTTTTTCTTTTTTTGATGGAGTCTCCGTCTATCGCCCAGGCTGGAGTGCAGTGGTGTGATCTTGGCTCACTGCAACCTTCGCCTCCTGGGTTCAAGTGATTCTCCTGCCTCAGCATCTGGAGTAGCTGGGACTACAGGCACGCGCCACCAAGCCCGGTTAATTTCTGTGTTTTTCGTACAGATGGGGTTTCACCATGTTGGCCAGGCCGGTCTTGAATTCCTGACCTCAGGTGATCCTCCCACCTTGGCCTCCCAAAGTGCTGGGATTACAGGCGTGAGCCACCGTGCCCGGCCGATACATGGCTACTTTCTAGTGAGCTCTTCTACAGAACTACAGTCAACTTTTTGGGAATATACCTGTTGGATAAAGTGAGGGATTCTTTTAATATTTGGCACGTTGTTAAAATTGTTTATGTTAGCCAATTGCTAAATATGGGTAAAACGCTGTGTGTGCACCTCTGTGTGAGTGTGATGTATGCATGAGAGCGAGAGACAGAGAGACAGAGAGAGAGATTCATGATGCAGATGAAGTTGGAGCTAGCTTTGGAGCCAGGCTGAGGGCTTGAGTCAGCCTTTTCCACTTACTAGCCATGTGACCTTGGGTGAGTCATTTCACCTCCTCTCATCTCAGTTTCCTCGATAACACACCGTCTTTGCAGGGTTGTTGAGGAAATTAAAATGACACAAGTTTGGAAAGAACCTAACGTCCATCAGTCTCTTGAAAGATCAACAGCTGCTGCTGAGTACAAAGTGAGATCCTGGAACAGAAAAAGGACATTCGTGGAAAAACAGATGAA
Source organism: Homo sapiens (assembly GCF_000001405.40). NCBI lineage: Eukaryota > Metazoa > Chordata > Mammalia > Primates > Hominidae > Homo > Homo sapiens. The sequence continues at coordinate 132,144,975 of NC_000009.12, read as the reverse complement.
ATCCAACGTCTGGAGTTTGGTCTGTAGCAGCAACAACGCTCTTTTCTCACTTTTGACAGGTGTACTGTGGTTACGTCAGATGATAACATTAGGGGGAACTGGATGAAGGGTTATGGAGAACACTCTGTTCTATCTTTGGAAATTTTCTGTAAATCTAAAATTTTTCCAACATTAAAATACATATATATATACACACACACACGTATATATAAGGTACACATATATGTATATACATATATACATATGTATATATGTGTGTATATATACACATTATATATATACATTATATATATATACATTATATATACACATTTTATATATATATACATTATATATATATATATATATACACATTTTATATATATATGGGCTGAGGAGCTGGTCTAGACTACAGGGGCTGACGAGGCACAACCCAGTGTAATGTGGGGTCTTGGACTGGACCCTGGGTCAAGGGAAAAGATAAAATTACTGAAAAGAGGAGTATTGGGAAAATTAGCAAAACGTGCACAGGGACCATCTCCCGCATAGGGCAGTGGTATGCTATCAGTATTAAATTTCTTGAATCTGATCATTGTCCTGAGGCTGTAAGTGTCCCATTCTTAGATGACACAAGCTGCAAGTAATTTGTGGTGAAGGGACATGATGTCTGCAACTAACTCTAGAAGGAGTCAACAAAACTACAACAGTATAGACTATGTGTGGAGAGAGACAGCAATGTGGCAAGGTGCTCACAAACTGGGAATCGAGGGAAAGGTACACAGGAATTAATTTTGCTATACTTGCATAGGTTTGACATGTTTTCAAATTACAAAGTAAGGCCAGACGTGGTGACTCACGCCTGTAATCCCAGCACTTTGGGAAGCTGAGGTGGGAAAATCACCTGAGGTCATGAGTTTGAGACCAGCCTGGCCAACATGGTGAAACACCGTCTCTACTAAAAATGCAAAAATTAGCTGGGCATGGTGGTGGGCACCTGTAATCCCAGCTATTCAGGAGGCTGAGGCAGGAGAATCATTTGAACCCGGAAGGCGGAGGTTGCAGTGAGCCAAGATCATGCCATTGCACTCCAGCCTGGGCAACAAAAGCGAAACTCCATCTCAAAAAAAAAAAAAAAAGTAAGAATTACGTTTAAATTAAAAGAACCTGGTGTTTGCTACATAGGCAGCACATTAAATATTATGCACACAATATTAGAATTTTATCTTAATAGTTATTATTCAAATATGCCTTGAATCCTTCTCCAAGAGGGGCTCTGAGCTGGGGGCCCCAGAAAAGGTGGGGGTGAGTCAGCCAGCCCCAGCTTCAGTCAGGGTGAAGGCCATGTCCTGGGACTATAGCCAGGTGACAGTAAGACTTCATCTCTGATGCCCAGCCCCTGGCAGTGTGCCCTCACACAGGAGATGCCCGCTCGGGAGCTGCAGGATGATTACACAAAACAAACCAGTGGATATGAAGCCAGATGCTTTGGATGCCACAGAGCGGTTCGGGGCCCAGCCAGGGCAGGAGGAGGTCTCTCGGATGGATGTTCTACCCTCCCTGTCCTTTGCAGCCACTCAGGAGCATTTAAGGGCAGCTGAAGCTCCTGCCAGCATCTGAGGTCCCGGCCAGCACAGCCATCAGGTTCTGGGCTATTCATTATTTAGGACAAGGTCTGGGGTTGGGTGGGGTGGGAGAAAGGAGTGGCTTGGGGGTCACTGCTGGTTCCCATTGAGCCCCATAGACACCTGCTTTGCCAAGTCACTGGTGTTAACGACGGCAATTGGGTTAGGAGGGCATAATTAGATAATTCAATTGCTTTCTGCAGAGAGTTCCTGTTTAATTAAAGGGCACTGAAGACAGAGCTGGGAGGCTGGGGAAGACCAGATTGATTGTCTAGAGGGACTGGGGCAGTCTGGCAAGATGGGGAGTGCTGAGCCAGGCTGAGCTGTAGCTGCCCCAGGCAAGGGCGGTGCAGGGAGCACCAGCTCGCTTCCACAACAGGGGTCGAAGCCAGTCACAGCCACGTAAGAGCAAAGCGGGAGATCCCGTTTATGTGCAGCAGAAGATAGTCGGATCCTCTTGAATGAACTTCTAGCCTCAGAATCAAAAGCTTTCAAATACATTTGCATTTACGTAAACACCATATCCTATAGTCTGCCAGTCTCTAGCTGTGTGAACCTGGGAAGTTGCTTCACTTCTCTGAGCCTCAGTTTCCCCATCAAGATCACAAGGTAAGGAATGTACCTGCTGGGTAAAGTCAGCTTTGTACAAACTTTTTTATATTAGCTAATCACTAAATATGGCCATGAAGCTCTGTGTGTGTGGTGTGTGTGTGTGGTGTGTGTGTGGTGTGTGTGTGTGCGGTGTGTGTGCGGTGTGTGTGTGCTGTGTGTGTGTGGTGTGTGTGTGGGGGGTGTGTGTGGTGTGTGTGTGTGTGGTGTGTGTGTGTGTGTGTGTGGTGTGTGTGGCTGGTTATTATTCGGGACATACCTGATGAAGTCATGCTCCTAGTGATGGGAAGTGCAGCTGCTATCACACTTCCATCCCGGAGCATGTGAGGATGAAGCCCTCAGACCACGCCCAGTGCCTGTGCAGCACCCAGTGAATGTCAATTACATTTAAAGAAGAAAAGTTACGTAACACATCTCAGACCTGGAGAAGAAAATTCCTGCAAAATACCCGGTGTAATCACATGTATTATGAAATATCAGCCCAAGAACCCCACTCCCAAGACAAATAGACATGTTTGAATGTTCTCTTCCCCTCCTGATCATTTTTAAAGACAATTGAGAGTTGCTTGTAATTAAATAGGGCTAAATAACCGAATTATCCTTCATCGAGCATTTATTGAGCGCCTGCTGTGTGCTGGGCCCCAGCAAGCAAAGTGGACGCGGTCTTTATCCTCACGGAGCCCTCATTAAGGGTTGATGGCACTGCAGAAAGGAGGCCCTTCCTAAGAGGCAGATGGAGAGCAAAGATGCCACAGGGGCAAGAAACAGGTAAAAAGTGCTAGGGAGTGATTTTTGCTCCCACCGGGACAGGCAAAACAATGAGCCCGACTGGGTTCTCTGCACTTCCTTCTCCTACACATCTTCCTCAAAGCACAGAGCCGCTGCTCCGCCATGACCAGCGCCCGCGTCCGGAGCCCTGCACAGGGGTTAATATTTTTAATTGGCGCTTTCCCAGGTTGCGGTTGGCATGTTCCCCAGCTGGAGCTGCCGTGGAGCTGACGGGCTCCTGGGGCGCCTGCCCCTGCGGGCTTCTCACTCTGCCTTCCCTCGTGAATGGTTTCCTTTCAGCTGCCCTATTGAAGCGGTCCCTTCATTCTCTCTGTGTCATCTCTCTGCTGCCATCTTATTAGGGAAAGCTAAGCCCTCTCCCGTGGGGTCAGGCATTGTCCCCTTCTTCCCAGAAACCACCGTGGCGTTCAGCTACAAAATAAAACCGTAAAAAAGGCTCATTCTGCCTGCTACCTGGCTGGGGTGGGAGGGGAAGCACTTTCTGAGCTGCCCGGGCGCAGGCGTCTGGGGAGCGGGTAAACAATGGTGACAGTCCTTAGGCAAGTGAGTGGCAGAAACTCTGGCCCAGTTCCCTCCAGAGGGAATCATTCTGGGGAAGAATTCATGCTTCGGAGAGCTTCAGGGTAAAGGGTGAGCCCACACAGTAGCAAGTACAGAAATAAAGAGTAAGTGGCTGTGCATGGAGAATGTTTAAGGGTCATGAATATTAATAGTGTTGTTCCTCATAGACCTATGAGCAGGGCTCTAATTAATCATTTTTAATGGCAGCTTTGTTCCCATTTTCTTTTATTTTCTTTCTTTCTTTCTTTCTTTATTTTTTGAGACAGAGTTTTGCTCTTGTCACCCAGGCTGGAGTGCAGTGGCGTGATTTCTGCTCACTGCAACCTCTGCCTCCCGGGTTCAAGCAATTCTCCTGCCTCAGCCTCCTGAGTAGCTGGGATTACAGGCATGCACCACCAAACCTGGCTAATTTTTGTAGATTTAGTAGAGACTGGATTTCACCACGTTGGTCAGGCTGGTCTCAAACTCCTGACCTCAGGCGATCCACCCACTTTGGCCTCCCAAAGTGCTGGGATTACAGGCGTGAGCCACCGCTCCCCGGCCTGCTCCCATTTTCATACTGCATTTTGTTTTATCAACAAGTCTCCCAAGGGCCTTTCACCACTGGGGATAATCACTGGAGGTGGCTTCTCCCGTCTATTAAACGAACCTCGCTCCAACCTGCAATCTGATGATCACTCCTGGGTCAGAAAACCTATGAAGCTGCCACAAAGTCCCAGTAATTGCAGAGGTGATGGCCACCTAGGTAATCAACAAGCATTTTAAAGTGCCTCCTGTGCACCCAGGATTGTGCTGAGCTCTGAGGATACAGCTGTGGCTGGCGCAGGCACAGCTGCATCCTCATCAGGGAAGACATTCACAAGCAGTGATCGGCATGTGCAGAGGTCTTGCTTGGGGGTTGTCCAGAGTGTCACGGAGCCCCTCAGGAAAAGGAGCACCAGCCTTGTCCAGGCACAGCAAGGAGGCTTCCTGGAGGAAGTGGCATGAAGCTGAGCCCTAAGGATTGAGTAGGAGTCAACCAGGGGGATGGGAGCACCAGGGCAGAACCAGGAGAGGGGATGGTTTTGAGAGCTGCAAGTCCAGCTGTGATGCAAATCAAGAGTATTTGAGTTGTACACCCGTGTCCTCAGCAGCTTATTCTCAGGAGACAAAAGGTAGAAGCAATCCAAGTGCCCTCCGACAGGGGATGGGTAGACAAAATGTGGTCTATCCAGGCAACGGAATATTATTCTGCCTTAAAGAGAAATGAAGTATTGATCCGTGCTGCAACCAGGATGAACCTTGAAAACATTATGCTAAGTAAAAGCAGCCAGTCACGAAAGGTCATGTATTATATGATCCCATTTATATGAAATATCCAGAATAGGTAAATCCATAGACAGAGAGCAGATTGGTGGTTGCAGGAGGGAGAAGGGAAGTGGGGAGTAACTGCTAATGAATGGATACAGAGTTTTACCTTGGGGTGATGAAGATATTTTGGAACTAGTTAGAGGTTGTGGTGGCACAACTTTGTGAAAGTACTAAATGCCATGGTCACTTTCAAGTGGCTGATTCTTTGTTATGTAAATTTCACCTTAAAGGAAAAAAAAAAAGACAAAAAAGAGTGAGCAAGAAGCCAGGCAAGAAGACACGAGCTGCACGCGGTCTTTAGGCGCCCCCAGCAAGGGGTCCTTCGACACTCTCATGGTCTGGTCACTTGCCCCAGCTTTGCTTTTCCCCTCCCCCACCCTCCCCTCCCCTTTCTTCCCTTTTTTTTTTTTTTAAGATGGAGTTTAGCTTTTGTTCCCCAGGCTAGAGTGCAATGGTGCGATCTTGGCTCACTGCAACCTCCACCTCCCGGGTTCAAGTGATTCTCCTGCCTTAGCCTCCTGAGTAGCTGGGATTACAGGCATGTGCCACCATGCCAGGCTAATTTTGAATTTTTAGTAGAGATGGGGTTTCTCCATGTTGATCAGGCTGGTCTCGAACTCCCGACCTCAGGTTATCCACCCTCCTCAGCCTTCCAAAGTGCTGTGATTACAGGCATGAGCCACTGCACCTAGCCCTTCCCTTCTTTCCTCCCTTCCCCTCCCCTTCTCTTCCTTCTCTTCTTCCCTCCCCTCCTCTCCCCTTCTCTCCCCTCCCCTCCCCTTCCCTCCCCTCCTCTCCCCTTCTCTCCCCTCCCCTCCCCTTCCCTTCCCTTCTTCTTTGATATAGGATCTCACTCTGTCGCCCAGGCTGGAGTGCAGTGGTGCAATCATGGCTCACTGTAGCCTTTATCTCCTTGGGCTCAGGTGATCCTCTCACCTTAGCCTCCCTAGTAGCTAGGACTACAGGTGCATGCCACCCCACTTGGCTCATTCTTTTTTTGTGTGCATATAGGGTTTCACCATGTTGCCCAGGCTGGTCTTGAATTCCTGGCCTTAAAGCAATCTGCCTGCCTTGGCCTCCCAAAGTGCTGGGATTACAGGTATGAGCCACCACAACTGGTCTGCCCCACCATTTCTAATTAAACTCCCAACATCACCCACCAAGAGAAATGCCGTCAAACTCCACAATGACACCAGCCACATTCTCACATCTGCAAGGAATTTTCTAGAAACTGTTGTGATGAATGGCTAGCCATCATATTATTGAGGATCTAATGAGCTAGTGCACAGAAAAGTACTTAAAACAGAGCCTGGTGACGAGTGAAACAGAGTACTGGGCTCTGAGGATACAGGGGTGGCCGGAGCCGACACAGCCCCTCCTTGTCAGAGAAGGCATGCGCAGGCACGTGTAGAGGCCTTGCTTGGGGATGGCCAGCGTGCCATGGGGTGCAATGTCTGATGGAGGGTCAGGCATTTTGTACAGTAACAATAACACGAGTTAGTAATAAGAAGGAGGGAGCACTTCCTTTGTGCCAGCTGCCTGGACCAGACTCATCACCTGTGTTATCCCAGTTAAGCTCCCAGCAGGCTGCCCCACCAATCAGGCACTGTTATCATCCCCAGTTTATGCATAAGGAATTGTGGCTCAGATATGTTAAGTCATTTGCCGAAAATCACACAGCTATGAAGCAGAGTAGCTGGGTGTGAAAATTCAAAGCCCCTCGTCATGCCACTCCATTACTTCCTAAATTACAAACTATTAAAAATGACGGACTCCTTCCCTGGCCCAGCTCTGTCCCCTCTTGCCGTGCTTTGAGATGCTTTCCCTCTGCTTCAAAAGCCTGCACGAGGCCGGGCGCGGTGGCTCACGCCTGTAATCCCGACACTTTGGGAGGCCAAGGCAGGGGGCATCCCTTGAGGTCAAGACTTTGAGACCAGCCTGGCCAACATGGAGAAACCCCATCTCTGCTAAAAAAAAAATACAAAAATTAGCCGGGCTTGGTGGCACGTGCCTGTAATCCCAGCTACTTGGGAGGCTTAGGCAGGAGAATCACTTGAACCCAAAGGCGGAGGTTGCAGTGAGCCAAGATCACGCCACTGCACTCCAGCCTAAGAGACAGAGTGAGACTCTGTCTCAAAACAAAACAAAACAAGACAAAAAAGCCTGCACGGGCCTCTTTTTCACCCTCATTGCTACATCATCAAGCTGTGAGTCAGGGACGAAATGGGTAGGGGCTGCCATGGGGCTTGCAGTCTCTGCCGTGTGTGTTTCTGGCCTGTTCCCGTGTCCTCTTTGGGGATGCGTAAGCCCAGCTTGCCAGTGGTTGTGTTCCTTTCCAGGCTGTAAGGGGCTGTGCTGGCTGCCTTGGAAGCAGCCCTGGGGCCAGTATGAAGTTGAAGATGACATTTCTACCACTGTATTGATGACCCGAGGAGGCGCCTATTAGAAAACGTAAACCGCGGGCAGCAGATACCGTGACTTGGGTATCGATTGGCCATTAAGTGTGTTCCATGTCCCCAGCACAAGCCTGTTCTCCCAGACCAGCCAGGAACAGGCACATTCAGCTTCCTTTAAGTGCCACGAGTGTGTCTCTTTTTTGAAGATTCCCCTCGGGGCTGTCACGGAAGGCGTAATGCAGGGTCCCTGCTCTTCAGAGCTGGTTTCCCAGGACAGGCTGGAGGCCACTGTGGGGTGCTTGCAACAACCAGGCAACTTGTCGGGGCGTGGAACTGCAGCCCCGGTGTCACGGGAAAGGCAGGAACAGCTACAACAGAGGTAGACATTGCAATCGTATAAATAAAAGATGTTGCTGTATGTGAAAACAACTTGACTCACATGACCAGCAACTTCCCCGGCTCCATCTCAGAACCAGCCCTTTTTAATACTGCACTTTTTTGCAACTCATCGGAGGGTAATCAATGGGCTTCAGGCCTCACATTGATCTGAAATATAAATACTAAAAAGATGAGGGCGAGGTGACACTTTTATTGACTTGATTGTAAAGGAAGTCAGAGGAGCTAAGGCAGGCAGCCAACACAATGGCACAAAGTTGCCATGAATTTGAATTCCATAGCAACAGACCAGCCTGAAAACTGCCATTTCCCGAAGTCGAGGAAATCCAGAACTTTCACAGGTGACATTTTTGGGGGTTCTTTGGCAACAACAGGGAGAGAGAGGCTAGGGCACGGCCACCCACACCTGAGGGCCACACTTGCTTGGACCCATGAGGGAGGAAGGAGGGGCTCAGCTGGGCTCAGGAGAGGGCTCCAGGACCTGACCCCAGCGTGGGGGTCACCAAGTAGCCCGCAGCTCCTGGGACAGGTGCTCGGCAGTTGGCCATCCTTTGTGACAGGCAGTGGCTCAGCTCTCAGCCCCCAGCTAGCACTGTGGCTTGCTTGTCCCCTCGTTCCCCCTTAGAGGAGCGCCGCTCTCAGCTCTTCCACTCTCTGGTGTTGTTCAGCTGAGGGAAGGAGGCCTGAAGCAGCGATGGCCCAGAATAATGGGGGCTGGAGGAGGGGCGGCCGGCAGCGAGCACGCAAGAATCCCATTAAGGAACAAAGCTGATCAATACTCACAGCAGCCAGGCAGGTTTAAAAGCCTCTCCATGCAGCCTGCTCCCTGTCAAGGCAGGAGGAGAGGCAGGAGAGCTATCTGGACCCTTCCCTCAGAAGCACCCACTTGGGCAGGGGAGGGAGCCGCAGCCCGCAGGGTGTGCTGCCGGAGCAGGGTTGGTGGACCCCAGGGGATCTGGGGACTCCAGCCGGTCCATGGGAGCCCATCCTAGGCACTTCACAGTCCTGCGCCAGAGGGGCCTTGACATCAGGGTCCTCCCTCCTGCTTTACAGTTGGGGATACTGAGACGTAACAAGGGAAAGGACTTTCCTGAGGTCATGTGGCTGGAAGTTTCCAGGCCTCTGCCTCCAGGTGTAGGTGACTTTCCACTTTAAGGTCTATGAACATGACCATCCCTCTCTCTTTTTACTATGGATGATACCAGTGATCTTAAAACCTACAATGGGCTGGGTGCGGTGGCTCACGCCTATAATCCCAGCACTTTGGGAGGCCAAGGCGGGCAGATCACTTGAGCTCAGGAGTTCGAGACCAGCCTGGCCAACATGGTGAAACCCAGTCTGTACTAAAAATACAAAAACTAGCTGGGTGTGGTGGTGGGTGCCTGTAACCCCAGCTACTCAGGATGCTGACATGGGGGAATTGCTTGAACCTGGGAGGCGGAGGTTGCAGTCAGCCGAGATTGTGCCACTACACTCCAGCCTGGGCAACAAAGCAAGAGGGTCTCAGAAAAAAAAAAAAAATTCTACAACAAATTGATGAAGACCTGCTTGAATTGGCTGTGTGCTCAGGCTGGGCCGAGATCGTGCCACTGGACTCCAGCATGGGCAACAGACAAAGACAGGCTCTGTCTCAAAAAAAAAAAAAAAAAAATCAGCTTTGTTGGCGACAAACAGATACCACAAGCCTTGGTGAGAACAGTATGATGTCATAAGCTCCAAACAAAAGTCTACAAGGATCTGGCTAAGGGGGCCATTCTGGCTCCCTCTCAAACCTGTCCCAAAGTTGAAGTGGCATGTTGGTAAAAGGTTTTTTGTTGTTGTTTTTGTTTTCTGAGACAGGGTCTTGCTCCATCACCTAGGCTGGAATGCAGTGGCATGATTTCAGCTCACCGCAACCTCTGCATCCTGGGTTCAAGCAATTCTTGTGCCTTAGCCTCCCAAGTAGCTGAGATTATAGGTATGCACCACCACACCCAGTGAATTTTTTGTAGCGACAGGGTTTTGCCATGTTACCCAGGCTGGTCTTGAACTCTTGGGCTTAAGTGATCTGCCCCCACCTCGGCCTCCTAAAATGCTGGGATTATAGGCATGAACCATGATGCCCAGCTGTAATTTAATTTTTAATAATGGTTGTGTTTAATGATTATATTAGTCTAGATTCTCCAGAGAGACAGAACCAATAGGGTATATACAGAGATCTGAGAGGGGGTTATTCAGGAAAACTGGTGCACGTGATTATGGAGGCTGAGAAGTCCCATGATATGCCATCTGCAAGCTAGAGACCCAGGGAGGCTGGGCTCAGTCCAAGTCTGAAAGCCTCAGAACCAGAGAAGCCAATGGTGTAACTCTTAGTTCAAGGACAAAGTCTTGAGAACCCAGGGGGGCTGCTGGTGCAAGTCTTAGAGTCCAAAGGCCAGAGAACCTGGAGTTTGATGTCCAAGGACAAGAGAAGAAGGGTGTCCCAGCTCCAGAAGAGAGAATGAATTCAGCTTTATTCTGCCTTTTTGTTCTACCTGGGCTTTCGGCTGATTGGATGGTGCCCACCCACATTGGATGAAGATGGGTCTCCCTTACTCAGTCCATGGCTTCAAATGCCAGTCTCTTCTGGAAACACCCTCACAGGCATATCCAGCAACAGTGCTTTACCAGCTATCTGGGTATCCCTTAATCCAGTCAAAACACCTAAACACCTAAAATTAGCCATCACAATAATCATCTCACCAAATTCTTTAAAATGTAACGATTGGCTCTCTCAAGCCACTATGACCTGGCTTCAGTACAGTGCTGACCCAACCCTCAGCTATGACCTAGCTTCAGTACAGTGCCAACTCAACCCTCAGCTATGACCTAGCTTCAGTACAGTGCCGATCCAACCCTCAGCTATGACCTAGCTTCAGTACAGTGCCGACCCAACCCTCAGCTATGACCTAGCTTCAGTACAGTGCCAACTCAACCCTCAGCTATGACCTAGCTTCAGTACAGTGCCGACTCAACCCTCAGCTATGACCTAGCTTCAGTGCAGTGCCGACCCAACCCTTAGCCACTGAAACTGGGGAGTCAAGTCTTTCCTTTCAGAGGAAGAGCTCAGGTTATAGGCATCAATGGCCCTGGAAAGAAAAACACGCTGATTCCCCCAAAGTAGACTTGAATGATAAGGGTACAACAAGAGCAGAATGCCTTGGGAAAGGAGGGGCTGGTGTGTTAGTGGGAGGGAAGAGGCAGCTCTGGAGATAAAAATTCTCTTCTTCCCAATCCCATCTCCAATTAGAGTACCCGTGGACAATTTGGAACTAAAATATCTGCCAACAGACCACTGATTTTCCTGCCAAATTTCCACCCGAAACTACCAATGTTATCCTTGACCCATGCTATTAAGGCTGCATAACAAACTGCCCCATGGCCTAGTGCCTTAAACAGCATCGGAGTCTTATTGCTGTCTCTCACAGGGTGGAGGCTAACTGGGCTCAGCCGGGAGGTTCTTGCTTTGGGTTGAGAAGGATCTTCCTGGAGCTTAAGCATCTCACAAAGGTCTTGCAGTCTTTACAGCCAGCCTAGCCTGGACAGCACCAAACACAGCCCTTCTCAAGACCACCTGAGAGCTGGTGATGGTGGGAACCCCTGCATTTTTGCTGCGAGACACTTCCAAGTTGCTGAACCCAAGAGCTTCACTTGGCATTTGACCATCTTTCTGTTCACTCCCTTTGGTGTCTGACACTACATTCCTAGACACTACCAGCCTTGCTGGCCACTCCCTCCCTCTCCCCTCCTTATGACACCTTGGGAGCCTTTCTGCTGCGTCCTGGCCCTGTTCCCCGCTCTGGTTCTATGCCCAACCCTTTTCTCCCTTAACCCCATCTCAGGGACTCCCCGAGTCTATGCTTGACCTTCAGAACTGTTCCCAGCCCAACCCCTCCCTTGGCGTAAGCTTCCAGCTGGGCCCTTCCATCTGGCCCCGAATGCAGCCACTAGCCTTCCCCCTATCCTCAACCTCATCTCCTCACTTCTTTTGTCAGCTCTGTTAATTCTCCATCACTGAAGGCCCCAAGCTTAGACCTGATTCAGTCTGATTTGGTGGCTCCTGACCTTCCTCTAGCACCTCCAGAAGGAACTTGGCTTTGCTGACACCTTAATTTTAGTTCACAGAGACTGATCTTGGACTTGTGACCTTCAGAACTGTAAGACAATAAATGTGTGTTGATTTTTTTGTTTTGTTTTGTTTTGAGATGGAGTCTTGCTCTATCACCCAGGCTGGAGTGCAGTGGTGCAATCACTGCAACCTCCGCCTCCTGGGTTCAAATGATTCTCGTGACTCAGTTTCCCAAGTAACTGGGATTACAGGCAAGCCCCACCACGCTCGGCTAATTTTTGTATTTTTAGTAGAGACAGGGTTTCACCATGTTGGCCAGGCTGATCTCGAACTGCTGACCTCAGGTGTTCCACCCGCCTCGGCCTCCCAAAGTGCTGGGATTACAGGCGTGAGCCACCGCACCTGGCCAATGTGTGTTGTTTCAAGCCACTAAGTGTATGGGGTAGTTTGCTACCCCATAACAAACTATAGTGGCAACAGGAAACGAATACACAGGCGCAGAGTAGATGCTCCGTAGGAGCTGGTTTCCATCTCTTGCTCCTGGAATGATCCACTTGAAGCTCCACCTGATTCTTGTCACTTCCAGTCTGGGCTCACCCATCCCCGTCCCTCACCCCTCCATTGGCTTCAGAAACAAAAGGAAACCCTGCAGCCTGGGGCCCTCATCTGCCCCTCTACCTTGTCTCATGGGCGGAGGCTTTGCTTAAGCACATAGCCCTGTGGCGCCCACCCTGCTTCCTGCACACTTGCCTCTGCTGTTCCCTGTGCTGTTCCCTTCACTCCACATCCCCTCCCTCCTCTCCACGTGCCCCCATTCTACGGGGGTCATGTGCCATGGCCTCCAGAAAGCCCTCCCTGCCCCTCCTGAAACTGGGACTCTGAAGGGCTCTATGTGTCCCTTTCTTATGACTTATCGCCACCAGCCCAGGTGGAGCTGTTTCCATCCCTGCCTCACCTGCCAGGTGCAAGCCCCTCCGTGGCAGGACCACCTTTTGTTCATGTCTGAATTTCTCATGGAGCAAACTCGGAGTACAGAGGGAGCGTTCAGTAAACACTCGTGGAATTGGACTGAAAGGGTGGAGGTGCCGGGAGTTACTCAGGGCAGTGTCCACAGTCGTGGCCAGTCACTGTCCAGCCCAGTCACTCATCTTCCCAGGAAGGAACAGAGCCAGGAGGCTGGAGAGAGGCCACTGCCAGCACCGAGCCATATAAATACTTTATAATGCCAAATTTACACAAATCAGCGAAATCCAGTCTAAAGAGAGGAGATGGAGTCCATTTGTCAAGGGAAAGGAGATCTGCTAAGTGCAAGACAGAACATTCTAGAAGGGCCTCGGGAGCTCCGGATATGATATTCCCGTGCAGAAATTAACCAGACATCTGAGCAAACAGAAAAACAAAAGGGATGTCAGCTGTCCAGGAAGACAGCTCTGGTTGTTCCATGCAGCCCAGCTCTGCTCAGGAACTTGAAGCCAGAAGGCACCCAGAGGAATCTCCTTAACGTTCATGCTACGTTTACCACCACTGCTGTTGCTACTATTACTGTTTCTACTATTACCAACAAAAACAACCACTAAGGAGAGAATCCAGGAATGTCGTGTGCACCAGTGAGACCTCCTTTCCTCTGCCGTCCCCTCACCATCTGTAGGGGAGAAAGAAGCCAGTGTGAGCCTGAGGAAAGCCCCACCCTTCCCCCACCAATGCTCCCCACCACTGCCCACCATGAGACGGTCAGCTCGTCTTGTCCTGCCTTTATCCCTGTTCGAATCGGCTGTTTCAGCAGCTCAGGGAAGCAGGGAAGCACCCCTCGATCCTGGGCCGTAACCCCAAATGGCTCTGCGGGTCAGGGAGTGGAGCAACCCAAACCCACCCCCTACCCTGCTCCCCATCCCTTCTCCTGCTGAACTTTCCTTCCACTGTGCTGAACGTCTAACGGACCTTACATCTCACTTATTGCATTTGTTTTCTGTCTCCCTCAGTTAGGATGTTCCTGAGGGGTTTTTGTCTGTGTTCTTGCCGGCTGTGTCCCAGTGCCTGGGACTGTGCACATCGTAAGAGCTCAGTAAATATTGGCAGATGAAAGAGAGAGAAGGGTGAACGGCCATTTATTGAAGCATGTGCTGGACACTGCACTGCATCTCATTCACCTTTTGCGTGATCCCCACAGTAAGCCCACATATCCCCCACTTTCCAGACGAGGAAATGGAGACTCAGAGAGGTGAAGAAGCTCATCTGCGGCCACCAGCTGTGGAGGATTTAATCCTTCTGGCAGGATTAAAATCCAGGCCTGAGCAATTGCACTCTCCAGTGAGGTGGGGCTGGCCTCACTCTACAGCTGAGGCCATGGGTGCCAGAAATGTGCACCTTGATGTCCAAAGGCAGATTGAAAATACTCAGAGCAGGGGAAGGATGGGGCTGGGACTTCCCAGGTACCCTCTGGGAAGAGGGCGGGGTGAGGCACAGAGAGGGTGGCAGAGCAGGGAGCAAGGCTTCTTTCCCGCAGCTCACGGTATCGCACAGCAGGCCAGATCAGTATTATTCTGCTGCAAGAAAGGACCAGGGACTGGGTGGCTTAAACAACAGAGATGTATTGCCTCATGGTTCTGGAAGATGGAAGCCAGAGATGAAGGTGTGGGCAGGGCTGGTTTCTCCTGAGGCCTCTCTCCTTGGCTGATAGACGGTATCTTCTCCCTGCGTCGTCACAGGATCTGTGTGTCCCACTCTCTTCTACTTTTTTTTTTAATGGAGTCTCACTCGTCACCCAGGCTGGAGTGCAGTGGTGTGATCTCAGCTCACTACAACCTCTGCCTCCCAGGTTCAAGTGATTTTCCCGCCTCAGCCTCCTGAGTAGCTGGGATTACAGGCACAAGGCACCACGCCTGGCTAATGTTTGTATTTGTAGTAGAGACAGGGTATCACCATGGTGGTCAGGCTGGTCTCGAACTACTGACCTCAGGTGATCCACCCACCCGGGCCTCCCAAAGTGCTGGGATTACAGGCGTGAGCCACTGTGCCCGGCCCCACTCTCCTCTACTTTTAAGGACACCAGTTATATCGGATTAGGGCCCACCCTAATGACCTCATTTTAACTTAATTCCCCTTTTAACGTCCCTCTCCCCAGACATAGTCATATTTTGAGTACTGAGACCTAGGACTCCAACAGATGATTTCAGCCCCTATCAGGACCAAGGGACTCCTTCTGCTCTTTGACATCACTAGCAGGCTCTGAGGCCCCGAGGTAGGGGTGGCTGCAGAAGGGGAGTGTCCTTGCCCAGGTGCAGGACAGGGCTGTCCCCCTGGGCAGGCTGTGTCAGGCTTCTTGGAAGTGACCAGTGCTTGCAGGTACACCCTGTTCACGCCACGCCGAGTCAAAGGCCCCTGTCCTCATGCCCGTCTCCCCCACGTGATGGTCCCCAGCAGGATGCTGAGCGTGTTTGAACAGATACGCAGTCACGTCCTGACATCCACTTTACCTAGTGTGAGATCTCCAGGCGGGAACTGCATTTTGCACTGTCACGGTGCCTGTCATGCAGGCACCAGGCGGCACACTCACTTTTTTCTGGTTGAGGCCCTTTGAGGACCCGCCTCCAGCCTGTGAAGTGTGCCTAGACACCTGGTCTACCAGGAGCACTACAGCAGACACCTTCAGTGAGCCTGCAGCCCACCCGCCTTCCTTCCCACCCACCTCTCTGACCTCCCTCCAGCTCTAGCCACAGCAGTGGACTCTGTGACTTCCCAGAAAAGGGTCGACCACAGCTAAGTCACACTGAGGTCGCAGGCAGAGTAAGCCATGCTCTAATTAGCACCACTGCATCACACGTTGGATACTGATGTTTTGCAGCTTTAAAAAGGAAGGACGTTGTGACAGGCTACAACGTAAATGAACCCGAAGGACATTATGCTAAGTGAAGTAAGCCAGTCACAAAAGGACAAAGACCGTATGACTCCACATATATGCAGTACCTAGAATAGTCAAATTCATAGAAACAAAAAGTAGAACAGTGGTTGTCAGGGGCTGGAGGGAGAGGGGAATGTGGAGTTATTGTTTCATGGGTACTGAGTTCCGGTTTTACAAGATGAAAAGAGTTCTGGAGGCCGGGCACAGTGGCTCACGCCTGTAATCCCAGCACTTTGGGAGGCCGAGGCAGGTGCATCACCTGAAGTCAGGAGTTCGAGACCAGCCTGGCCAACGTGGTGAAACCCGGTCTCTACCACAAATACAAAAATTAGCTGGACATGGTGGCGGTTGCCTGTAATCCCAGATATTCGTGAGGCTGAGGCACAAGAATCACTTGAACCCAGGAGGTGGAGGTCGTGGTGAGCCAAGATCGCGCCACTGCACTCCAGCCTGGGTGACAGAGTGAGATGCTGTCTCAAAAAAAAAAAAAAAAAAAAGAGTTCTGGAGATGTAACTCAACATTACAATATATTTAATATCACTTAACTGTACACTTAAAATGGAAAATATATATATATATGTGATTTTATCACAGTAAAAAAGAGTTAAAAAGAAGGGTGGAATAAGGTTATACATACAGAAAATGCCACATGCACCCCGTTTGTTTGTGTTTATTTGTGTATGGAACCTGGAAGGCTAAATCAGAAGGTAATAGCATGCTTCCCGGTAGTGGAGGATGGAGGGTGGAAGCCGGCCTTTGCAGTGAACACCTTCCTATCTAGTCTGATTTCTGAACCATGTAATTACTGCTGTTAAAAGATCAGGCAGGAGGGCAGAGAAGGGAGGAGGGCGGGTTTTGGTGTCAGACTCCTGGGCTGAGTGACATGGTGGCCATGATCTCTGGTGGAGGGACCTCCCCTTGCTAGGCCTCCACTCCTTCTGAGGCTGAGGCAGACCCCACCCCCTTTGGGGTTGCTGGAAGGTGAGTGAGTGTCTAAGGACGTTTCCCACAGTGGCACAAATGGGAACCCACTCTGCCTTCTGAGCCTGAAGCTTTTGCTCTATTTGGGAGGGAGCTGGGTCTGGGGGACTCGAGGCCAGTTGGCAGTCAGAGATCCAGTATGTGACATTGTTAAACGTGTCCGTTACGTACGTTTAGTAGTACTTTCCCCATTTACCAGAACTCTCCCCAGACTTTTCTCATTTGTTTTTGAAGTAACCTAAATATCCCCATGTGCAAGCAGAGGCCCCGAGAGGGAAACTGTGCTTCCCTCTGGCTCTCCAGCCTCGGCTTCCCCCGCCCCACCCGGCCTCGGCTCACATCAGCCCCCGAGAGATGCGTGGGCAGTGAGTGTCTCCTGGGGGCTAGCATGAGATGAGCACCATGGGAACTCGAATGAAAAGTGCTCCCTGCTTGTGGAGAGCTGCTCTCCCCGCTGACCGTAGACCCTTCACCCCAAACTCACTTTCAGATGTACTGCTCTATCCACATACCACCCAGACTCATTTCTTTTTTCTTTTTTGAGTTGGAGTCTTGCTCTGTCACCCAGGCTGGAGTGCTGTGGCAGGATCTTGGCTCACTGCAACCTCTACCTCCTGGGTTCAAGCGATTCTCCCATCTCAGCCTCCCGAGTAGCTGGGCTTACAGGCATGCACCACCATGCCTGGCTAACACTTTTTGTATTTTTAGTAGAGACGGGGTTTCACCACGTTGGCCAGGCTGGTCTCGAACTCCTGATCTCTGGTGATCCACCCGCCTTGGCCTCCCAAAGTGCTGGGATTGTAGGTGTGAGCGACCGCACCCACCCTAACTCTTATTTCTTAATAGTTTTATTTGGAATTATCTAATGTTTAACTTAAACATTAACTTAAACATGTGTTTTAAAAGGAAACTTTATATCACCTCGTTAAATGGAAAATCAGTACAACTTGCTACAAACATAAGGTAACTATAAAAATAAATATAATGAAAACCAAATAATGCTGTCAATTTCTAGAGCTGTGTTCCCACTAGAGGCTGGGAGCCTGAGGACAGCTCTCCTTGTTAAGGAAGAAGATTCGTAAGTACTAGGGAGGCGTTAGAGACCCGGAGCACCTGAAATTTCCCTTTAAGCAATGTGAAAATTGAAAGAGAATTGGAAAAGGGAGTCATTCTCATGAGGTGATTTAATGTTATTCAACACCATGCCTGATTCCAGTAAAGCCCTTCCACTAACCACCAGGGCCATGCGACCCACGTGTTGGCAGACAGCAAAATAATCCATAAGGACACTCCACTGGGAGTCCCTATGCCAGATTTCAAAAATCTGAATCACCAGGTTTGCGACACTATCCATCCCCCTTTCGCCCTTGATCCCTGGAGGGTCTAACTGACTGCAAGGTCTGAGCCACAGTCTTCCCCTCGGGGTCCCAGGACAGCCAGGGGCAGAGGACACGCCCGCCTGTGTTTCCTCACTCAGAGATTCCCATTTGGCCAGCGTTGTCTCTATTATTACAAATCTGCCTCCCCTGCAACTACCAGAAGCTTCTGACGCTCCATCAGTGAGGGCTGACAAATCAGTAGCATTAATATTTTGATAACTTGAGGTCCCGAAGCCACTCACCAGCAGAGACAACCCCACCTGGGGCTAAATTATTAAAATCACGATGTGATTGGCGCAGCTAGAATGAGTCCTCGGTGAGCTTGCTTCGGGAGGCCGTGGGCCAGGTTGGCAGTCACTGATTTTATTCTTCGTGAAGACCGCAGCTCTATTGCTGCTTTCGATTTTACATTTCCTAAGAGGGGGTCACAGGCAGGGGGTGGAGGAAATCCCCACGTTAAAAAAGAAACTCAAGTCAGCACTGGAAAAGATGAGAACAAGAACGGGGGAGGGGGCGTTAATGACTAGCGCAGTTTATTTTGGGGGTTCGTGCATAGAAGGGTGGAATAAGAGGCTTGCTTATTGAAAATAAGTGATCGATTGCTGGAAATCGTAGTCGTAAAGAGAGCTCTGTCTTTGAAGGACTCAGAGATTGTTTTCTTTCCCTCTTGCTTTCCCTGCCAGGACTTGGAGAGCTCTGTTGGCTGACAGGTGAGTTTGGAGTTGAGACAGGGCCTTGTGCAAGCAGTGACGTTGCCCTCCTGCATCCAAACAGGAAGGCCTTCCTTCCGAGGGTGGCACATGGAGTCATTTCTGGATGTAGATGGGCTTTTTCCCCCTCAGGAAACCAAACACCAACTTTCCTGATAAGGGATCTTTGTGGTCAGCGGGGTGAGGGTTCTGGAAGGAAGTAGGGGTGACCGCCCTAAATAATGGGTTTCTAATGGACTCAGGAAAGCTCTGTTGTATCTCTGGAAACCAAACCATCAGCTGCAGATTAGCCATGGAGAAGAGAACACAGGAGGGGCTGAGAGTCTGCTCATAACCAAGGGAGGTGGGAGATGCAGCCCCTGATGCAGAAACAGCTGCTGCACCAACCTCGTTTCAACACGAAGCCGAAATGCCCAAGCACTGAAGATGGTTGGGAGTTTGGGAAGACTTGATAAAAATGAAGAATTAAGCAGTTATGAGCCCTGATCAATACTGAGATGACGCCAATAACAGCTTGTGTTTATTTCGCCATTCTCTTGGGAGAGGCTCAGATCCTTATGTGAGCTTTAAACTTTCTGGTGGAAATCCCTTGTGGAGGGGCTGGAGGGGCCTGAAGGTGCAGGCTGAGGTCCTTCTCCTGTCGCATGACAAAGGGAGCACCTGCTGACTATGAATGCAAGCGGTTCAGGTTTTCCAGGAGGTGCGGGGAGGCAGGAGGCGGGCTGAGAGGGGCTGAGGCCCTCCCCTCACCTGGATCCCTTCTGGTAAACAAATGCACCATCAGCACATCAGGGCAGTGAGCATCCGACAGCCCTGGAGGAATTGTATAACCTACTTAGTATTTGGGGAAAATTATAAAGGATAAAGCTGAGACCGGAAATGCAAAATGATCTGAATGTGGTACAAATACTTCAGAAAAAAACAGAAGAGCTGTTCTCAAATTCACTCACCTGCACTTGGAATGCTCACCATGGGGCCACCTCCCTACAGGGCTCACGGATTCACCTACTCCCGTTTTTTCACTTATGTCGAATGTTTTATTTTCCCCCAATCAGCCTGTTAGGAGAGCCAATCAATGTGATAGATTTCCCCAGTGCAATGACCTGCCATCAGGCAGAATGAACAGGCTGTCTGTCTGGAGTGTTACAGGTGGAGCTTAGCCCCACCATGCACACAACAGAAACCCTCCCCCATTGAGCTCCAGCCACGTGCCAGACACTGGGTGGCCTGCCCCGTTCCCACATTATTGGCTTCGTGCACACAACCTGGAGGTAAGAATTATCATCCCAGGTCACTGAGACGGGGACTCGGGCTCAGAAAGTTAAAACCATTGCTCAAAACAGAGACAACATTCCCATCCAGAACTTGGCTTTGCCTCCCTCTCCACCTCAGTGAGCCATCAAGTCTTAGACAAAAGAGTAGAAGGGGGTAGGGTCATGTTCTAGTCCAACAAACTTCCATCATCTTTTGCTCGTTATCTTTGAGATAGTGTCTCACCCTGTTGTCCAGG
Source organism: Homo sapiens (assembly GCF_000001405.40). NCBI lineage: Eukaryota > Metazoa > Chordata > Mammalia > Primates > Hominidae > Homo > Homo sapiens. The sequence goes on along the minus strand of NC_000009.12, from coordinate 132,124,707 downwards.
AGGGTGTACAGTGGTGTGTGATCATGGCTCACAGCAGCCTTGTCCTCCCAGGCTCAATCGATCCTCCCACTTCAGCCTCCCAAGTAGCTGGAACCACAGGTGCACACCACCACGACTGGTTAATTTTTGTAGAGATGGAGTTTCGCCATGTTAGCCAGGCTGGTCTCAATCTCCAGGGCTCAAGTGATCAGTCCACCTTGGCCTCCCATGTGCTGGGATTACAGGCATGGGCCACATGGGATTACACCCATGTGCCTAGCCATCTTTTGCTCTTAACCATCATCTACCTTTAGCCTCCTAAACATCTCTAACTCTAGCTGGAATTTCTTGTGTCTATGGCCCTTTATTTTGTTTCGTTTTGTTTTTGCCCTTCCTTCCTTCCTACCTTCCTTCCTTCCTTCCTTTCTTCCTTCCTTCCTTCCAGACAGGATCTCACTCTGTTACCCAGGCTGGAGTGCAGTGGCGCAATCATAGCTTACTTCAGTTTTGACCTCCTGGGCTCAAGCAATCCTTTCACCTCAGCCTCCCAAAGTGCTGGGATTACAGGCTTGAGCCACTGTGCCCAGCCATTCTTTCTTTTTTTCTTTCCTTTTCTTTCCTTTCTCTTCCTTTCCTTCCCTTTTTCTCTCTTTCTAATTTCAGGGCTCTTCCCAGGTGTAGCACATTTTGGGCAATAGAGTTTTGCTATAGATTTGTATGAATAGATTTTTTAATTGTTGCTAAGTTGAATAACTTTTTTTTTAATCTGCATGGGAAGGATTTGGTATAGAAAAGAATCCCAAAGTGGGTTCTTCTACAAAGTGAAGAGAATGTACATCTATCACGTTATTGCTGAGGAGGATTTTGTGTCTGGGGCAAAGATAGGGAAAGGGGTGGAGGCTGGGTTTGTGTGAAGAAATTCTAGGCTTCCTTCCAACTAGAAGGGTCCATGTTTCAAATGTTTTGGCACGCATAGTTTATATTACTTTATCTCCTGGTTTATCTTTCTATGTTTATATTTCATATAACAAGTGTCCTTTAAAATGAACTACACTTAGAATTCTACAGGACAAATGACTTAGTGTCTTCAATAAATAAATGGCATTTTAGAAAGGATATTTTACAAGTTAAGAGACTTAACAGGCAGGTCCACCAGATGCCTCAAATAAGGACTAGAATGTGTGGTCCTCATTTGGGTCCTGATTCAAATGAACCAACTGTAAAAAGACATTTTTCAGACAATCAGGGGAAAAGTTGAACAAGAACCAGTTAATAGATTGTATGTCATAAGGAGTTATCCTTAATAATGTTAGATGTATTAGTTGCATTGTGGTTATGTTAGAAAAAAAAGCCTATCTGTTAGAGTTGCTTTCTGAAGTATTACTGGTGCAGTGATATGATGCCTGGGATTTTCTTTAAAGTGTTCCAAGAAAAAAAGAGAGAGAGAGAGAAAGGGGGGTGGGGAGATGAAATAAAAATGGCAAAGTGTTGCAACTGTTCGAACTGGATAATGGGTGCACAGGGACTCATTCCATTTCGTGTATGTTTGAAACGTTCCATAATAAAAAGTTAAAGTTTTAAAATGCATGCCATGCTTAAACATTTTAAACTGTAGCCTGTACCTGATTAAATGTTGCTTTCCTCAGAATCTTGCTTTGCTCACTTCCTTGTGTGTGGAGGGTCTGTGTGTGGGAATGTTCTTTCTACTCAGTCAGACATAAGATTCTTGAGGACAAGGGCCCCTTTTTCCATTTTGGCATCTCTTCCAGCACAGGTGGAAGCCTGAATCTAGTAGGTATTTAGTACATGTTCTTGGCCAGGCCAGCAAGGAATGCAGAGATATTCAAGGAAACTCAGAGGGCACCCTGAAGACTGCGGGCTCTCCAGCAATGTAAGTTTCTACTGAAAGCAAGCAGGTCACCTAAGCTCATTCATTCATCTGCTGGGACTACACATGCAGGGGTACCATGGATAGCTATAAGATTTTTATTAAAACATTGGTTATAATATATTATGAAACTTTCCTCATGAAATAAATTCAAACTGGAATGGAAAAGAACTTACTTTGCAGATGAAATGGTGCACACACCCAAACCCAAGAAAAATGACACAGCACGGCCTCCCTGAAGGTGTGTGGAAACCGGTGTTTGTTCTGCTCTTATTTAACATCCTTAATAATGATCTGGAAGATGAGTCAACAGCACGCTAATGAAATTTGCATAAGATCCTTAATTGGGAGGTGTTGCTATCACCAAGAAGGGCAGAGAGGTAATGCAGATGTCTCAAAGAGGGTTAAAGATACCAATGGAAAATAACAAAATAGGATTTGGCTCAGAGGGGAGAAAGGCAAATTCAATTGGGAGGAAAGTCTAAACCAGGATATTCCCTGGAGAGAAGAACAATGCAAAAATAATACTGAAAGAGGTTCAGGCAGAGAGCGATCTTAGCTGGAGGTGTGATGTGGTGAAAATGGCCAAGATTATGGAATACATTTGAAAAGGAGATATACGATCCAATGCTAGGATCCCTGCCCTGGCTCCTCACCCACCTCGAAAACTCCAGAGGCTCCATCTTGGGTCACGTAGGTCACTAGGGCCCAGAGCCTCTGCCTGGAAAAGTGTCCTTAAAGGGAATTTCCTTGGTGAGGTCATCCTGGCTCCTCGGAGGCTAGATGTCCAATTCCCAGAAACTTTATCCTTGGGGAGGGTACTGCGGGCCAGGAAAGGATGGTCCCTGGAAGGCCACTAGACTCAGGCCAGTCAGGCTGGCCCAATAAGCAGATGCTTTGCAGTTTTCTGGACCAGAGAAAGAGAAGTAACAGCTTCTGGAAAGATTTCCCAGGGCCTATGAGATGAGGGAGATTTGATGCTCTGCATGGTAGAAATTACCTTACCTTGCTTGGAGATGCCAATACCATTTCTGCTGAACAGAGATATGAAATCCATTTGCTCAAAAAAACGTTTTGTAAGCACCCACTACAGTGCCAGGCATCCAATCTGACAGGTGCCTGCCCTCTTGGAGTGTACATGCTAGGAACCATACTGGGCCTTGGTGGCCACCTGCCTCTCCAGGAACAGAAAGCAGGGTGGGAACATGATTAAATTCCTTTCTAGGAAGATATCCTCCAGACGATTGTACAAATCCAAAACACTGTACACAGAAAAAATAAACAAACAGGTCAGCAGGTGACAGGCAATGATTAAAGAACTTGGGAGAGGATCTAGAATGATGAAGATAAATAATAAGAACAAGAAAGTAACGTGTGGATCACCAGCATGTTCTAATACTCTGATGCTAGAACAATATTTTTAAATGATGGCTTCCAGGCTGGTGGCTGTTTGGAGTCTCAAGTCCATGATTCAGTGATAAGGACAACCAGCCATTGACTTCAAGTCAACTGGTTAACTTTGAGTTAGTGGACCTTTGGTGTTAGCAGACTGAGCTTTGAGTTCAAGCTTCAATATTCACTAGCTGTGTGACCTTGGGCAAGTCACTTAACCTCTCTGTGACTCAGTTTTCTCCTCCGCAAAATGGGAACACCAATAACACCTACCTCTTGGGAGCTGGTGTGAGGCTTAAATGAAATGATGCATTTAAAGCGTTTAGTGTTATGTCTGACCTTTGGTAAGGATTTAGTAAATGGTAACTCTTCTGACCTTATTACTATACACAAGACAATTGGCAACAAACTGGAATTTTCTGAATATCTTGGGGTAGAATCTTAGCTAGTTGTTAGTACTTCCTGTCTGGGGTGATGTCAACACTCCTATTCTCCCAGGTGTGTAATATTGGAGAGGCATAGACAATAATATTCTTTCTGTGTGCACTTTTTCCCTCCTGGCCTTCCCTTTGGTAAGGTCATTTTCCACACTCTTCCATTATTATTCACCAAACACTTATTGAGCACCTTCTCTGTGCCAGGTGCTGTGGATACAGAGATAAATAAGCCCCCTGTCTGCACTGGATGCTCCCAGTGCAGAGGAAACAACTCAATAAAATGTCCTGCCCTTTATTTCCTTAGGTCCCAGGCCAAGTGGCTTGGTTCCTAGAGGTAACACTTTCCCTTTTCTTTCCCTATCTGTGGAATTTGAACCTCTTGATGCTTTATTGCCACTTTCTTGACTTCTGATCTCAAGTGTTATTGAGAGAGAAGTGATGGATGTTGAGTTGGGAAGGCCTGGAGTTGAAACTCAGCTCTGCCTCTAGCTTGCTGTGTGACCCATGGAGAAGTTACTTAACCTTTCTGAGCCTCAGTGTTCTCAGCTGGGAACTGGGGGTGATAGTACCCACCTCCAAGGACTGCTGCAAGGACTGAATGAGATAAATCACCTGCCTTGGGAAGCCCATTTCCTGACCAGCAGAGAAGTGCTCAGTAAACAGTATTAAGTTGTGACCAAGCTAATAGCTCTTGGCAAATGACCTTGCCCGTGACAGTAATATGCATTCTTTTATCCAATAAAATCCAAGGATGAAAGCATGGGCTTGTGACCTTGTCAAGGTTATTTCCTCTCTGGGCCTCAGTTTTCCTACCTGGACAGTAAGAGGGTAAATTCTTAATAATCTCTAAGGTCCTTCCCATCTCCAAAAGTCTGGGTGTCCATGACTGGGGCAGAGCAGGGAACGGGAACCTTGTTTCCTGGTTCTATCCCTATTTTGATGTCTTTGAAGCATCAAAATAGGTATCAGGTGGAAAACGTAGACCAGAATTAAAAAGTGTAGAGTCATGGGGAGGAGGGGAGGAATGATTTAGCTGGGTCTGTGGAGGCATGATTGATGAAATTTAGGAATAGTCAGTGTAGACTAAATATCAAGGAAAAGCTCCCTGACACTGAGAGATTGGCCTTCTTGGAAATTCTTGGCATTTACAACCAGGATGACCAGCCATCCTGAAGTGGGGCTCAAATAGACCTTTGCTGGTTGGGGCTTGGGCTTCTATGGGACCCAAGGTGTTTAAAGCCCATGATGGCTTTCAGTGTGGGGAGCTTGGGGAGGGGTGCTTGGGAGCTCCCATTTCCACCAGCAAGTGGTAGGCATGGGTTAGAAGAGAGTTGAGACCTCAAACATGCACTGAAAGTCATTTGAGTAACTGGTATCAGCTGTGCTTCTAATGTACACCCTGCTGGGCCATATGAGTGCTCTCCTCTCCCCATAATTGCCCTGTGGGGCAGGAGTGACTGTCTGTATTCATCCATTCTCACACTGCTGTAAAAACATACCTGATACTGGGTAATTTATAAAGAAAACAGGTTTAATCAGCTCGTGGTTCTGCAAGCTGCACAGGCTTCTTCTTCTGGGGAGCCCTCAGGAAAGTTACAATCATGGCAAAAGGTGAAGGGGAAGCCAGCACATCTTCACATGGCCAGCAGGCGCAGGACAGAGAGAGACTGAAAGCGAGAAGCAAACACTTTTAAACAATCAGATTTCATGAGCACTATATCACAAGACAGCACTGGGGGGATGGTGCCAAACCATTAGAAACACCCCTGTGATCCAATCACCTCCAACCAGGCCCCACCTCCAACATTTGGAATTACAATTCAACATGAGATTTGGGTGGGGACACAGAGCCAAACCATATCACCATCTCAATGCTACAGATGAGAAGACCGAGGGCCAGGGAGTTTGGATGACTTGCCTGGAATCATACAATGAGCAAGAGGCTGAAGCAGGATTCAAACCCAGGTCTCTGACCCTGAAACCAAGAACTTTCCACTGCCTTAGAAGACATATCAACACTGTACAGAGCAAAGCAGGTGCCCCAACCTGAATCGTGTCTCAACAAATATTTATTACATGAACTAAGGAATAGCTCTTGTTGCCTTTACCTCAATATGCTTTCATTTTAATCCATTTTACAGGTGAGGAAACTGAGGTCTCTGGAGGATAAGTAGCAAGGTCACCAAATAAGCTAGTGGCAGAGTCAGGCCCAGAATTCTACTTTTTTATTTTCCAACCCATTGCTTTTCTTTTTTATTTTTTTTTCTTGAACCATACTCTACTGTCATTTTTTAAAATGGGGACTTGAGATCTGGTGAGAACCACTCCCTAATAGGCAGACAGTGTAGGATTTGAAGCTGGCTTTGAAAGAAAATAATCCAGGAAGTGGCCACCAGTGGGGATAAGATGGAAGGAAATGACTGCACGAAAGGCAGGTGGTTTAAGGGCAAGGTCTTTGACTCCTTAAAATTCAGCTGTGTCCTCTAAAATGAAGGATACCGATCACCACCACCCACCCTGACTTCAGCATCCTCCCTCCCCTGCTCCCAGGGTTGCTCTTCATAAGGTAGTGTGGAAAATGGCCAGTGCAGTGGGTGTAAATCGTAGCCCTGTTGTTATGAAGGGAAGATGGTGTCATTCTAGGGCTTAGTTGTCTCCCAAACTGGGGAGCTGTTGACAGATGGGGAGACTGAGGACCAGGGAGTTTGAATGACTTGACTGGGATCACATCTCCCCAACTGGGGAGCTGTTGACCCATACACTTTTAGGGAGGAGACACAAATTTCAAAGAAGGCTGGAACTCCAGCTCTGCATGTTTATTATAAGCCTCAGGACACAAATGACTCCCGACCATTTCGCTCCTAACACCTCAGGGACTTTGCATGATGACTAAACAGTAGGTTCCTCCCCAGACATTTAATGATCAGCCTTTTCTGGGACTCCTGGTCCAGTTCTTTCTCAGCAGTGCCCATCCAGACTCTCCTGTAGTGCAAAAAGCTAGAGGCAGGGTCCTCACCAAGCCCTGTCTCTTTGTCCAAGCCTCCCACCCCCAGCGCTTGCAGTGCCCCCTCATAGATGAAGCCAGGTATTTGCAAACAGCTTCAGCACACATGCACGCAATCAATATCACAAAAGATAAATCTGCTGCAATTGACTCCAGGCTGTACTGTCACTAAGTGACGATGAAAAATGATCAGCACTTGAATACATTGCATTTTTATCTTTAAATCTTTCTACAGAAGTGGTGTCAATATCAGAGTACTAAATAATCTCTAGATAGCAGGAAGATGCAAGAACATTTTTTTTTCTTCATGGAAGATGGATGTAGCTTTTTCGAAGGCCTTAAATACTGAAACAAGGAATTAGCTCTCTAAATGCCCTACAATGACTGGCTGCCTTGTCAGTCCTCTGAGGGCGATTTGAGTACCTAACTCCACTCTTCCATCAGTGTTCTTTAAATAACAGTGCTTGGCTCTGAGGACTAGGGACCTTTTCCAAGCCCTAATGAATCCATAAATCAAGGTTTACTGCATCTTCTTCCTCAGGCCAAGCTTAGTGAGTTGATGGGGGAAATCGAGGCAAGGGGAAGAGTCTTGTCTAACCAAAGTCACATAGGAACTCAATTTTCTACCAGAGTGGACACCTATCATCCTTCAGAAGGGGACAGGGCCAATTTCTCTTGGGGCTATAAGGTAAAAGTTACATAAGCAACCAGGTAACCGGTTACCATCATCAAATACTTGCTGGGCTCTATTAACCGTAAGACACTGATAGACATTAGAAATGTAGAGAAATCAGCCTTACTCTTTTGAGCTTTTAAGGCATGGGGGGAAGGATATTTGCTTAGCCACAATAACCACTATACATTGATCAGTAACAGCACCAGACACTGTGCCAAGAACCCTACATGCACCCTCTCGGCAGAGTGAGCCTCACAGTAGTCCTGCAAGGTGGATATCATTAACCCCGTTTTACCAAGGAGACAATATTGCCAGTGGCAGAGCCAGGGAAGGCAGAAGACCTGGGCTTGAGTCCCAGTTCTGTGTGTCCTGGGGCAAGCCAGAGCCATCTTTAGCCCCTCATAAGCAAAATGAGGGGAGTCAGACTCCATGATCTCCAAGGACCCCCAGCCTTTATCATCATTGGTTCTGTGAATATTCAAATAATGGGCGGACTGTGGCCCACACCCCCAGTGTTCACTGAATGTTGGCTGTGAGCCGGGGCAGGTGAGGACACGGAGGGCAGGTGCAGACAGAACACATCCCCACCCACAAGTCCACTGGTTTGCAGAGCTCTATTGAGCAATACATTTTTTTGCTTGACAAGTGAAGAGAGAGATTATAGGTACTGTATTTGTCCATTCTCATGCTGCTCAGAAAGACACACCTAAGACTGGGTAATTTATAAAGGAAAGAGGTTTAATTGACCCACAGTTCAGCATGGCTAGAGAGGTCTCAGGAAACTTACAATCATGGCGGAAGTGGAAGCAAACACGTCCTTCTTTACATGGCAGCAGGAAGGGGAACTGTAGAGCGAAGTGAGAGAAAGTCCCTTATAAAACCATTAGACCCCATGAGAACTCACTCACTATCAGGAGAACAGCATGGGAGCAACCACCCCCATGATTCAATTACCCCTCACTGGGTCCCTCCCACGACACGTGGGGATTACGGGGTCTACAGTTCAAAATGAGATTTGGGTGGAGACACAGCCAAACCATATCAGGTACCTATTTTTCCCATAAAGTTATTTCAAAAATAATGAGTTCTAGTGTGCCTGGCCCTGGGGGAGGGTGGAGAGGTTGATATGGAACACACTAAGAAGAAAACAAAGTTTCTGACTTGAAAAAATTTGCAATTCTGCTGGAGAAAAGTGATCAGTGCCCAATATAATATCCTATACAACTGAGTATGGGAACAGGGGCTGAGGAGGCCATGGGATAGGAGACAGACGCCTGGAGATGGAGCCCAGGGTCCTCTGGTCTATGGTCGGTCATTAGGGAGCTAGGGTAAGGCACTCCAACTTTGGAGCAGAAGTCCCTTTTACAATGCAGACCTAGTCAGAATCAGCATAGGACACATAAACACAGAAATTTGCTCTCTCTGAGAAGTAGCCTGTGGATGCCTTGCTGACTTGGGAAACACTCAAATCTAATCAAGGTGACCAGGGTATATCTGGTCACTGACTAAGAAAGTGGTAACCTAATTGATTTTGCTCTAACCTGTCTGGAGAGGAATTATTAACAGAAAAGTACTGGTCAGCATCAAGCATAAAAGATAGATAGACAGCAGGAACTGGTCAGTCTTTACTGAGTACTGGACTAGGGAGAGAAACGCTGTCTGAAGCAGCATTTTCCTACATCCCTTCTACAGCACAACATTCCCCTGAGATGCTCAGGGAAAAGGTTCCAGGAACAAATGCAGATGGGAAAGGTTGCACACCATGTCCTTTCTGTGAGAGCCAGTGTGAGGACTAGGACATTAAATCTACTGCAGTCCAGAGAAGTTCTGCAGAAAGGAGACACGCTGAACCTTGTTTAACCTGGCACTTCCCAAACTTATTTGGGAGTGGGGTAGGGTGAGGAATGTCTGTGAATATAAAACACAGTTTAGAAAATAATACTCTAAAGATTGAGACCAAAGGCAAGAACTGGCCTCACAGAAAAAGATGAGAAACAGCAGGAAACAATTTTGAGGAGATGAAATGCCTTAAATGCTAAACTAAGATATACAACTGATGTGGAAGATCCCCTCAGCATATTGCATTAGATGAAAAAAGCTAGGTGCGGAAGAGTGTGTAAAGCATGCATTCATTACCTTTAGCAAAAGGGGTACAAAAATATATTAAGACATATTATTTTTGAAAATATTTGCTTATATAGCTGCAAGACATCCCTGGACACATAAATATGAAATTAATAACATTTGCAGATGACTCCAGGGAAAAATAGAGGGGACAGATAGACTTATCACTGAATGCTTTCAAATTCTGAATCATGTAAAAATATTACCTATTAAAAAGTAAAAGAAAAATACCCTGCAGTATATTGATATCATTAAATGTGGATGAACTTAAAAAGCCGAGTGCGGTGGCTCGCGCCTGTAATCCCAGCACCTTGGGAGGCCGAGGTGGGTGGATCACGAGGTCAAGAGATCTAGACCATCCTGGCCAACATGGTGAAACCCCGTCTCTACTACAAATAAAAAAATTAGCTGGGCGTGGTGGCATGCGCCTGTGGTCCCAGCTGCTCAGGAGGCTGAGGCAGGAGAATGACTGGAACCCGGGAGGCAGAGGTTGCAGTGAGCCGAGGTCCTGCCACCGCACTCCAGCCTGGTGGCAGAGCGAGACTCCGTCTCAAAAAAAAAAAAGCAACTAAGAGTCATCATTCCTCTTTATATACTTCAGTGGCTTTCCACCTCTCTTGGGATAAAGTCCAGGCCTCCAGAGTCCCTGCCTAGTCTGTCTCACCCCTCTTCACGTTTCCATTTTCCACTGTAGCCATGGTGGCATTTTGGCAGCTCTTCAGACAAGTCTTCGTCTTTCCCTTTTCAGAGTTTGTACAGAAGCCTGGCATATTCTCTTCCCCGATGTTCATCTAGAAAACCCGCACTCATCCTTTAGGTCTCACAGTAGACATTCTGGCCTGCCTCATCAGCTGCTTCCCAGGTGCTGACCGCACTGCCCAGCCTCCTCCACCCGCCTGCGCTCTGCTGGGCGCTGTCCATGGTGCTGAGGGCACTGTGGCGGGCTGGGTTAAGTCGGCCCTCGTGGAGCTCGGATGCTGGGGTGATGGAAACTGAATATATGCGGGAAAGTAAATGCACATACAGTATTTCTTAATATTCCCCTTTTCTCTCATAGTCTCATTTGGATCATAAGTTACATCGTTACTTGAGTTATGAAAAAAATAAAGCACACCGAAATAAAAGGGTGTTGTCACTGCCCTGAGTGCCAAGCTTTTTTATGATCCTTGGGTTGAACGTGTGTAAAAAACAAACAAGCAGAAACAGAAAGACAAAGTAAACAAAAAAGAGTTGCCTTAAAACCCGCTAGAAAGCAAGAGAGCAGGGTCTTATCCCTCATGAAGGTCCCTTCTGCTTTGGGTAGCTTTTCATAGGAGACTTCTTTTGTCTGTAATCTTTCAACAGTCCTGGAAATACTGAACTGTAGTGAAGTTAAACCTTGATCCCGGCAAAGTGAAAGTGAGGTTTCCATTATATAATAAGTGAGTGGCTGGGCGCGGTGGCTCATGCCTGTAATCCCAGCACATTGGGAGGCCAAGGCGGGCAGATCACGAGGTCAGAAGTTTGAGACCAGCCTGGCCAGCATAGTGAAACCCCATCTCTACTAAAAAATACAAAAATTAGCGGGGCATGATGGCACGCACCTGTAGTCCCAGCTACTCAGGAGGCTGAGGCAGGAGAATCGCGTGAACCCAGGAGGTGGAGGTTGCAGTGAGTGGAGATTACACCACTGCACTCCAGCCTGGGTGACAGAGTGAGACTCCGTCAAAATAAATTAATAAATAAATAACCAAAACCAAAACCAAAACAAAAAGTACATGAGTGTCTTTCTAATCAACCTATTGCGGAGTGTTGCACTAGGAACAAGGACACAAAGATAAAGCTAGGGGCTAAAAGAGTGTGCTCCCTGGCACCCTTTATCCTCCATTCAAAGTGTCCTAGAGTGGAAGCAGTTTATTTATGAAGATGCTGTAAGGTTTTTGTTTGTTTATTTGTTTTTTTGTTTTTTGAGATGGAGTCTCACTCTGTCACCCAGACTGGAGTACAGTGGCAGGATCTTGGCTCACTGCAACCTCCGCCTCCCAGGTTCAAGCGATTCTCCTGCCTCAGCCTCCTGAGTAACTGGGATTACAGGCGCATGCTACCACACCTGGCTAATTTTTGTATTTTTTAGTAGACATAGGGTTTCACTGCATTGGCCAGGCTGATCTCGAATTCCTGACCTGAAGTAATCCACATGCTTCAGTCTCCCAAAGTGCTGGGATTATAGGCATGAGCCACTGCACCTGGCTGATGCTGTAAACTTTAAAAATTGACATTGTATGCCAGGTGCAGTGGCTCGTACCTGTAATCCCAGCACTTTGGGAGGTCGAGGCTGGAGGGTCACTTGAGACCAGGAGTTCAAGACTCACCTGGACAATACAGTGAGACCCCGTCTCTAAATATATATATACATACATAAAATTAAATTGTAGACCTGGACAAATGTCTTTCCACCGCCAGTCATTAATCCATTTGTCCTTGTTGATTGCTACTGACTGAATCCTGATCTGGTTACCTTGTTTAAAGTTTGGGGGCGTTACTTCCCCAGGATAGAAAACATGCATTTTGGAGAGTAAAAGTGGAAGATTCAGCCTTGATCAATGAAAATATTTTATTTGTGTAGCTGAAAGTCTTAATCAGAATTAGGATCCAATCCTCCAAGCATGTCATTATCAACCACGGTCTTTCAGGAGTGAGTGCCTCTTTGTAAATACATGCAGTTCCTGACGTGATGCCAGAGGAACATTTTGGGACAGTCTTTTCTCTTCCTCTCTGTACCCAGAATCTGAAATTGCCCAGCTCTATTTGAGACAGGAACTCAGATGCAGATTTCTAGGCTGTATTCTGTTATAGACGGCTGTCATTCTAACCCCCAACCACTACCTGCAGGAAACAAAATTAGGATGTTTGTATCAACCTGAGTGTTCCTAACCAATATCTTTAAAGATTTCATTTGTATTACCATTGGGATCATGTGTGGGGTTTCATTTTCTGGTTTTGGTTTAATTTTTTTTTGCTGCTCATGATTATTTATTAAACACAATATACAGTGCATGAGTTTTTGAAACTTTTGGGGGGAAGAAAACCCCTTTTTTAAAAAAGACAACTACTCAGGTCTCAAGATACATGAGGTGAAAGTAGAACTGTTTTAATTATAGGCTTGAGGCTCCACTCTCTGCTCATCCCTTCCTCATCCCTCCCTTCATCATAACATTTTGGAATCCAAATTTTACAGTCATGGAGGATTCCAGAAACCAGTCTAATAACTCCACTGTATAGATGGAGAAACTAGGCCTAGTGGGATTCAATGTCTTGCAGGCGGAACCTTTATGATACTTCTAAGGAACCTTGGTGCCTTGGAGAAGTCCGTTTGAAAACTACTGCTATGGAAGAATAGGTCTGCCTTGATGTGGGGAGATCTTACCTCTGCCCTTAACTCTTGGGCCTGGAACAAGTCATTGAGCCCCACTGGGCCCAGTTTCTCCATCTATACGGTGGAGTTATTAGACTGGTTTCTGGAATCTCCAATGACTGTAAAATCTGGATTCGAAAATTTTATGATTTTCATATTCTGAAAGTCTGTGGTTTAAGATTGTATTCGTTTGTTTCTATGCTGCCAATAACGACATACTCAAGTCTGGGTAATTTATAAAGAAAAAGAGGTTGAATGGGCCACAGGTACACGACACCACACCCGGCTAATCTTGTTTGCTTGTTTGTTTTGGTAGAGACGGTGGTGCGGGAGGGGTCTCACTTTGTTGCTCAGGCTGGTCTTGAACTACTGAGCTCAAGCGATCCACCTACCTCAGCCTCCCAAAGTGCCAGGATTACAAGTGTGAGCCACCGCGCCTGGCCTCAAAATACATTTGGATGGTGGAACAATCCGGACTTGATGACTGATTAGATGACATGCCACACATGATAAGACACCGCCAATGTAGAAAACAAAGAGCAAATTTTGATTCCAGCCTTAAAGGTCGTGAGGGTGATGTTCAGAATGCAGATGTTGGGCTGAAATTGGACTGCTTCTCACGTGGGCAACCTCAGGAAGCTTGCGTTGGGTAAAGAGCGGCAGGGATGTACTTATTTAACAATTGTCCAGGGCCCTTCTGAACCATGCAAGATAGACTGGCTGGTGTGGATGTAAATAGAAATTAATAGAATACATATAAAGAGTATACTTAACCAAAAGTGGAATTGTAAGCAATCTTCATTTTCTTTTTCATGAGCTTCTATATTTTATTTTTCTTTTCTTTTTATTCTTTCCTTCTTTGTCTCTATTTCTCTTTCCTTTCCTTTTTTTTTTTTTTTTTTTTTTTTCCAGACAACATCTTGCTGTGTTGCCCAGGCTGAAGTGCAGTGGCACAATCTCGGCTCACTGCAACCTCCGCCTCCCAGGTTCAAGTGATTCTCTGGCCTCAGCCTCCTGACTAGCTAGGATTACAGGCACCTACCATCATGCCCAGGTAATTTTTGTATTTTTAGTAGAGACAGGGTTTCACCATGTTGGGCAGGCTGGTCTTGAACTACTGACCTCATGATCTGCCTGCCTCAGCCTCCCAAAGTGCTCGATTACAGGCGTGAGCCACTGCGCCCATCTGGCCTTCCTTCCTTCCTTCCTTTCTCTCTCCTTCCTTCCTTCTTCCTTCCTTCTTCCTTCCTTCTTCCTTCCTTCCTTCTTTCCTTCCTCTCTCCTTCCTTCCTTCCTCCCTTCCTTCTTTCTTTCTTTCTTTCTTTCTTTCTTTCTTTCTTTCTTTCTTTCTTTCTTTCTTTCTTTCTTTCTTCCTTTCTTCTTTCTTTCCTTTTCTTCCTTTTTTGAGACAGGGCCTCACTCTGTTGCCAGGTTGGAGTGCAGTAGTGTGATTTTGGCTCACTGCAACCTTTGTCTCCTGGGCTCAAGTAATCCTCCTGTCTTAGCCTCCTGAGGAGCTGGGACTACGGGCATGCACCACCATGCCCAACTAATTTTTTAATTTTTTTGTAGAGATGGGCTTTTGCCATGTTGCCCAGGCTGGTCTCCAACTCCTGGGCTCAACCTATCCACCCACCTCAGCCTCCCAAGGGGCTGGGATTAAGGGCATGAGGCACTGCATCCAACTACTTTTATATTTTCTACGTTGTCTTTAATAGGTCAATAGAACTCTTATAATCAGGGGAAAATATCCCTTTAAGACAAAAAATAAATCCGTGTGATGGATTTAGGGAGATCCCATGTTTGTGTCTCTTGCCACCTTCGCTGTCTTTCTAACTCCTAGTCTCAGATCTTAACTGCACCTTTCAGTAATTTACCTACTCATCATCTGCCCTGTGACACCCCCTTGGCTATTCACCCCATCCTTCCTCTCAGCTCCCAACTGGGTCTGTGTTTCACTCAGCCCTGGGATGCACTGGACAGGCCATGGCTGTGACATCACAGGTTACATCTGCATGGAGCTAGGTGCATTCTGTTCAGGCAGTCACTGTGATCTGGCTGCCTGATTGATTCATTAGTCTAATGGCAACACATTGCTAGGATGCTAAGTTTTCTCTATTTCCCCAAAATGTTTTGAGGTTTTTCTCCTGACAACTGTGCTCATTGCAGTCATGGTGAAAACAACAAAATGGAAAGGAATTTCATAGGCCACACATCTCTAAATGATGTAGGGAAACATTTGGTTTCTTGTGGCTGTCAACACAATTATACCCACAGAGAAAGAAAATGAAAGGCAAGGCAGAGACAGCTCAATTTGGCTTGGAGAGTGGGGCGAAGACTTGGAAGCTTCATGCCTGGGCAGAGGGATGCCAAGACTTCTTGGGCTGCACAGAGGGCAGAGCGGCCACGAGATACAACAGTGGCAGCAGGTTGTAACACTGACGATGTGCAAATCCTTAGCCAAAGACCTGCCAACTCAACAAAGAGAGCTAAGCTAAGCCCCAGGGAAGGGACGAGGCAGCACGGGGCCTCCAAGGCTGAGCACCTGAAGAGAGCCACCCTCCTCTCCAGCACAGCTGACAATGGTTCCCTGGCCGCCCTTGCAGTTTTGTTTTTTTGTTCCTCTGTAGGGGCTCACAGGAAACAAGAGAACCAAACAACGTATGATTTTAGAAGAGGTAAAATTAAGTTTTCTGGAAGTTCCTTTGGACTATTGATTCCTAAATGGGAAGAAGGGATGCCCCCTTGGGGGAGTATTAGAGTCTTGGAGAGAGCTTTTCTCATCTACTTTCTATCCCCACCTCCCACACATTCTAATTTTGCTGCCTTAGGGAGAAGTGGGCCCCACTGCCAGCTACAGCTACTATTATTGGCGGAAGTGCATTAGTCATTCATTCAGCAACCAGTTAGTGAGCGTTAACCACGTGCAGGCACAGTCCTGGCCCTCAGGTGGACTGGGACGAGACAAAAACATTGGGAGCCCCTGTGGTCTAAACTCGGTGGCAAAGACCAGGTAAACGTTACAACTGAGGTTTTGTTTAACGAAGTTTTCTCTCTTTTTCTGATATTTGTTTTTTAAAAGGCAGAGGAAAAAATATGGAATTCCCACCATTGAATGAGAGCCTCCAACATGCCAGAAGCCATGCTGCTTACGTAATTCTAACAAGAATGTTAAGAGGTAGATGATCTCATGTGATTCTAACAAGAGTGTTTGGAAGTGGATATCCATTTCTCTGTCTCTTCCAGAGGAAAAAGCTAAGGCTCCGTAAAGGTCAATAACTTACTCAAGGTCAAGCAGTGAGTAAAAGACAGAAGCAGGATTGTAACACGGGGGTCTCTGATCCCAAAGCACGGGCAGCACCATCGCCATGCTTTGCACCTCCGGTGGACTGGCCACATCAACATTACTTGGCCGCTTGTTAGAAAGACACCTGCTGAATCATGATTTGCATGTTTAATAAGTATTGAGGTGATTCATTTACACATTCAAATTTGAGAAGCACTGAGCCAGGGAACTCATACCCCCAAACAATCTCACTCACAAACACAGGACATACCTTGGAAATCAAAAAGATTCATTACATGTCTCCATCCTGTCTTCAAGAGTGTTTCTGAAATGCTATAATACAGAAGATTCCCTCCCACCCAGAGTGAGAAAACACTGAAGTGGTAAAAATTTAAAAGGCCGGGTTGGGCTGGGCATGGTGGCTCATGCCTGTAATCCCAGCACTTTGGGAGGCTGAGGCAGGCGGATCACCTGAGGTCAGGAGTTCGAGACCAGCCTGGCCAACATGGTGAAACCCTGTCTCTACTAAAAATACGAAAATTAGCCAGGCGTGGTGGTGCACACCTGTAATCCCAGCTGCTCAGGAGGTTGAGGTAGGAGAATCGCTTGAACTCGGAAGGCAGAGGTTGCAGTGAGCTGAGACCACACAGCTGCACTCCAGCCTGGGCAACAAGACGGAAACTCTGTCTCAAAAAACAAAATTTAAAAAATTTAAAAAATTAAACGTCCAGGTTGCCTTCAGGGCATGCTGATGTGCCCTATAGTACCCTCGTGTGCTATTCAGGCTGCTTAGAGATTTGAGGGTCAGTGTGCGAGGGGAAGGGGAAATTTGTATTTACAAAATTGGTGGCTGAGGCTGAATGCTCAGTTCCACAGTGGAAGGAAGAGGGGGCCTGTTTTTAGGAAGGAAGTAGCAGCAGTTCTTTTTTTATTTTTCTCCTGAGACAAGGTCTCACTTTGTTGCCCAAGCTGAGTGCAATGGTGTGATCACAGCTCACTGCAGCCTCAACCTCCTGGACTCAAGTGGTCCTCCCACTTCAGGCTCCCAAGTAGCTAGGACTACAGGTGCACACCACCACACCTGGCTAATTTTTAATTTTTTTTTACAGACAGGGTCTCACTATGTTGCCCAGGCTCGTCTTGAGCTCCTGGATGCAAGCAATCCTCCCACTTCAGCCTCCCAAAGTGCTGGGATTACAGGCATGAGCCACCATGCCCAGCCCGCAATTTTAATATAATTGGTCAAACGTCCTTTTTCCCTTCCCTTCTCAGAGGTGCCAGTGCAGAGCTGCTGGCTTCGTGTGGGTCTAAAACCGCTCAGCTCAATTCTGGAGTTCAAAGACACCATTAATTAACTCAGAAATCATTGACACGAGGCTACTCCCAGGTTATGCTAATCTGGTGAAATCTGTAAACCCTATAACCTTACAGGAAGTCAGAGCTGCCACTGGCCCACTCAGCAGCACCTTTGTGCCAGTGAGCAAAAGGTGCTCCTCGCCCCCCCGCCCCCCAACCAGGTAGATGCAGCCCCAAACCATGTTGTTGGAATTGGTGCTGTGGTTCGAATGTGTCCGCTCCAAAATTCAGGTGTTGCTAGTGTGATAGAATTAAGAGAGATGGGGCCTTTAAGAGGTGATTAGGCCATGAGGGGTCCTCCCTTGTGAATGGGATTAAGGCTCTTACTAAAGAGGCTTCACACAGCCTTCAGCTCCCTTGCTCTTCCGCCTTTGCCATGTGAGGACACAGCGTTGCCCCCCACCCTGCCCGGAGGATGCAACAATAAGGTGCCATCTTAAACACAGAGACCAGCCCTCACCAGACAACGGAACCTGCAGGCTCCTAGAACCTCCCAGCCTCCAGAACGTCCAGAGAATGAATTTCTGTTATTTATGAGACACCCAGTCTCAGGTATCATAGTAGCGTTAATCAACTAAGACTTGGTGAATGGACTACAGAGTGGATTTTTGTCACCTGCGCATTTCCACACCCTCAAGGGCACCAATATCGCATGAGAAGCCCCTGTTGCAAGTGGGCCTGTGGCATTCCACCTTTTAAAAAGGTAAAGGGACCCTGAATAAATACATAAGTCATTTAAGGCTTGACAAACAGCTCTTGGAACAAGGGCATGAAAACAGGTGATTCTCAGGGTGATGTGTGGGGTTGAAGAGAGACCCACGGAATCAAGAAAGAAAGAGCCAGGCCAGGCTTGGTGGCTCATGCCTGTAACCCCAGCACTTTGGGAAACTGAGGCAGGCAGCTCACCTGAGAAAGGGAGTTCAAGACCACCCTGGTCAACATGGTGAAAACTAAAAAAAAAAAAAAATTAGCCAGGAGTGGTAGTGGGCACCTGTAATCCCAGCTACACAGGAGGCTCAGGCTGGAGAATAGCTTGAACCTGGGAGGTGGAGGTTGTAGGGAGCCGAGATTGCACCACTGCACTCTCAAGCCTGGGCGACAGAATGAGACTGCATCTCAAAAAAAAAAAAAAAAAAAAAAAGTAAGAACTAGAAGAATCGAGTCAGCTAAGGTCCTATTTTCCAAGGCTCTTCCCCATGTCTAAGAAAATTAATGAAAGACACACCTTTTTGCAAAAACCATAAACTATATGACTTGTGCATGACAAAAAGATGGAGTCCATCCTGCAAATATTTCAGAACTTCCTAGCTAGGTGGGGGTTTGGGGAGCAAAGAAGCTCACAGATGTGTGTTCTTGCCAAGCATATTGCACACAGGTGCTAGGGATGGCCAAGCCCTCAGGGGCTTGAGATACTTGGCCAGTGTTTCCCAAAATGTGTTCCATGGAACTATAATCCCATCCATTGCTTCTTAAAAACAGGTGCAACTGTCAAAAGATATAAACTTCTTTGGGATGTTTACAATGAACATTATTGAGCATTCTTGCCCATTTCCTTTGTTTAATTCAGCATTTTCCAAACATTTGACCCCAGACACACCCTGTCCCCACACCTGCTCTTTAACATGTTACCATCCACCAATGCTAGTTAGTTCCCTACGATGTGGATTTTGATTCTGTGGAGAATCTGGGGAATAAGCTTATTCCTTCTTGGGTTCAAATTAGAGACGTCCGCTGTTCACGGAGCTCCACACTGAATTTCCTTCTCCCTTTGAGAACGTTCATCACTTAAAGTCTACTCTTTCAGTGTTTTGATAGCACATCTCACATGTTTTTTTCCCTTGAAAGCCCAGTACAATTTGATGGTGACCGTCCTTTTTTTTTTTTTTTTTTTGAAACGGAGTCTCGCTCAGTCGCCCAGGCTGAAGTGCAATGGTGCGATCTCAGCTCACTGCAACCTCCGCCTCCCGGGTTCAAGTGATTCTACCGCCTCAGCCTCCTGAGTAGCTGGGATTACAGGCGCCCACCACCACGCCTGGCTCGTTTTTGTGTTTTTGTAGAGATGGGGTTTCACCATATTGGCCAGGCTGGTCCTCAACTCCTGACCTCAGGTGATCCTCCCACCTCGGCCTCCCAAAGTGCTGGGATTACAGGTGTGAGCCACTGCGCCCGGCCATATTTTAAAAGAGGATAGAGGACGCCATCTAGGGTCACCTGCCATTCTCTTGTTCTCAGGCTAGGAGTGACCCATGTTCTTTGAACTCTTCACCACTTTTCTTTGTGACTGTACTGAGCTCCAGGGTGTCAGAGCTGCAGAGCCTGAGTTCTGCCTGGGGTCTTGCTCAAATCCCTCCTACCTCTAGGAACCCAGAAGCCCCACCCAAAGTGACCCTACATGACTTGGGGTGGGGTGTGCCAGGAGTCAGCCCTCTCAGGAGCCACATACCCATTGTTGATGGGAGGCGACATTTTCTTTTGTTCCCCAACCCCCCTGCCAGGAGCCATGCCCCTCTCTTGAGATTTTCTCTGAGTTGGAGACTGAAGCAGAGAGTTGAGGACCTCAGAGGACAGAGGGTGTCTCTGGCTGCCGGAGCAAGCTGAGCCATATTAACATTCCCATTGGGTGTCAGGAGGGTGGGATCCACTCAGGTCCATGTTGCAAGGAAGTTTCTCCATCACCCCCTGCCCCATCTCCCTTCAAGGCTGGAGTGCAGTGACTATTCACAGGCATGATTGTAATGTACTATGTAGCCATGAAGTCCTCCTCTCCACCTCTCCCACCCAGCTCCATCCCAAGAAGCTTCGTCTCTCCCAAGCTGACCCCTTCACCAGGGCCACCAGGCCTGCTGGGAGGACTCTGGCACTGACAGGTGCCTGCCGCTCACAGGGCCTGTCTGCCACCGCACTGTGATGGCTGGGGAGGGTGAGGGTAGAGGGCAGAGGACTTCTTGCCTCACAGGTGCTCCCACAGGTTCGATGTCCTTTGCTGAGGTCATCTCCCTCCTGTGATTTAATGAGGCTGAAGTCAGAGAAAACCCAAAGATGCCAGAGGGGCCGCCTCCTCCCAAAACCCGCCAATGCCTCCTTTTTCAGAGAGGATTTTCTTCCCTTCTCTCCTCCCTTTAAAAAAAAAAAAAAAAAAAAAAAATATATATATATACATATATATATACACATATATATACACACACTATATATACACACACTATATATACACACATATATATACATATGTGTGTATATGTGTGTATATATATGTGTGTGTATGTATATATATATATATATATAGATATATAAAGAAATGCATGTACATAGTTTAAAAAATCAAGTAGCCCTATAAGGTTTATTCTAAAAATAGCCCTACTCACTGGTGCTGATCCCTTGTCCCAGAGGCAGCCACCTTCAACTCTTTTAGCTTTATCTTGATGTTTCAGCTTTAAGCATCATATAATCGACTACCTGCTATAGAAAATGAGGATTTAGTTCTTAGGCACAGGCACACACACGTTTATCTTATCTCACCACCCCAAGATCACAGGTTCTAGTTAAACCAATATTCAGTGTTTACTGTCCTATGACTTGGGAAAATATTATATGCCACTGACTACCCAATGCACTGTGATTGCGTTTTTTGGTACAATTTCATTTTTCTCAGAGTTAGTAATTTTGATGGGTTTTTATATTTTCAATGTAGTTGCTAATTTATCTCTGTCACAACTCTAAAGCTTTTGTTAATATAATTAAAACTTCAGAACCTATTAGTTCTGTGTCTTGCTTTAAGCCCTCTATCCTGGGCTGCAATCAGCCTGGTTGCTGTGCTGGGCCCTGTGCACACCTGTGGTCTGGGTCCTCTGTAATAACATTTACCTCTCTCTTCTGTTGCATCCCCTGTTTCCTGGATTCTCTGTTTTCCACTTTCTTGGTTTACTCTCTCATTTTGATGGAGCACGTCCTCTAGTAGCTTCTTGAGAAAAGATGCATGGAAGGAAAATTCAGTGAGACCAGGCATGTCTGAAACATACTTAGTCCACACTTACACTTGATTGATAAAATTATCAGCTGGAGGCTGAGTGCAGTGGCTCACACCTGTAATCCCAGCACTTTGAGAGGCTGAGGTGGGAGGATAACTTGAGTCCAGGAGTTCAAGACCAGCCTGGGCAACATAGTGAGACCCTATCTCTAAAAGAAAAAAAATTATCAGCTGGACATGGTGGTGCATACTTTTAGTCCCAGCTACTTGAGAGGCTATGGTGGAAGGATAACTTGAGGCCAGAAGTTCAAGCCTGACTAGTGCACTACAGTCGTGCCTGTGAAGAGTCACTGCATTCCAGCCTTGGTAACATAGCAAGGCCCTCTTTCTAAAAATAAAATAAGATTATCAATAAGTTCTAGGTTGGAAATATTTTTCCGCAAGATTATGAAGGCCTGTGCCTTCTTCCAATTTCCAGTGATGATGTTAGAAAGTCCAATGCCTGTGGGCAGATCACCTGAGGTCAGGAGTTCAAGACCAGCCTGGCCAACAAGGCAAAACCCCGTCTCTATTAAAAATATAAAAATTAGCCGGGCACGGTGGCGCATGCCTGTAGTCCTAGCTACTTGGGAAGCTGAGACAGGAGAATTGCTTGAACTTGGGAGGCGGAGGTTGCAGTGAGCCGAGATTGTACCACTGTACCCCAGCCTGGGCGACAGAGCGAGACTCCGTCTCAAAAAAAAAAAAAAAAAAGTCCAGTGCCTGATCCTTGATCTTTTGTGTATGACATTCTGTCTTTGGAAGCTTTTGACATGATTTTACACTGGCACTCTGAAGGCTCTTTAAATCTGGAAATGTTTGCCCTAAAGTTTTGGGAAATTGTCATGTATTATTTTTCTTTGATAACTTCTGCCCCTCTATTTTCTCTCTCTCTATCTCTTTTTTTTTTTTTGACCTGGAATTCCTCATTTTGGATATTGAACTTCCTGGACTGTTGTAGAGAGAATAATGCCCCTCTACAGATTTCCACATCCTAATCCCCAGAACCTGTGAATATGTTACCTGACAGGTGAAAGGAACTTGGTAGAGGTGACTACATTAAGGATCTTAAGATGAGGAGATTAAGTTGGGTTTAATCAAACAGCAAGGATTTTTTTTTTTTGAGACAAAGTCTTGCTCTGTCAACCAAGCAGGAGTGCAGTAGTGCAATCATAGCTCACTGCAGCCTCAGACTCCAGAGTAGTTGGGGTCACCAGTGCCACCACACCAGGCTAATTTTTAATTTTTTACAGAGGCGGGGTCTTGTCATGTTGCCCAGGCTTCTCTTGAACTCCTGGCATCATGTGATCCTACTACTTCAGCCTCCAAAGTGCTGGGATTACAGGTGTTGGCCACTGTTCCTGGCCGCAAGGATTCTTATAAGAGGAAATCAGGAGGGTCAAAGTCAGAAAAAGGAGATATGACCATGAAAGCAGATGTTGGAGTGATGTGCTTTGAAGGTGGAGGAAGGGGCCACAAGCCAAGGAATTCTCTAGAAGCTGGTAAAGGCGAGGAAACAGATTCTTGCTTTGAGTCTCCAAAAAAGAACCCAGCCCTGCCAACACCTTGCTCTTTGCCAAATTAGACTCATTTCAGACTTATGACCTCCAGAACTGCAAGATACTATTAATGTTATTATTAATATTATTATTATTTTTTGAGACAGAGTCTTGCTCTGTCACCCAGGCTGGAGTGCAGTGGCATGACCTCAGCTCACTGCAACCTCCTGGGTTCAAGTGATTCTCCTGCCTCAGCCTCCTGAGTGGCTGGGATTACAGGCATGAGCCACCATGCCTGGCTAATTTATTATTACTATTATTATACTTTAAGTTCTAGGGTACATGTGCACAATGTGCAGGTTTGTTACATATGTATACATGTGCCATGTTGGTTTGCTGCACCCATTAACTCGTCATTTACATTAGGTATTTCTCCTAATGCTATCACTCCCCCTGCCCCCCACCCCATGACAGGCCCCAGTGTGTGATGTTCCCAGCCCTGCGTCCAAGTGTTCTTATTGTTCACTTCCCACCTATGAGTGAGAACATGTGGTGTTTGGTTTTCTGTCCTTGTGATAGTTTGCTCAGAATGATGGTTTCCAGCTTCATCCATGTCCCTGCAAAGGACATGAACTCACCCTTTTTTATGGCTGCATAGTATTCCATGGTGTATATGTGCCACATTTTCTTAATCCAGTCTAGCATTGATGGACATTTGGGTTCATTCCAAGTCTTTGCTATTGTGAACAGTGCCGCAATAAACATATGTGTGCCTGTGTTTTTATAGTAGCATGATTTATAATCCTTTGGGTATATACCCAGTAATGAGATCACTGGGTCAAATGGTATTTCTAGTTCTAGATCCTTGAGGAATCGCCACACTGTCTTCCACAATGGTTGAACTAGTTTACACTCCCGCCAACAGTGTAAAATCATTCCTATTTCTCCTCATCCTCTCCAGCATCTGTTGTTTCCTGACTTAATGATCACCATTCTAACTGGTGTGAGATGCCCAGCTAATTTTTGTGTTTTTGGTAGAGACGGGGTTTTGCCATGCTGGCCAGGCTGGTCTTGAACTCCTGACCTCAGGTAATCTGCCCGCCATGGCCTCCGAAAGTGCCAGTATTACAGGCATGAGCCATTGCACCCGATCTATATATGTTATTTTAAGTCACTCAGTTTGCAGCAATTTGTGACAGCAACCAAAGGAAATGCATACAGGAACTAACAGGCACCTACTGTGTGGCAGGCACCGGACCACAGTCTACATTCCTTCTTTGCTGAAGCTTTCTGGAGCCTTCTGATCTGGGTGGGCCTTACTTTGCAAATTCTCCCTCATTGTGCTCATCACAATTCTGATTAAATCATCAGGGTTTTTTATTCATTCATGTCTCTCTACCCACTAGACCACAGGCTCTATGAGGCCTGGGATTATGGGTTTGTTTGTTTTATTCACCACTTTGTCGTGTGGATGTTAATAAATATGTGGTGAGTGAATGACTAAATGAATCAAAGGGATTATCCCTGGTAGTCCTCACAGCAACCCTGGGAAGTAGGAACCATTACTCATTTCACAGGTGACGAACTGAGACACAAATGAGGCCCCATCACTTCTCTAAGGATGCATAGATTAGAAGGGGTAGAGCCAGGATTTGCACCCAGCGTTGTTTGGTGGGGCCTTCAGCCCATGAGCTTAGCCACTAAGCTAAAGATGTCCCTCCAGACTGTCTGCCTCTGCCTCCCTGACTGTCCCCAGCCCCCAGCCTTTGCTGACTTCTGCCCAGAGACCTGACATTCTGGAGGAAGGAGCATCTTAATTAGGCCACCCTGCAGCTGTTTGGGGAGCTGCCTGGTCCCCCACGGAGGCGGAGGTTTCTGTGACAAGTCCCGCGCATAGCTGGACTGGGGGCTAGAAGCGACAGGGTTTGTCAAGTTGATTTGGGATCCTTGGGAACGGGCAGTGTTCCAGAACCATAGTGTCATCATCGTTATTATTGTTTTATCTAATCTGTTCTGGAGAACAACCATTTTGAAATTGGGCAAAAATATAGCCTAATATATTTAAACATATATATTTTTATTTTTATATAATTTAAAAATAAACGCATTGATGTACATTTTCCAAGTGCCTGCCTGCTGAATTCCTAATGTAATACAACATGACTCAGAGCTAAATTTAAAGAGAGAAGCACATATGTTTAAAGCAGGCACCAACTTTCAATCTGAGGAGAAACAGAGTCAAAGTATTTTTTTTTAGCGTGTGAGTGGACTGAGTGCAAAGTGAATTATCTCCAAGCCATCTGGGAAGTCTGGTGTTTTTCAATGCCTTCACAACTCTAATTTTAAGCCGTTATTTGGCCTTTAAATAACAATATCTTTTCTTTCCATTGGAATTTGCACCAGATCCGCATTTATTGCGCTATCGACTCCAAAAAGAGACCTATCTTTGAGAGCAAAAAGAGCAAAAGTTATTGAACGTATTACTCTGCAGATTGGCTCTGGAAAAAAAACAGCAGTCTGATATTTTGCAAATGAAGTTTGACATATTCTGGGATGGCATATTGCACCCACCAAAACAAGCTGGTTGTGCCTGGAGGGGAAAGCTTAATTAAAGCCCCCTTAACAGCACACAACTCCAAGAAGAAGACTCAGGGTGTACTATACATGACCTTCAACTTGTTCCACAGGGTTCTCCTTCACAGATGAGATTCATGAAGTCACAAAAATGGTCTTGATTTTTACCCAGAAGAAAGACAGCACAATATGATTACAGAATCTTAGCTCTGAGGGGGTTCTGGTCCAACTCATCAAGCAGTGCAGGGATCTCCTGCCTAGAGTCCCAGATTAATGTCCTTTTAATGTCTACTCGAATACGTTTAGTCATGGGGAACTCACTGCCTTTCCAACTGTAGGAAGTCCTCTGCAATATTAGGCTGAAATCTTCCTCCCTACAGATTTCCTGCAATGGGTTCTTGTTATTGCCGCAAGATAACCTAGAAGGAATCTTCTCTTGGGCTAACATGAAGGTGAGTTGAAGGTCACCGCCATGATCTTTCTCTTGCTCCAAGCTAAGCACACCCAGCCCCTCTAAGGAAGGAACATGAGTACTTGGCAGGATCTCTCCAGTAACAAGGATGATAACTGTTTGGCAAACTTGTCCATAGTGGATAGGACAGAGAGACAAAGGGGATGTCTTGAGCCTCCATAAAACCAGATTTGGCCAGTGTATTTTTTTGTTTTTGTTTTTGTTTGAATCCCAAGCCTTCTCTTCCTTCTACAACCTCTATGTATGTTCCTTGGAGGCGTGGACTTTGCTGAAAACCAGACTCTGATTAGTAGAGATGTTCTCAAAGGGAATGGCCTACAGAACACACCATCCGGTCAAGGGATCCCTCAGACATTCTTCTGCCATGAGAAGAAGACACGCCAACAAGATTGGGAGACCCAGCATGAGCTAACTCCAATAAAGACTTTTTGGAATGTGCATGCACATCCTTGATGTGTGGCCCAAGGGTTCTTTTGCTCTGCAGTAGACGTTCAAGGTCAAGTGAAAGGTCCCATGAGACCCCGCCTCCCTCGCCTCTCTGATCTCAGCTCCCATCCACCTTCTCCCTTTCCTCTTGTGTTCCAGCCACTCTGGTCTCCTCACTACTCCTGCCAAGGACTTTGGGTTTTCGTTTTTTGGGGTTTTTTTTTTTTTGGTGGGGAGAGGGTGGGGACAGGGTCTCGCTCTGGTGCCCAGGCTGGAGTGCAGTGGTACAATCACAGCTCACTGCAGCCTTGACCTCCTGGGGTCAAGCAATCCTCCCACCTCAGCCTCCCTGGTAGCTGGGACTACAGGTGCACACCACCATGCCCAGCTAATTTTTTATCTTTGTAGAGATGGGTGTCCAGGCTTGAACTCCTGGGTTCAAGCAATCCTCCTGCCTTGGCTTCCCAACATGCTGAGATTACAGGCGTGAGCCGCCACGCCTAGCCTCCCCGAGGACTTTGCACCTGCTGTTCTTCCTTTTTGGAATATCCTTCCCACAGATATCCTCACAGCCTCATCAATTCCTGACTGCACACAGGTGACTACTCAAAGATCTCCTTATCTATCAAAATGGCACCTCTGCATCACTCTGTCCCTTTATCCTACTTCATTCTCTTCTTAACATATCTCACCACTTTCCATCACTAAAATGTCAGTTTCATAAAGCAGGGACTTTATCTCACTATGTATCCCGCTGTGTTCCCTAGGCCTAGATTGTGCCTGGCATGGAGTATTCCATTAATCAATGTTTGCTCTATTTCTTATGTTTGCAGATCAGTTTGTGGACTCTCAGAATGTCCTGCAGACAGACTTGAGAATGACTGGGTTAGCTTTCATGTTATGTCCTTCCTGAGCCCTCTCTAACCCTTTAGATAAAGTGACTCTCCTTTCTATGTGTTCTCTTCAGACCCAGTGGTCACTATTGAGGTGGCCTTGATCTCACAGCAGCTTGAGTTTTAGAAACTTGTATTCATATCTCATTAGGAACAATTCCCAGAGAGCAATCACTCACCCAGATGCCAGCAGGTGCTCAGGAAACACAAGGTATAAAAAGGAATGACATCCTCCTCCTCCTTCTGTTCTCTTTAATGGAAAGGTTTTGGAAATATTTAGGTCGAAATATCTTTTTTTTTCATAATGAAAGCCTTTCATACCTAGTAAATTGGCAGTGCTGGTGAGCAGAGGGGTTGAGGTGCAGTATGATTAATATCTCAAAGAACTTTTACTATCTGCTCAATTATGTCCACTCTGTCAGGTGTCATTTAGAACTCATTTTTTAAAAGTCCTCTTACAACTCAACAATGAAAACGATGAATAACCCAATTAAAAATAGACAAAGGATGTGAAAAGACATTTCTCCAAAGAAGATACACAAATGGCCAATAAGCAAAAGAAAAGATACTTGGCATCATTAGTTGTGGTGGTTAATATTAAGTGTCGACTTGATTGAATTGAAGGATGCAAAGTATTGTTTCTGGGTGTTGCCAGAGGAGATTAACACTTGAGTCAGTGGAATGGGAGAGGCAGACCCACCCTCAGACTGGGTAGGCACCATCCAGTTGGCTGCCAGTGTGGCTAGAAAAAGCAGGCAGAACAGAATAGAGAACCCAGAAATAAACCCAAAAATGTACAGCCAACTCATCTTCAACAAAGCAAACAAAAACATAAAGTGAGGAAAGACATCCTATCCAACAAATGGTGCTGGGATAATTGGCAAGCCACATGGGGGAGAATGAAACTGGATCCTCATCTCTCACCCTATACAAAAATCAACTCAAGATGGATCAAGGACTTAAATCTAAGACCTGAAACTATAAAAATTCTGGAAGATAACATTGGAAAAACCCTTCTAGACATTGGCTTAGGCAAAGAATTCATGACCAAGAACTCAAAAGCAAATGCAACAAGAACAAAGATAAATAGGTGGGACTTAATTAAACTAAAGAGCTCCTGCACAGTCAGCAGAGCAAACAAACAACCCACAGAGTGGGAGAAAATCTTCACAATCTATACCTTCAACAAAGGACTAATATCCGGAATCTACAAGGAGCTCAAACAAATTAGCAGGAAAAAAACAAACAGTCCCATCAAAAAGTGGGCTCAGGACATGAATAGACAATTCTCAAAAGAAGATATGCAAATGGCCAACAAACATATGAAAAACTGCTCAACATCACTAATGATCAGGGAAATGCAAATCAAAACCACAATGTGATACCACCTTACTCCTGCAAGAATGGCCATAATAAAAAAATAAAAATAAATAGATGTTGGCATGGATGCAGTGAAAAGGGAACACTTCTACACTGCTGATGGGAATGTAAACTAGTACAACCACTGTGGAAAACAGTGTGGAGATTCCTTAAAGAACTGAAAGTAGAACTACCATTTGACCAAGCAATCCCAGCAATCCCACTACTGGGTATCTACCCAGAGGAAAAGAAGTCATTATATAAAAAAGATACTTGCACATGCATGTTTATAGCAGCACAATTTGCAATTGCCAGGATATGGAACCAGCCCAAATGCCCATCAATCAATGAGTGGATAAAGAAAATGTTATATATATATATACACATACATACATATACACACACACATATATACATATATACATATATATGTACACATATATGTATGTATATATATGTACACATATATACATATATATATATATATATATATATATATATATATATATATATATATATATGATGGAATACTACTCAGCCATAAAAAGGAATGACTTAATGGCATTCACAGCAACCTGGATGGAACTGGAGACTATTATTCTAAGTGAAGTAACTCAGGAATGGATAACCAAACATCGTATGTTCTCACTCCAAAGTGGGAGCTAAGCTATGAGGATCCAAATGCATACGAATGATACAATGGACTTTGGGGACTTGGGGAAAAGGATGGGAGGGGGATGAGGGATAAAAAACTACAAATTGGGTTCAGCATATACTGCTCGGGTGATGGGTGCACAAAAATCTCACAAATCACCACTAAAGAACTTACTCATATAACCAAATACCACCTGTTCCCCAAAACCCTATGGAAATAAAAAATTTTTAAAAAGGAAAGCAGGCAGAAGAAGGTGGAATGAGCAGACTTGCTGAGTCTTCTGGCCTTCATCTTTCTCCCGTGCTGGGTGCTTCCTGCCCTCCAATATCAGACTCAAAGTTCTTCACCTTTTGGGCTCTTGGACTTACACCGTGGTTTGCCAGGGGCTCTCCAGTCTTCAGCCACAGAATGAAGGTCACATTTTTGGCTTCCCTACTTTTAAGGTTTAGGGATTCAGACTGAGCCACTACTGGCATTCTTGCTCCTCAGCTTGCAGATGGACTATCGTGGGACTTCACCTTGTGATGGTGTGAGTCAATTCTCCTTAATAAACTCCCTTTCATATATACATCTATCCTATTAATTCTGTCCCTCTAGAGAACCCTGACTAATATGTTAGTCATTAGAGAAACGCAAATCAAAACCACAATGAGATTCCAGTACACACACACAAGAATGGCTATAATCAAAAAGGCAGATAATAAAAAGTGTCTATGAGGATGTGGAGAAATAAGAACCCTCATATATTGCTGGTGGAAATAAAAAATGGTGCAGCCACTGTGAAAAACAGTTTGGCAGTTTCTCAGAAATGTAAGCAGAGTTACCATATGACCCAACAATTCCACTCCTAGATAAATATCCAAGAGAATTGGAAACATATGTCCACACAATAACTTATACACAAATGTTCACAGCAGCATTATTCATAATAGTCAAAAAATTGGAAATGACCCAAATGCCCATCAACTGTTGAATGGAAAAACAAAATGTGGTCTATCCACTTTTTTTGTCCATAAAAAGGAATAAAATTCTGATACATGTTACAACGTGGATGAAACTTTTAAAAACCCATTATTTTAAGTAAAAGAAGCCAGACACAGAAGACCACATATCGTATGATTCCATTTACATGAATTTTGCAGAATGGGCAAATCCATAGAGACCAAAAGTGGTTTCCAGAGACTGAGAGGGACAGAAAGTGTTCTGGAATTGGATAATGGTGATGGCTGCTCAACTTTGTGGATATATAAAGTATGCACACTTTAAAAGGGTAAATTTTATAGTATGTAAATTATAGCTCAATGTAGCTGTTATTTTTCTAAAAAATTAGTCTTCACCTTTAAGTAATTAAACAATTGATAAAAGTGATTACCATAGGTAGCTTTTACATATTTACATCTGTTATGAAAACACACACACACACACACACACACACACACAAATCAAGCAGTTGAATAGAATGAACTACCATTTTGACAGACTTCAACTATCTCCTCCCAGTGCAAATAACACAAGACATCAATGTTTTGGGCAAAGATAAAAACAGAAGTCATTTTCCTGTTGATACTATGCAGAGGAAGTAAAGTGATTGCTAGTAGTATCATGTTATCTTCATCCTTTCCAGCAGTGACCATCACATTGGACAGTGGACAGTGGACAGGTTGCTTATGGTGCCCAAGAGTCCGCACGGCCTGTTTATTTCTACCAGGCAGTCACCATAACCAACAAATTCCTGAGCTGGGCACGGTGGCACACACCTGTCTCCCAGCTAGTTGGGAGGATCGCTTGAGCCCAGGAGGTTGAGGTTGTAGTGAGCTATGATCGTGCCACTGCACTTGTGGGCAACAGAGGGAGACCTCATTTCTAACAACAAAATAAAGAACCAAGAAATTCCCAAAATAACAACTTAGGATCTGAAAAACTCATGGCATGTTGAGTACCCACATAACGTACCTAAAAACAAAAATAAAAAATAAAAAATCTCTAAACTTTTCATTATGGAAACTATCAAACTATCAAACATAAGTTGAGTGAACAGTAGAATGAATCCCAGTCTCAATAATTCTCAGCTGATAGCCAATCTGATTTCACCTTCCCCCATCTACCTCTGCTCCTCCATATAACATATAATCTTACCCATCAATATCTCAGTATGTACTTCTGAAAGAGGACTCTTTAAAAACACACACATGTCTGGGCATGGTAATCCCAGGCATGAGAGGCCGAGGCAGGTAGATTGCTTGAGCTCAGAAGTTTGAGACCAGCCTGGGTAACAGGGCAAAACTCTGTCTCTACAAAACATACAAAAATTATCCTGGTGTGGTGGCACACGCCTGTAATCCCAGCTACTCGGGAGGCTGAGGTGGGAGGATCACTTGAGCCTGGGAGACAGAGTTTGCAGTGAGCAGTGATCAAGCCACTGCACTCCAGCCTGGGTGGCAGCCTGAGACCCTGTCTCAAAAACAAAAAAACCCACACACATACAAAACATATTCAAGTTTCTCTTATTATCTTACAAACTTTAAAAAAAGTTTATATAATGTCCTTTTTATTATTATCTCTATTCTCCATGGAAACATGAATAGCAATTGCCACTATTTACAAAAGCAGCTATTGTGTGCCGGAGAGTTTACTGGGGGCTTTCCACATATTTTCCAATAAAATCTTTGCGTCAACCATAGAAGTTGTTTATTATCACCCACCCATCCACCATCTCCCAGCTCAAGGAGTTTGAGTGTCCCAACCAAGGTTCAAAGACGGGTCAGGCTGGCTGACCTAATCTCTATTTCCCACTCCTGGTTCTCCCATGCCCATCTTTATTATAGGGCTGAGCTGTCCAATAGTCTAGACACTAGCTGCATGTGGCACAATAGTTAAAGGGTAGCTAATGTCCAATTTGAGATGTGCTGTAAGATCCACAAAGAATTCAAAGACTTAGTGTAAAAAAAGAATGTAAACTATCTCATTAGTAATTTTTATATTGATTGCAGATTAAAATAATAATTTTTGGATATATTGGGTTAAAATATATTACTAAAATTAATTCTTGTATGTATTAGTCCGTTCTCATGCTACTAATAAAGATATACCCAAGACTGGGTAATTTATAAAGGAAAGAGGTTTAATAGACTCACAGTTCCACATGGCTGGGGAGGCCTCACAATCATGGCGGAAGGTGAAGACCAAAGTCACATCTTACGTGGCAGCAGGCAAGAGAGCTTGTGCAGGGGAGCTCCCATTTATAAAACCATCAGATCTCATGAGACTTATTCACTATCACAAGAACAGCACAGGAGAGCCCCACCCCCGTGATTCAATTACCTCCCACCTCGTCCCTCCCACGACACTTGGGAATTATGGAAGCCATAATTCAAGATGAGATTTGGGTGGGGACACAGCCAAACCACATCACTGTGGCTCTTTACCTTTCTTAAAAAATTGTGGCAAAATACATATAACATAAAATTGGCCATCTTGACCCATTTTGTGTGTACAGCTCAGTGGCATTAAGCATATTTACATCGTTGTCCAGCCATCACCACCACTCATCTCCAGAACTCTTTTCATCTTGTCAAACCAAAGCTCTGCCCTATAAAACAACAACTCCCTATTCCTCTCTACTCTTAGCCCCTGGCAACCATCATTCTGCTTTCTATCTCTATGAATTTGACTACTCCAGGGACCTCTTAAACCTCTGTAAAGACAGATTTGGCCAATATTTTGTTGGTTTTGTTTAAATTCCAAACCTTCTCTTCCTTCCACAACCTCTATGCTGTGTTCTTTTCAGATGTATGAATTTCACTGAAGACCAGCCCCTGGTGGCCACCATCCTGTACTTTCTGTCTCTATGAATTTGACTTCTTTTTTCTCACTCTGTTGCCCAGGCTGGAGTGCAGTGGCGCGATCTCAGCTCACTGCAACCTCCATCCCCTGGGTTCAAGCGATTCTCCTGCCTCAGCCTCCCAAGTAGCTGGGACTACAGGTGCCTGCCACCATGCCTGGCTGATTTTTGTATTTTTTTTTTAGTAGAGATGGGGTTTCACCATCTTGGCCAGGCTTGTCTTGAACTCCTGACCTCATCATCCACCTGCCTGGGCCTCCAAAACTGTTGGGATTACAGGCGTGAGCCACCTTGCCTGGCCAATGAATTTGGCTTCTTTAGGTACCTCACATAAGTGGAATCATACGGTATTTGTCCTTTAGTGCCTGGCTTAGTCACTTAGCATAATGTCTTCAAGGTCCATCCACGTTGTAGCATGTGTCAGATTTCCTTTATCCTCAAGATTGAGTAATATTTCATTGTGTGGCTAGACCACACTTTGTTTACTCATTTGCTGGGCACTTGGGTGGCTTAGACCTTTTGGCTTCCGTGAATGACGCTGCTGTGAACATAGGCATACAAATATCTCTTTTAGACCCTGCTTTCAATTCTTTGGGTATATATGCAGAAGTGGAATTGCTAGATCATATGGTAATTCTATTTTTAAGTTTTTGAAGAACTGCCATACTGTTTTCCACAGTGGCTGTACCATTTTACATTCCCACCAATAATGCACACAGTTCCAACTTCTCCACATCCTTGCCAACACTGGTTACTTTCTGTTTGTTTTTGTTTTTTGAGATGGCGTCTCACTCTCTCACCCTGGCTGGAGTGCAGTAGCGCGATCTTGGCTCACTGCAACCTCTGCCTCCTGGGTTCAAGCGATTTTCCTGCCTCAGCCTCCCGAGTAGCTGGGACTATAGGCATGTGCCACCACACATAGCTAATTTTCCACCATGCCTGGCTAATTTTTTTTTTTTTTTTAGTAGAGATGGGGTTTCACCATATTGGCCAGGCTAGTCTCAAGCTCCTGACCTCAGATGATCCACCCGCCCCAGCCTCCCAAAGTGCTGGGATTACAGGCGTGAGCCACTGCGCCCAGCTGTTTTTGTTTTTGATCATAGCTGGCCTAGTGGGTATGAGGCTCTTTGCCTTTTTAAACATGACTATTAGAAAACATGTAGCTCACATTCTATTTCTTCTTGCCAGCCGTGCTAATGGGGGCTGGAAAAGAAAGAAAAACTTGACTTCCTGGCCTTTTCTGCAGATAGAGGTGGCCATGTGACATTGTTCTGGCCAGCGAGGCATGAGCATGTCTGCCGGTGCCACCTCTTCTGCTTCCTACTTCTTCCTGCCTATGATGCATCCTGCAACCATGAAGTGACAGAAATGAGGATGAGGTTAAGGGTGGTGGGGCAGACTGATGAAAGAGGAGACTTGCTGATGAACCCTGGCATCAGCCTCTCATTATGTATCTCCAGACCACTCATCACGCAAGACCATAAACTCTTCTCCCTTCAAACCACCTGTAGCTTTTTATGCATTTGTTAGTGTGGCCACACTTCTATAATGGGATCACTCCAAAAGTGGCAGAGCTGGGACTTGAGCACACGTCTGTCTGTCTGTCTCCTAAAGCCTCTCCATCTATATTAGTCTGTTTTCACATTGCTGATAAAGACATACCCAAGACTGGGTAATTTATAAAGAAAAAGAGGTTTGGCTGGGCACAGTGTCTCACACCTGTAATCCCAGCACTTTTGGAGGCCGAGGCGGGCGGATTGTGAGGTCAAGAGATCGAGACCATCCTGGCCAACATGGTGAAACCCAGTCTCTACTAAAAGGACAAAAATTAGCCGGGCATGGTGACGCATGCCTGTAGTCCCAGCTACTCAGGAGGCTGAGGCAGGAGAATTGCTTGAACCTGGGAGGCGGAGGTTGCAGTGAGCCGAGATCGTGCCACTGCACCCCAGCCAGGTGACAGAGTGAGACTCCATCTCAAAAAAAAAAAAAAAAAGAAAAAGGAAAAAAAGAAAAGAAAAATAGGTTTAATGGACTCACAGTTCCACGTGTCTAGGGAGGCTTCACAATCATGGCAGAAGGTGAAAGGCACTTCTTACATGGTGGCAGGCAAAGAGAATGAGAGAATGAGACCCAAGCGAAAGGGGAAACCTCTTACAAAACCATCAGATCTCATGAGACTTATTCACTACCATGAGAACAGTATGGGTGAAACCACCCCCATGATTCAATTATCTCCCACCAGGTCCCTCTCACAACATGTGGGAATTATGGGAGCTACAAGTAAAGATGAGATTTGGGTGGGGACACAACCAAACCATATCATCATCTCTCTCTCCACCTCTACCACCCACTGCCTCCCAATAATGGACTGGTGATACCAGTGAGGTGAAAACCAGGCTCCTGGCTGTCCTCTGCATGATTACTCCCAAACAGGGAAGGTGTTTTCTAGCCAAACGGTGACCACGCATCAATTGCAGGGAATGTGTCTACTTTACACACACACAGACTTACAAATTAGCATGTCCACAGCTGGCTGTATCGTTTAAGGTAGGAAACCTAAGCCATCAGCAACAGGGAATTCAATAAATTCTGCAAAGCCATTGAATAGAATCTTTGATGGTCATTAAAATGATGTTTTGGAAGATGATTTTTTAATGATAGAGTATTTAATCTATATTATGAAAGATGGAGGTCTCCAAATAGTATGATTCTAATTTTGTAAAAGAATGTATATTTGGAAATAATCAAAATGTGGAGTGGTAGGATTATGCATAACTTAATTTTTTTTCTTTGTTTTTTTGAGACAAAGTCTCTTTCTGTCACCCAGGCTGGAGTGCAGTGGCTTGATCTCAGCTCACAGCAACCTCTGTCTTCTGGGCTCAAGCGATTTCTCCTGCCTCAGCCTCGCAAGTAGCTGGGATTACAGGCTCACACCACCACACCCAGGTAATTTTTGTATTTTTAGTAGAGATGGAGTTTCACCATGTTGGCCAGGCTTGTCTTGAACTCCTGACTTCAAGTGATCCACCCACCTTGGCCTCCCAAGGTGCTGGGATTATAGGCATGAGCCACCATGCCTGGCCATTTTTTTTTTTTTGAGACAGAATTTCACTCTGTTGTCCAGGCTGGAATGCAGTGGTGCCATCTTGGCTCACTGCAACCTCTGCCTCCCTGGCTCAAGTGAACCTCCCACCTCAGCCCCCTGAGTAGCTGGAACTATAGGCGGGCACCACCGCATCTGGCTAATTTTTGTATTTTTTCTACAGACAGGGTTTCACCATGTTGCCCAGGCTGGTCTCAAACTCCTCAGCTCAATTGATCTCCCACCTTCGCCTCCCAAAATGCTGGGATTACAGGTGTGAGTCACCTCATCCGGTCTTAATTTTCTTATGTAGGCTTTTTCTATGGTTTCCCAGATTGCAAAGTAAGCATGTATTTTGTAATCAGGAAAATTAAGAAAAATAAGGCTCTTGTTTCAAGGCGAATGGACTGTTGCTTTGTCTGGAATCTCACTAGCTCCCTTTGTTATCTTATGGAGAGTTGGGGGAGGGAAAGCTAGAGAGGGTGTTGGGAGGGGTAGGGAGAGCTGAATAGGAGCTCCTGAGACAAAAATCCTAGAGCTGCTACCGCCCCATGTGCCCTGGCCTTCCCTGGGGCCTTGGAAGCCAGGCATCTGCCCTTTGCACTCAGGTGCTGGGTGAAGACTCCAGGTTTAGTAGCTTCTGATGCTGGCAGACCACTGACCCTCTTGATTAAAATGCACCATCCACATAACTCAGTAATAGAATTAGAAGGCAATTCCTCCCTCAAATGGGCTGCGGTTGAGGCTGCACAAACAATGCGTGTTTTGTTTCACTTTGATTTGGCCTAATGTGTTGGTAAAAGGGTCCGTTCCTGAGACGTCTTGTACTTAATTACGTATGAACATGGCAGAGAGTGGAGGCCCCTAACAACATACCCAGTGGTTGATTAAGTGAGCATCCAAATGGGCAATCAATAATTTACTAAAATATTTAAAATACCTTCTGGCTTCCTGTGATGGGAAGAGTATGGCTCCTGTGTGTCCTTCATTGGCTGTTCTGCAGGTGGAGGTCTCCCCTGCCTTTCTGATCTCTCTGCTTCTGAGCTCGCGCACATCTGCCCACTTTCTCCATAGCTAGACAGTGGACTTGCAAAAAGAGATCTGATCACATGACACCCCCTGCTTTAACCATCTATTGCACTTGCCCCGCCCCTACCTACAGAGGGAAGCTCAGGATACACAACAGTTATTCCATTTATTTATTAAATGCCATCCAAGGCCTTTCTGGCTCCTTGCTGCAAGCTCCGCCCCTCCACACTCTATGCGGCTTCTCACTCTGGAGACTTTGCCCTGGCCAGATGGTCCTCCCTTACCTCTACCCCCACTTCACCTGGTCAGCCCCTATGTACCTTGGCAGTATGGCTCAAGCCTCCCCTCTCCAGGAGGATGCTCTGACCATACTGTCTAGGGACTCCACAATTCTCCATGTATGTCTCTTACCTTGCACTTGAACCTCACTGTGTTTCATGTTCTGATTGTGTCTGCCTACCCTACCAAGCTGGTGGGCAGGTGCCATGAGAACAGGAACACGTTCTACCTGGATCTTTATTTAATCCTTTTATTGGGTGGATACTCCCTAATAAATGAATGAATCAGGAATGCAGGAATCCTGGCATGGTGGTTATGATCAGGGTTGACGGTTAAGGATTCCCTCCCTGTCCTCCTTCTTGAACAAGTTCCTCTGAATCACCTACCCTTGGATTGTTAGCCCCAGAGGGGATTCACTTTCTTACTCTCTAGCTGCAAGAACTGAGGCCTGGAAGGGTTAACTTATGCATCTGAGAAATACCAGTGGGGCCAAGGCCCTAGTCTATGAAGATTTTCTGACTTCCAGGGTCCGCTTTGTCCCTGGGATCATGTGGGTCATTGTCCTCATGGTAACCATCGTCAGCATCAGCATCGTGTCAAAATCATCATAGGAAGGAAATAAGAGGAAAAGTTCAGAGAGGACTAAAAGAGGATTCTTTACCATACTTGTTTTAGATTAGTTATAATAAACCTGATTCTAAGCAATTTAAAAATGTTGGTTGTTCTGAGCCTTAACCAGGTAAACATGGAAGAACACAAAACCCACTTCAGATATTTTCGGTGATATTTATTGGGCTGTACCATTGACTCCCCAGAGGTTTAGCAAAATGTTGGGCACATTCAATATATATTTGTTGAGGACTAAAACGAATGCCTACTATGTCCCCAGAACTGGATGCTTCCTTAATTTAATCATCAGAACAACCTGCAAGGTCTTAAGCGTTATGCCACACTGATTACGACATGTGGCTTAGTTACGTTGTGGCTTATCTGAGGCAGATTTGATTTTAAATCTCTCTGGTGACATTCCAACCGTCGAATGCATTGCTCTGCACCTAGCGAATCCTTAATAATTATTAATTAATGAGGGTGCCTTCTCAGTCTGAATGCTTAAACCACATGCTCTCCGAATATGATGGGAGTTGCAGCATATTTTAATTAAATACTGACAACTTTAATTCTGATTGCTCATTCTAATACTCCTGAGCTAATAGCACCAAGCTAATGGCTTGTTCATTTTGGAAGATATTAACAGCAGGGCGCTGCCTTTTACCCAAACATAAGATCATAATAATTAAAATCTGATATTGCTCGAAATGAACTCCTTTAAAGTAATTTATATCCCACAAACACACACAGATGCAGGCGTGTAAGTGCCAACATTCCCAAGAATTTACGACCCCTTAGAGAAACTCTGTCCATTCCTTTCCAAAATGAAAAGTTTTCTGTTGATGTGATAAAAGACTCCTTACTATGTTCAGGGGAAATGTGTATTTCCACTGATCAATTTCTGAGTTTCCCAGAAGAGGGGAGCCACAGAGAAATCCTGAAAACTAATGGCTATGGGAGCAAAGTCTATTTGTACTTTATTGCACCAATCAGAGTCTAAACCACTGAATCAGACAGTGAGACAAAGAAAAATCTTATTGTATGTGTGAGACTAAGCATGAGGCAGAGATGGGATCTGCATACACAAAGAGATGGAATAATTTGGAGAGAGGATCCAAGAAAGTAAATATAACATATTGCATTAATTAATTGCTTCCACCAACTTATACTGAGTGCTTATTGAGTCCCAGGCATTGGACACCCAACGGTGTTTGTGCTAGAGTATGATCCTTAACGAGAGGTTCATGTTTGGGCTTTGGAGGGTGGTGCTATGAACCCCCTGAAATTGTACATAAAATCTCATGTTTATGGGCATATGTGGGTGAGGGTAGAAATAGATTGGTACTTTTTTTTTTCCTGGGGACAAAATATACCACATGAGTCACATTTTCTAATCCTTCAGGAACCCCCAAAAGGTAAGTACCTAAGATAATAGAATTTGCCTCCTCTACTCTTTTCCTAGAAAGAATGAACAAACCAAAGCCAAAACCAAAACAAGCCAACGAACAAAGATATTTCTCTTTACTTTTACTTCCTTTACTTTTGTAAAGTTAAAAAATATTTTCTACCAAAACCTTAGGAAAAAGCCTTACCCCTACATTCCAAAGGTGACAAAAAGGCCACCAAGGCCAGGGGCGGTGGCTCACGACTGTAATCCCAGCACTTTGGGAGGCAGAGGCGGGCGGATCACCTGAGGCTGGGAGTTGGAGACAAGCCTGGCCAACATGGTGAAATCCCATCTCTACGAAAAATACAAAAACTAGCAGGGCATGGTGGCGTGCCCCTGTAATCCCAGCTACTTGGGAGGCTGAGCAGGAGAATTGCTTGAACCTGGGAGGCGGACGTTGCAGTGAGCTGAGATTGCACCACTGTACTCCAGCCTGGGCAGCAGAGCGAGACTCATCTCAAAAACAAAAACAAAAACAAAAACAAAAACAAAAAAACCACCAAATATAGTGAATTATGGGATAAAATTCATTGACCAGCTATTAGCAACAAGATCATGTCATTAGAGATAATTTGAACTAATAATCCCATTGCTAATCCTTGCTTGAGTCTATGTAAAGAATTCTCAGTGGGATGAGAAGCATAATTCACAGACACCTTCTCCTAACAGCTATGCTCTTCTGAGCGTTTATTATCTACCAAGCATTATTTCAAAAGCTTCACCTGCAAGGTGTTATTAAACCTCACAGCTATTTTATGAAGATAGGTATTATTACCAGTCTGTTTTACAGACAAGGAAACAGATTCAGGGAGGTTCAATAACTTGTTAAAGCTCCACAGCTAGAAGTTTCCTGTTATCTTCATCCCTTCCCTTAAGAAAAGCTATAAATGACCACATTGTAAAGGTGAGCTAGATGTCAGGAAATGGAAGCAACTATATAATCTCAAGACAAAACAGCTTTCTTGCAAGAGACAATTAATTTAAATAGTGTTTAATAGTTGGTTTGTCGGGGTCCAGTTTCTTAGCAGAATTCATCTTTGTGTTTCCAGAACTAGAGGATTTGAACCGAGGTGGTGCGGTCAGGCTGGGAGGAAGTGGGGAATTTTTTTGAGACAGAGTCTGGCTCTGTCGCCCAGACTGGAGTGTAGTGGCACGATCTCGGCTCACTGCAACCTCCACCTTCTGGGTTCAAGCGATTCTCCTGCCTCAGCCTTCCGAGTAGCTGGGATTACAGGCACGTGCCACCACGCCAGACTAAGTTTTGTGCACATCCGGCTAAATTTTGTATGTTTTAGTAGAGACGGGGTTTCACCATGTTGGCCAGGCTGGTCTTGAACTCCTGACCTCGAGTGATCTGCTCTCCTCGGCCTCCCAAAGTGCTGGGATTACAAGCGTGAGCCACCGCACTTGGCCGGGAAGTGGGGAATTATTAAGGAGGTGGAACTGAGGTGAACTACCCAATTTCAAAATCCTTGTCAGCACAGTCTGGCTGAACTGAAGATTTTTCTTACCACCTAGACGGTGGTTTAGACTTTCCCTGCCTCTTAAGGATGGCCTTTTTATTTACTTACTTATTTATTTTTTTTGGAGACGGAGTTTCACTCTTGTTGCCCAGGTTGGAGTGGAATGACGTGATCTCGGCTCACCGCAACCTCCGCCTCCAGGGTTCAAGCGATTCTCCTGCCTCAGCTTTCCTAGTAGCTGGGATTACAGGCATGTGCCACCACGCTCGGCTAATTTTGTATTTTTAGTAAAGACAGGGTTTCTCCACGTTGGTCAGGCTGGTCTCAAACTCCCGACTTCAGGTGATCCTCCCGCCTTGGCCTCCCAAAGTGCTGGGATTACAGGCATGAGCCACCACGCCTGGCCTGGATGGCCATTTAAAACAACTTATTGGCCGGGCGCGGTGGCTCACGCCTGTAATCCCAGCACTTTGGGAGGCCGAGGTGGGCGGATCACAAGGTCAGGAGATCGAGACCATCCTGGCTAACACGGTGAAACCCGGTCTCTACTAAAAATACAAAAAATTAGCCGGGCGCGGTGGCGGGCGCCTGTAGTCCCAGCTACTCGGGAGGCTGAGGCAGGAGAATAGCGTGAACCCGGC
Source organism: Homo sapiens (assembly GCF_000001405.40). Lineage (NCBI taxonomy): Eukaryota > Metazoa > Chordata > Mammalia > Primates > Hominidae > Homo > Homo sapiens. The sequence goes on along the minus strand of NC_000009.12, from coordinate 132,082,896 downwards.
AGGCAGAGCTTGTAGTGAGCTGAGATAGCTCCACTGCAGTCAGGCCTGGGCGAAAGAGTGAGACTCCGTCTCAAAAAAAAAAAACAAAAACAAACTTATTTTGACATAATTTCATACTTGCAAGAATAATACAAAGTATTCCTGTATACCCTTCACCCAGATTCCGTGTCTGTTGACATTTTACCACATCTGCTTTCGCCTTCTCTCTCTAAATAAACATATTCATTTTATTTTCTTTTTCATGTAGACATAATGATGATCTTTTTTCTCTTCAGGGTGTATTTCCCCCAAAACAAAGACATCCTCTTCCATAACCACAGTACAATGAACAAAATCATGAAATTATCAATGATATGGTTTGGCTCTATGTCCCACCCACATCTCATGTCAAATTGTAATCCCCAGTGTTGGAGGAGGGGCCTGATGGGAAGTGATTGGATCATGGAGGCGGATGGATCATGGAGGTGGATTCCCCCCTTGCTGTTCTCGTGATAGTGAGTGAGTTCTCACGAGATCTGGTTGTTTAAAAGTGTGTGGCACCTCCTCCTCTTTCACGCTTCAGCCATGTAAGATGCGCCTGCTTCCTGTCACCTTCCCCCATAATTGAAAGCCTCCTGGGGCCTCTCCAGTCATGGTACCTGTACAGCCTGCAGAAACATAAGCCAGTTAAACCTCTTTTCTTTGCAAATTACCTAGTCTCAGGTATTTCTTTATAGCAGTTCAAGAACAGACCAATACAATCACTGATAAAATACTGTTAACTCATCTACAGATCTTACTCGGATTTCACCAATTGTCCCAGTTGTATCAGCAAAAGAAGATCCTAGCTCACACATTGCCCTCAGTTGTCACAGCTCTTTGGTTTCCTTTAATCTGGAAGAATTTCTCAACCTTCATGTCTTTCGTGACACAGACATATATATATATATATATGTAATTTTTTTTTTTTTTTTTGAGACTGAGTCTTGCTCTTGTTGCCCAGGCTGGAGTGCAATGATGCACTCTTGGCTCACTGCAACCTCCACCTCCCAGGTTCAAGCAATTTTCCTGCCTCAGCCTCCCAAGTAGCTGGGATTACAGGTGCCCACCACCACGCCCAGTTAATTTTTTGTCTTTTTAGTAGAGATGGGGTTTCACCACGTTGGCCAGGCTGGTCTCGAACTCCTGACTTCAAATGATTCACCCACCTTGGCCTCCCAAAGTGCTGGGATTACAGGTGTGAGCCACAGTGTATGGCCTGACACAGATATTTCTTGAAAAAGTATAGGTCAGTCAGTTATTTTGTCACGTTTTTCAGTTTGAGTTCTATTGATGTCCTGATTAGATTCAGGTTATGCACTGCTGGCAAGAATATCATGGAGGTCATGTTGTGCTCTTTCCAGTGCATTGTATCAGGAGGTGCACAACATGTCCCGTCACTGGTGATGTTGACCTTGGCCTTTTGGTTAAGCTGGTGTCTGCCATGTTTCTCCACTGTGAAGTCACTATTAAGTCACTATCCATCCCCCCTTATGTTTACATTAATGAATTGTTTAAAATTTTTTGGTAAAATATACATAATATAAAATCAACCATTTTCACTGTTTCTAAGTGTCCAGTTCTGTGGCATTAAGTACAATCACATTGTTGTATGGCCATCACCACCATCCAGCTGTAAAACTTTTCCAAGTCTGTACTCTTTAAGTACAGACTTAAATATGGCCCTTTGCAATATTATGCTGAAATCTTCCTCTCTACAGCCTTCCTACAACTGGTTATTGTTATTGCCACTAGTTAACCAAGGAGGACTCTTGTCTTGGGTTGACATGAAGGTGAGTTGAAGGTCACAATCATGATCTGCCTCCTGCTCTCCTCTTCTCTGCTCCAAGCTATGCAACCCCAGCTCCTCTAAGGAAAGAACATGAGGACTTGGGCAGGTTCCCTTTAGTAAAAAGATAATAAATTTTCAGAAACCTGTCTATAGCCAACAGGACAAAGAGACATTGAATTTTTCCATAAAGCCAGATTTGGCCAACATTTTGTTGGTTTTATTTAAATCCCAAACCTTCTCTTTCTTCCACAACCTCTATGCTATGTATGTTATTTTCAGAGGTGTGTGTTCACTGTAAACCAGCCACCATTCTACTTTCTGTCTCTAACATTTTGACTACCCTAAACACCTCATATAAGTGGAGTCACACAGAATTTTGTTTTTTTGTGACTGGCTTATTTCACTTAGCATAATGTCTTCAAGTTTCCTCCAGGTAGCATATGTCAGAATTTTCTTGCTTAAGCCTGAAGAATTTTTCATTGTATGCCAGTATCACACTTTGTTTATTCATCAGTTTATGGACACTTGGGTTTCCCCTGCCTTTTGGCTATTTGGTGAATAATGCTGTTATGAACATGTGTACAGGTATTGAGTCCCTGCTTTCGCTTCTTTTGGGTATATGCCCAGAAGTGGAATCTCTGGATCATTATTTTCCTCTTCTTAATTAATAAGCATCTTGGGGGACGATACTTTGAGATTACCTAAAAAGCCTGTTATTTTTCTGACACTTTCACCCACTAGTTTTAGCATCCATCGATTTCTATCTGAATCAATTATTCTAATGGCTGTCAAATGGCAATTTTCTAATTCCATCACTCTTTCTGCATTTATGAGCTGGCATTCTATTGGAAAGAAGAAACTTTCCTTCTCCCCGCTTTATTTATGAATATGGACTCATTTTATTGAATGGGCTATGTTCCTTTCCTTTTTACACTATTGCTCTGAGCAATTCTTTTCCCTATGATTCCCCAGAGTGCAAGTTTGGGGAAATGCGGGAACTTTCTGTATTTCTTTGTCACCATTAAGCAAACCGGGAGTGCAACCTGACTTCCCCAAGTTGAGAAAAATCACTTTCCTGCCCATGCATTAGTTTAGCTCAAGGGGAAACCCTTTTTCGAAAGTGCTTTCTGGGTAGCCCCGCGCGAACTGCATTTCCCAGAGGTCTTCGGAGATACGTCATCAGCGAGCGCGGCTTTTTTGCTTGCGAAGCCGGCTTTGGAGAGCTGCTGTGGCGGCGGCAACATGGCGGACGTGATAAATGTCAGTGTGAACCTGGAGGCCTTTTCCCAGGCCATTAGTGCCATCCAGGCGCTGCGCTCCAGCGTGAGCAGGGTGTTCGACTGCCTGAAGGATGGGATGCGGAACAAGGAGACGCTGGAGGGCCGGGAGAAGGCCTTTATTGCGCACTTCCAGGACAACTTACATTCGGTCAACCGGGACCTCAAGTAGGTACCGGCTGAAGGGGCCGGGGTCGGGGACCGGCCCCGCTCCGACCCTGCCCCTACGTCGCTCGAGTCTTCCCAGGCAGGGGCTGTTCTCCGTTTCCCTTGATCCCTGTTCTTTCTCTTCTTGTTCTCCAAGCCTCTGCCTGTCCCTCAGGGACATCTTAACACCATCCCCGCTTTCTCGTCTTGCTTCTCCTGGCCTCCTGGTCCTGTTTGTCTTCCGCCATCCTCGACCTCTTCTGTGGCGGTTCCATTCCTAACAAGGAGGCATGCTTTTCCCATGAACTTCCACTTCTCTGAGCTTGGCAGGTTTCTCACCTGTAGGCCCTCTGTGCCCCATCACGTCTGATCCGAATGTAGTAATAGTACAGACAGGACCTGGTCAGTCGGCTCCAAACCCAAGTGCACCCGATCTGATTAGCCCCAATTCCCCGGCCCTGAACTTGGACTTCATCAGTTCCACCACCACCCACCCGCAACCACGACGGACCGGCCAGGCCTTGAGCTGTCTTCACCTTTTCCCCTAACCGCTCCCAAACCACCTGATCAGTTTCCTCACTCCCACTCCTGTGGGAGTTCCTTCCGCAGTAGAGACCTACTCTCTAATCTCTTAACCAGTTTAATTACTTATGCTTAACGCCCCTGCTTCTTAATTTGTAGTCTTTTAGGGTTAAGGATTCCACTTTTCCTCCTCTTCCTTACAAAGTACCTTCTTCACTTACACTTTTTAAGTGTTGTAAGAATTAAATGAGAGGATGTTTGTAAAGGGCCTGGCACATAGTAGGCACTTCTTGATTGCTTAGGTCCTGAACTTGCCTTCTGTTTTATAAGAGAGTCAGTCCTTCCCAGGAAGGTTAGAATTTCAGGATTTTTGCCTTTTACTTCTCAGAACTGACCTGAGTAGGGGAAAGCATTTGGTGAGCTAGTCATCCTTTGATTTCTGGACTGGTTGGATTTTTGTTTTTTCAACTTGGTCTCCTTAGTAACCAGATGGAAAGAGGAGGTAGGATGGAGGAGGAGGAGGAGGAGGTGGCCAAATGATGGGTGCCTTTTTGTTTTCCCCCTAAGTAGTTGCCGTAAATCACACAGCCCTCCTCAACGCCCACATCCGCTTGCTGTTCTCTGGCACCGCGCCGAGCACCAGTTAATACTTTCTCTGCTTCAGGGGATGCACTGGCTATTCTTCCCTATCTTCTGTTTTCTTTCCATTTTCTCTCCGAGTTACTTCCCTTTGTAATGTTCAGGATATTATAACCCTTCACCATTTTAAATAGAAACTTTAAGAGTGCTGACATTATCCTTTTGCCTTCTTAAATCTTTGTACAGTAGTGCCAAGAAGAAGGTGGCTGATGATTCCAAAATGAATGTGGCATAAGAAGCTGTTCCTAGAGAGTCTTTTGTTGGCAGTTTGGGACTGGCCCCTCAGAACGTACTCCTGGAATGTGCTCTTGTTGGCTCGCTTTCCCAAGCTTCTCTAGGGTTTTCCTGCTAGACTGAAGTGTGTTTGTTTGACACAGCCACCTCAGTGGTGTCTTCCCATTCCATTTGTTTATTTTATCTCTTCTTTGTTTTGTTAAGTTTTACCATCTGTGAAGCATCATGTACAAATCTATCCCTATGTGAATGATAAATAATCATCATTTAATCAGGTACTTGCTGTTCTGCCAAGTGTAATGATCTGCACGTGGGTCTGAAAACTCTTAGTGAGAGGCAGTGTTATACCACATTTCAAAATTCCAGAAAGTCTCCTCCCCACTGCAGGGATGAATTTGAGTTGTTAATTTCTGATTATGGGGGTCTTATTGATTCTACTGCCCTTACCTTTTTTTTCCTCCTTTGGAATGGCACCAGAAGCTCTGTTTTAAAGTCAGATAAACTCTCATTTAGGGTTTTTTTTTTTAAGTGTCCCAAGTATTTTTTAACCTTTCAAAAAGTATTTCTTCTTAAGGGACTTCTGATGGATGGTTTGAAGAGCAGTCTTTGATCCTGGGGGCTGGCTTTACCCTGGAGTGTAAATGGGCTTAGGTTTATTTGCCTTGTCTCTTTGCTTTTCAGTGAGCTGGAACGTCTGAGCAATCTGGTAGGCAAGCCATCTGAGAACCATCCTCTTCATAACAGTGGGCTGTTAAGCCTGGATCCTGTGCAGGACAAAACTCCTCTCTATAGTCAACTCCTTCAAGCATATAAGTGGTCAAACAAGGTAAGGGAGATGTAATAAACGGAGCTAATATATGGAAAACCAAGTTTTCTTATATTCCATACATGCAGAAAGCAAGAGTATGTTTTTATTGCTTTTTATGTTCTTGATTCAGCATGGGGTTATAGAGTTGGAAGTTGTAGAATTTTTCTGTAACCTATTTTGTAGTCCTTTGAAGTCTTTGGGGATTCATGATGTTCAGGTGATTACATGTTAAAAATTCTAACTCAGGTGTATTTAACCTGGAGACTGGGTATAGGGAGCAACTCTTATGAACCCCTTAAAATTATATGCAGTATGTTGTGGTATGTGCATGTATATCTAGGGAAGGCTTCCTAGCTTTTGTCAGGTTCGCAGAGGAATCTGTGGCCCCCAGGAGGTGTCTAAATGTTTAGCTGCGCACATTATGTTCTTGTATTGTCTTTTCCTCTGTCACAGATGGATGAGCATCACTAGAATACCGTTTGTTAGATGACTCTCTAATTACTTAGATGCCACCTAAGGGAGATTGTTCTTAACATGCTCTGTAGAGTTTGATATTCATGGTTTCTTTCAGCAGGCAGGCCTGTGGCAGAGACCCTAGGACAGCTGTAAGTTGCAAACTAAACTGTAGCTGAAAAATAACAGAAACAATTAGGCTCATGAATCTGGAAACGGTTCGTTTGTTTACTAACAAGTTCCTTTTGTTTGGGTGCTATGTGGTGTGGCGTACATGTGTGTATGGGCTTTTTTTGTTGATTGGGAACTAGAATATATATTTTAGGAATGATTTTGGAAGCTCTTTTATTATACTGTGCTGCCTCTTTGAATAATTGTTGTTAGAATTGTTGGTTGTTTAACTGTATGCAGGGTTGTGCCCCCTCCAGTAATCCATTGTCATTTTCCTCGTTTCTGTGGTTTTTTTTCCCCTTAGGTCTTGAGTAAGAGCTAAAGCTTGAGAGTTTTTCTGGTGTGCAGAATTTTTTCTTTGAATTTCTCTTTGAGGGTGTTTTAGTATTCTTTGGTTTGAAGTGGAACCGTGGGAGCTGCTTTGTGATTCAGGAAGGTGATTTATCATGGGTTACTAAAGAAAGAACTTGAACCTTGAATGCATACATTTAGCCTGTAAAGCCTTTCCCCAAAACTCTGGACTGCCAGTGACAGAAACCCAGCTGGGTCTAGATTTAGCCAAAAAAAAAAGCATGGGGCCTTCATTGGTTCAAGGAACTAAAATGTTCAGGGAGTTACTTCTCTGTGGCTGAACTCAGGAGGATCAGGGTGCTTGGGTGGGTGGCAGGAACATCACTCTCCTGCCCTCTCTAGGACTGCTTTCCTTTGTTGTCCTGATGCTCTCCAAGGGATAAAAAACATGACTCAGCAGCTGTGGATATACATAGTTCTTATACCTGGTGACCTCCCAGTGTCCATGTCAGGCTCTGAAAAAGGATTCTGGCCCAAACTTGATAGGTGCCCTCTGAGATGATTCACTGCACCCGTGGGTGGGATCCTCAGCTCAGAGCACCTGAAACACAGGAAATGGGGTTCCTTGGAGTTGGGAGAGAGGGAGTTCCCGGAAGGGATGGATGCAGGGCAGTTGGAGAAATCACAGATGTCTGTTGCAGTTTTTTAGGCCAGACGTGGGACTGTTCCAGCTCTACACAGATAGGTGTTTGGAAAAGGAAGCCATGTTGATGTATTCCATGGGTAAAGTTCTCAAAATAGGCTACAGTGACAAGGGCTATTCAGTGGTGAGAAGATTCAGGCTGATCTCAAAACCATGAGTGAGTGGGACACTTCGTGGAAATGACTAGTCTTACATTGAAGTGATGACACTGAACTTTTGAATGAAGGTAGTTTAATCACTGAATTGTTCTACTATTAGAAGTTCCTACTTCAACCCCCACCCTTGCCCCACAGTGGAAAATAGGTTGTATTAAGGAAAAGAAATGTTATGTATGTGGAACTTCTTGTGCTGGAAATGCTACAGGTTAAAAATATCCGTATGCATTTATCCCAGATTATAAATCTCATATGAGCAATGTGAGGAGGTGTCGAGGTTGTAGCCATGCCCCCGGCCTGCTGAGGTTAAGCATCTGTAAAAGAACCATGTTCTTTCACCAGCACAAGAGAACAGTTAAGAGACTCAGCCCCTTATTTTAGAGGTGCGCAAACTGAGGCCCAGTAAACTGACCTGTTTATAGCTCCCCAAGCTAGACCAGAATTTGGGTTTCCTGACCTGGTTCAATGTTCTTTCCTCTAAAACTTGATGTTTTAGTCCAGTTTTGCTTAAGGTTTTCAACTGTAGAAAACAATTTTTTTCCCCGTTTACTTGCATCCTGGAAACAATTCACATTATATTTTATTCATGAAACTGTATGTATTTTTCTAATTTTTAGTGATTTATCAAAGGGTGGAGATGGCAAATACATGGTACATGGATTCTTAACCTATTGCTTTTTCTAGGGCAGACATCACTAATCAACCATTGCATTCTTTCCTGCTGAGGCTGTGTGTATGTTGGCTTAGAATCCTTGTAACTCTCTGTTCTGGCGCTAGGCAGCCACTGCCAGTTATTCAGAGGAGGGCGGCAAGGAAAACATGTTTTTTATTTCTGTTATAGCAGATAATGTCCTATGTGACTATTACTTATTTATACCTTACCTTTTTCTAGAAGGGATTTAAAGTAGATTATAAGAATACACAAAACCCTGAAAGAAAAGAGGGAGAACAAGGATGAGGATGTCTATATACATTTCTTTAATAAACACAAAAAGTAGCCTCAAGAAATAAGCCAGTACTCTAATTTCCAGCTGGGAACATGGAAGAAGCAAACAATTAATTATATGTGTTTATCTTGCCTTTCCTACAAATGAAAAGAGCTTTTTAATTGGTAAAGCTTTCATCATTCATCATTTTACCCTCAAAGAGTTTAAACCAGTAAGTGCGTTAATGGGTTAAGTGAAGTTTGGGGTAACTTGCCAATGTCAGCTCTATGCACTATTGGCTAAGAATTGAAGGACATATGAGAAAGGCTTTGATACCCATCCATTATGAGATGAACTTTCTGTTTTATGTGCTGTTGGCCATAGAAAAGTCTCGTTCATGCCTAATGACTAATTATTTTCTTTAGGGGATTTTGTAATTTTTGTAAAGTCAGTTGGAATATTAATTACATGGTACTTGGCATAATTGTTAGAATAACATGTTTAAAAATGAATCCCATCTAATGGAATGATGTTAAATTGCTGTGAGCAGCACTTTTCCTGTACTGAATTGGGGAAAGAATTTAGCTTTTCACTATTATGCACCTATAGATAATTGTTGTGAGAAGGATGACAAGCTTTCTTGACTAGGGCAAAAAATAATTGGCATCAACGCTGTCCTTGCTATAAAATAGTCAATGTAGACTTGATAGTGCTTATTATGTTCAGAGATGCTGAGAGTTAACCTGAACTTATTCTGAAGGTCCTCTTTTGAAGGTTTCTGGCATCCTGTCACCAGGCTTTTATTTCTGGCTTTGATTTTTTTCATTTGTTTATGGCAGAAGGCTACTTGTATATTTGCCTGGAAAAGCAGACTAAGACGTCCGCCTTTCCCTGGCAACATCTGAAGCTGCAAAGACCCCAGAAGTGTCACTTTTTACTGGGCTTGGGAAATGGGCCCAGAGCGAGGTGCTGCTGCTACCTTTTTTTTTTTTCACGTTTGATTTTTTTTTTATTACAGAAAGAGCAACTTTCTATTCCAAGAATATTCCATTGGAAAGTCTGAAGACATTTCCTCCCTCCTGCCCTCCTGAACTGTTCTTATTAGAATCCAGTTGCTTAATGACTAAGTTACTGCAAAGTTCACCTCTCACATCTATCTCTGAAGGTGCTCTTTTCTGTTTTTGCATCATGGAACTAACAGGGTTGGAATCGTTTTACATTGCAACGCAGAGCCTTTCCTTTAGGGACTCTGTCCTCTATTAAGGGTAAACTATAAGGCTCAGGGGAGAGGCACCATGTCCATCTTGTTCCTTGCTGGGAGTCCCCAGCAACTAGCAAGGCGCCTGGTACACTGTAATCATTCAGTGAAGATTCACTGAGAGAATGAAAGAATAAATGAATCGAAGCGTTTTCTGTTGAATTTTTAATTTACAACCCCTTTCGTGGTTTGCTTGCTTGTATTTTTGATGAAGTACAGTGAGGGCATTTCCATTTTCAGCCATTACTGAGAAAGCCAGTTGTGGTGCTTGGATGGGAGGCAATTTGGAGACCTTATGATGGAGGCCAGGGCTGGGGGTCATTTGGAAGGCCAAGGTGAGGTCATTGGGTGAACCAATGATAAGCTCTTTGAAGGCTGATTGTAGCAGTTTTATCCACATCATCTGTCACCTGGTGTGCCCTTCTAATGGGACTTGGTGGAAGTTTTTTGGAGTTGCCTGAGTCAGGCTAATTTGAGCTGCTGCACCTGATGTCAGGTGTTCTGTGGCGGCTGTCATTTTGGCAGCAGTGTGAAAACTGTCTGGGAAGAGGAGAGTCAATTCCACCAGCCTCTTAGGGTTATCCTACTTTGTGAGTTACGTATAACCGATTTCTACTTGTGTTTTCCTTCCCACCAGGCCCACCCCTGACTCATTCTTCTCTCCATATAGCTGCTACATGTTCAGGGAATACAGATTCCTTCAGAATATAATAGGAGAGAAAATCACTTAAATGCCCCTCACAATTTAATCATCATGACTTTAGGATTGAGCACCCTTCTGAATTGTCCTTTTATTGGCAAAGGTGTTCTTTCACCTAAATCTAACCTTCGTAGCACCCCATCACTCAAAATGAACTTGCTAGCGTAGTGAGTTTGGCTGTAGTATAGACTGCCCTGGTTAGCCTTGAACCCTACACCCTCCTCCTCCCTCCCCACCTGCAAACCCTGGATACCGTGGGAGCCATTGTGAAAAGAACAGCCAACCAGAGAAAACAATGAAATACAGCCAGTCTCCTGGACAGCAAGATACATGGCAGGATTCAGAAGTCAAGGAAGGTATAACAAAAATATAAAAACTTAGATGTAAGTTCTGGAGTCAAGACTACCTGAGTTCTGATCCAGCTCTGCTTATGCTTGAGCTCACAACCCTTGATACAAGGGAAAAAAATCTTTTTGAGTATCAGTTTCCTCATCTGTAGAATGGGGATAATACTAGTATTTGGATCATAGGGTTGAAGCGAAGATTGAGATAATGCACATCAAATGTCTTAGGGTAACTCACACATAGTAAGTGCTAAGTAAATGGTAGTTATAATGACCAGGCATCGTGATAGTACACATGTGTGTACTCATTTATGGAACGTGTGTTACTTGTACGCATGTGTACTCATGGAGTGCGTGTTACTCATATGCATGTGTACTTATTTATGGGGTGTGTGTTACGCAAGTGCCTGTGTGCTCGTTCACGGGGTGCGTGTTGCGCATACACGTGTGTGCTCATTTATGAGGCGTGCGTTACTTCTGTGCCTGTGTACTCATGGATTGCATGTTACTCATATGCCTCTGTACTCATTTATGGGGTGTGTGTTACTCATATGCTTGTGTGCTCATCCATGGGGCGCGTGTTATGCGTGTGTGTGTGTGTGCTTGTTCATGGGGTGTGTGTATGTGTGTACTCACTTATGGGGCGTGCATTACTCGTATGCATGTGTGCTCGTTCATGGACGTGTGTTACTCGTATGCATGTGTGCTCGTTCATGGACGTGCATTACTCGTATGCATATGTGCTTGTTCATGGACGCGTGTTACTCGTATACACGTGTGCTCATTCATGGGGCACGGGTTACTCATGCGTGTGTTCGTTCATGAGGTGTGGGTTACTTGTATGCATGTGCTCGTTCATGGGGCACAGGTTCATGGGATACGGGTTACTTGTGTGTTTGGTGTGCTCGTTCATGGGGTGTGTGTTACTCGCATGTGTGTGTGCTCATGGAGTGAGTGTTACTCGTACGTGTATGGACTTATTTGTGGGGTGTGTGTTACTCGTGTGTGTGCTCATTTATGAGGCACCTGTTATTCATGTGTGTGTGTGCTCGTTCATGGGGTGTGCGTTACTCGTGTGTGTGCTCATTTATGGGGTGCATGTTACACGTATGTGTGTGTGCTCATTCATGGGACGCCTGTTTCTCGTGTGTGTGCTCGTTCATCAAGTGGCAGTGTTGCTCGGTGGTTCAGAGCGTAGGCTCCAGAGCCTGACCACTCTGGCTCACATGCTGTGTTACCTGACAGCTGTGAGGCTAACCTCTCTGTGCTTCAGTGCTGTATTCTCTAAGATGGGAATGATAATTGTACCCACCTCAGAAAGGTGTTATGAGGACAAAATGAGGTGATACAAGTAAAGCACTTAAGCTAGCACAGAGTCAGTACTCTCCAGTGGCTGCTATTATTGTCTTAAGACGATGCTGAGGACAGGTTCCAGGCAGTGGTGGCCCATCTTCCAGTGGCTTCTGCTCCCTCACCAGGCCTCCCACACCTGACTTTGCTATTCTCCTGAAGTTCTTCACATTGGAGATTCTGTTGAATAATCAGCACCTTTTCCAGTGAGACAGCAATTCACACATTAATATGAATTAGTGTGTGGGGGGCAGTTCTTTCCTCACAGAACCTGGGGGTGGAGGTAAGGGACTGGGGGTTTGGTGGGGGGTGTGGGAGTCGAGGGGCAAAGGCAGGGCGAGGATCCTGGGGACAAACCACAGGAGTGGTGAGAGGACCATGGAGAGGAGGTGAGAAGGGCATATTCTGCCCCAGGCAGATATTTGTGCACACCAAAGGGGACTCTTCTCATCTTGGTACTCAGTAAGAGCTAGGAAATCAGATCTGTTTTATAGTCCTCTTACCTGGTGGGAAAAGTCTTGTGGGCCAGTCTGGGATTTTTAGCCTTTTTTTGAGACAGGGTCTTGCTGTGTTGCCCAGGCTGGAGTGCAGTGGCACAGTCATGGTTCACTGCAGCTTCAGCCTTATGGGCTCAAGAGGTCTTCCTGCATCAGCCCCCCAAGTAGCAGGGACTACAAGCATGCACACCCACGCCCAGCTAATTTTTAAATTTTTTGTAGAGATGGGGGTCTCACTATGTCGCCCAGGCTGGTTTCAAACTCCTAGGTTCAAGCCATCCTCCAGCCTTGGCCTCCCAAAGTGCTGGGATTACAGGCATGAGCCACCATGCTCGGCAAGCCCTGTTTCTTTAGGACAATATCTGAACACAAAGGCTAATTTAGAACTTTTGGATTCTCTCCAGGTTGTAAACTGGGTGCTTGTTATCAGCAGGGCTCTGGAGTCAGACTTTATAGGGTTTGAATCCTTATCCCCCTTTTCCCAGCTTTCTAATTTGGGACGAGTGGCAGAACGTGTCTTTGCCTCAGCCTCCTCCTCTGTTCAATGTGGATAACAGTAGCTTCCACCTTCCGGGGCTGTCGTGGGGACTAAGGCATTGAGCACATCTGAGGGACCTAGGCCGGTGCCCAGTGTGGCGTGCTTGCGGCGACTGTCCTTTATTCTTGCTCATTTTAATATGAACGGTGAAGCTGTGCCTGGCGGTGTGCAGTCAGGAGAACTCTGACAGAGCATTCTAGAGAGCACTGTTCAGTCTCGGCCTTCCACTGTCCTGCTATGTGGCCTCCTGCCAGTGGCTTTCCCCCACTGGGTTTCACCTTCCTCATCGGTAGGATGAAGGGTTGGGCTGGGTGATCTCTTCAGTCCCTTCCAGCTCTGCCCTGGAGAGGTTCATTGGAGTCATCATTGCATTTCTGTGGTCGTGGAAACAAAATTGTAATCCGAGGAATGGAGAGTATTTCCACCTCTTCAGCTCTAGTCCAGTAATGTTTCTGAAGTACACACAGCCTTTTTGTATGCTCCAGAGCATCTCAGAATATCCCAGAGTGGAGCAGCAGCCCCCAGGGACTTTAGTGGAAAATTACCTTGCAAAGGTTCTGCAGACAGCATTCGCCTCTTGTGACACACCACAGGTAAATATTACTGAAAATCAAGCCATGCCCCTATCATTCTAAACGGTTTCTATCCCAAGGCTTTGGCCCAATTCCATGTCTTTATGTTCTACTTATTAGTTGTGGTTTCTGAAAATAGTCACTTTATTGTTGCCTGGAATCAGGTTTGTGACTCCCTCATTCTTTTCTGTAAAAGAGCAGGAACTGTCTTTGGAAGCCTCACTGGCCGGCCCCAGGGAGGCTGCAGAGGCTGCTGGACGTGTGTCAACTTGCCGTCTGGGAGCCACTGGCCATGGGGACTCATGTTGATACCCTGCTTGACTCTCTTCCATCAGCCTTTTCTGGGATGATCAGGTTTGTGTGGTTTGTCCAGAGCCTTCTGTACATTGTAACCAGAGCCTATGAAGGGCATTTCCTCTTCTCTTCCAGGAATGTTGAATAGAAAGGAAATTGTCTCTGTCATTTGTCCTTATGCAAAATTGCACATTGGTGGTGGGAAGGAAGCATATCATTACATGTACAGAAGCCTCCCGTTTTCTTGTCTTCTCTCTTCATGGTGGTTTGGTTTGGGAGAAGGCCGCTGGGTTATTAGTGCTTCTCTCCCTTCTCTGGGCCATCTCATCTGTTCTGTGGCTTCACTTGCCAGCCACACACAATGACATCTAACTCCATCACCAGGCTGGCTCCCTCCCTCGACATCCAGACCCATGTATCAAAGGGCCCAGCTGGACAGCTGCCCTTGGAGACTCACAGGCCTCTCAGACTGAAGCAGTCCAGAACTGAAATCCTCACCCCCACCACCAACCTGCTTCTCGTGGTGGGATGCCTTAGCCAGCCACCTACCCAGATCCCTGGGTGTCATCCGTCGCTTCTGCCTGTCCCTCACACCCTCTGACAGATCTATTGATTTCCCCTCTTCACAGCCTCTCAGCTCTTCCCTCTCCATCTTGACTGGTACTGCCTCTCCCCGGGCCTCCATTATTGCTCAGGGCAATGCCGCAGCCTCCCCACTGGTTTCTGGCCTGTAGTCTACCCTTTCTAATCTATTTTCCACTCTGCAGCTCTCGAGGGATCTTTAAAATGTAGAGATCTGATTTTGTCACTCTTCGGTGATTTCCTCCCTCTCTCTCAGGATGAATTCCAGCTCCCTCGCTGGCACTTGGAGGCTTTCTAGTAATAGTACACGGGAGCCCGAGTCCTTTGGCCGGCTTACCTAGCCTCAGTTTCCTCATCTGTAAAATGCCACGAGTAGTCCTGCCTCTTAGGGTAGCAGTGAGGATGATGTGAATACTGCATGCGAGTGTGTGGCCCGGGGGAGTCTCTGTACATGACCTGTTGACCGTTAGCAGCCCCAGCACAGGCCCGTTGTTGTCGTCATGGTCTAGCACCACTTGTTCTTCTAGCTTGTTTCCTCCCCCCTTTTTGCGGGGGGAAGAAACCCTTTTTATTATGAAAACTTTTTATTATGGAAAATTTCAAATATGCACAAAAGTGAGAGAATAATGACCTAGCTTCAACTATTACGAACATTTTGGGCCGAGGTGGGCGGATCACGAGGTCAGGAGATGGAGACCATGCTGGCTAACACGGTGAAACCCCGTCTCTACTAAAAAATACAAAAAATTAGCCAAGCATAGTGGCGGGTGCCTATAGTCCCAGCTACTGGGGAGGCTGAGGCAGGAGAATGGCGTGAACCCGGGAGGCGGGGCTTGCAATGAGCCGAGATCACACCACTGCGCTCCAGCCTGGGCGACAGAGCAAGACTCCGTCTCAAAACAACAACAACAACAAAAAGAACATTTTGCTAAATTTGTTGCATGCTTGCTTGCTTTTTTGGTTGGGGGGCGAGGACTGGAGTCCATACGTGAAAATGGAGCCCAGACATCCTGCATTTTGTCTATGGAGACTTTAGTGCACAGCTTCCTCTCTCCCCACTTTCCCTGCTCTTCTTCTTTTTGCCACTTCTAGTCTACAGAAGTAATTGTCGTTCCCCAAGGGGCCATCATCTCTTTGTCTTGGGGCCTTTGCACTTGTTCTTCCTCCTCCTTTCTTTCTGTGGAAAACTCTTAGTCATTCAGGTCTCAGCTTAGTTGTTAAACATCTCTGGGAAGCAAGGCTTTGAGATGCATCCAAATTAGGTGCTCCCTGTGTTTACCCCATGATTGCCTTTACTTGTCTGTTTTCCCTGCAAGATGAAGGCTTGTCCTGTATTAGCCCTGAGACTTTGGGCCAGTTACCTGACACCTGCTGGACTGTGAAATGGGCATGGCGCTGATCTCACAGGGCTGTTCTAAGCATCTAACTGGAAACTGTATATCAAGTTTCTAGTTCAGCGTTGGACACACAGTGGCATTTAATAAATGGTAATTATTTGTATTAACGATTTCTAAGTGTGCAATAAAACAGTATTTGAATGGAGTGAAATTGGAGCCTCTGAGTCTCTTCCTCGGTCATTTTTAGATTGTGGTTTCTTTTCCTTCTGAATCTGCCTCTGTTTGCATCACCTTAACTTTTTCAGATTTTGGTTGTGGCTGTTGTCAGGTGCAGGAGCACTGAGAGGCAGGAGGCCTGGGAGTGAGTGCCAGGAGGCTTCTTCTCCAGTTCTTTGGCTGCTATGTGCTTTTATTTTTATTTTTATTATTTTTTTCATTTTCTTTCTGGCAGTAGAAGATTCCCAAACTATGCTCTGTGCTAATCTTAGGGATCCTCTGCGCTGGCTCAGGACTTCTGGCCTGTGTGCGGGAGGGGAGCTGGGGCATCTGTTTTGCCTCCTGCTCACTGCACTTTTCTTTGGCTTCTGGAACTTGCTCTCTGCATTTCCTTTGCCGCAGTCACTTACTTGTTTTGGGAGGCACCAGCTCACCACAGTTTCTTGGGCTTGGTGAGGCCTGTTGCTGGGGCCAGTCCCTGGCCAGGGTCTTGGCTCAGCTTCTGCTTTTCCTTGCTGACTTCTCCAGGTGAAGGGAACTCCCTAAGACCCTCACATCACACTGGGGACGGTTTGCTCATCTAGTACTTGCTGGCAAGTCAAGAACTTTGTTGTCTTTTTATCACGTTGCCAAACTTGTTTCAACCCTGGGAATTGGAGGCTGTTTCTGAAGTCTCCTCCAGCCTCATCTGTGGCTGCTCTGCGAGATGCACCCTGGGTCAGCTGCAAGGAGCCTGCAGAGGTCAGCTGTGCCCTGCTGCTCGCCATGCCTCCGCCTGGAATGCCTTGCACTTTTGCGAATGCATTCTTTCCTCCAGCCCTGATAAAGTGTCTCTTCGATGAAGACCAAGCAGAGCTTAGCTCAGCCGGCTTTGCCCCACAGCCTCTGGGCAGTCACGCTGACCACACTGCGGCTGCCTGCTCTATGGGTCTGGCCCCGTTCTCCAGGGTGGGGACTGGAGTCGTCTTGGCATGCCTGGCACTGAGTACAGAGCAGGCATGCAGTAATTGAGCACCACCTCTGCCATGTTTCCAAGCACACTCCAGGGACTGTACTTCCTTTGACTGTTAGGGGACCTTGGTGACCAGGTTGGGCATCACATCTCATTTGATAGAGAGTGACTTGTCCAAGGCCATGCTGCTAGCCCTCTAACGGGGACCAACAGTATTTGGCAGCTATAAAAGGGAATGTCAGCAGAATGTCCAGAAAAGCAGAGAGGTTTCTTCTACCATTGAGGCCCATTAAGGTACTGCCTTTTCCCCCGGGCGACACCCATCAGTGCAGCAGGACCAGTGGTCCGTCCATGAGACATACCAAAGGGAATCACTGGGGACAGGTGTGATCCACAGACAGCCATATGGGGCCCAGCCCGGGCATGGACATAGCTTAGAGGAATTGCCTTGACCTTTATGAGGAAGGCAGCTGCAGGCCTCTCAGATTCGGGAGTGGCAGGCACCCTTGTGTGCGTTAAGCTCTAGATACGGTAAGTTGGGATCTGAGCAACTCACTGGCATCTTTGCGGGGTGTCTCATGAAAGAGAAAGGTACTGCCCAGGAGCCCCTTACTGGGGTGGGAGGGGGCACAAAAGAATGACTGTGTCAAGACAGGCACCACCCCTGCACCTTTTTGTTTGTTTTAAACAGGAATCGTACTTGGTCACCCATTGGGTTCATAAGTTGAGATGCCCGCCGCTCTTCTCCTTTCCCTGTTTGCGTGTGTCTGTGTGTTTCAGCACTGGAGGGTTATGGTAGACCACTGTTATTTTTAGTCAGTAGGCTTCACTGATTACTGATTACTTATCAGTAGTTCCCGCCACGGTGCATTCTGGTCTTAGCCCTCTCTTGATGCCGCTATACGTGTTAAATTTTGAAGGATGAGAATCTGTAGATTTTGAACGTGTATATGCATTAACGTGTGAGAAAATGGTCGCACTTGCTACCAGTGTGCTAATTCTTAATCATTTCCAAACTGTGTTTTTGGGTAGTGTGCTTTTTGCTAGGAAATATCCTGTCCATCCAGTCTATATGCATTTATTGAGCACCTCTATATTCCAGTTGCTGTTCTACACACAGTGAACGAAGCCAGTAATTCCCTACCTTCCTGGTCGACAGAGGACTAAAGTGCCCAAAGCACCTAGTTTTAGTAAGAATTTCTGGCCCTACTGCTTGTCTTTTCTAGTTTTATTTTTTCCTTAACCAGTGGCCTTAAATGCCTCAGCTTACCAGTCCTTCCTGTCAGAAAGGACCATGACAGAGTGCCGGGTGACTTAAATTGGCAAATGTAACTTATCCAAAGCAGTGTCTGAACATGAAGGAAATTTTGTCTTGCTATCCTGGTGTCTTAAATATCACCCAGTTTTTATAGTATGGTGCATTTTAATTCTGCTCCACACTTAGTGCAAATGTATTGTTAGCGATATACCGTTTTCTGGCTTATTTGCCTTTGGCATGGCACCAGTTTCCCTTATCCTTTTCTAGCCTAAGGCTGTGCTCTCTTTAAGGGATTCTCATTGATTGGAAGAGAACACTATATATCTTACATTTGTGGCCCATGGAGGAAAGGCAACCACTCAATCAGCTTTAGGGTTCCATCGACCTCAGACGTGACTCAGTTGGTCTGTTTCTATCATGAGATAACTTTCTACATGTTCTTTGAGATATGTATTGGTGACTCTGTAGCAAAGAAGCTACATATTTGTTATTCCTTTTATCTCGGACTGGGTCTGTTTACATCTCCTCTAGATCCCCGAAGGCCGATTTTGCCCGTGCATGAGACCGGCCTTATTCCCTGACTTCAGCACCTCCTCCGGGTATGCTGGGTTCCCGGATGCTCTGTATTCTCTTGGTGTGTCCGATCACCCACCTGCTCTTCATCCAGTCATCCAATCATAGCAAGATTTATCTACCTTGCCATTTAAAGTCACACTTGGTATTCTGCATGTTTCCCAGAATTGAATGCATTGATTCAAACTACTACATCATCCATGTTGTTTGTGATGAGAATTGGAATCACCTGAGTTTCAAGATAGACTGAATTCTTGATGTCTTAGTGAGGAGAAAATGATGAAGTGACCATTGAAGAGCTTTGTTTAGCAACAAGGCGGAAGTGCGTTTTCCTTCCGGTGTCTCCATGATAGTTTCTGTGTGCTTTAGATCCTCTCCAAGTTTCTTCCACTTCACCTGCCAAATGGGTTTGAAGATACTCCTTTTTCCGGGTGGTGAATGCACCTAGCTCGGGCTGGCACATAGTAGGTGCCCAGTAGGTCTAAGTTTTTTGCTCATTACCCCAGGCTCCCATCTGCCATTCCCCCTGCCCCTGAACACTTGAGCGGTGGAGGTGTTCCTGCCTAACTAGATTCCCTTCACACTCAGTTTGGATAGCATCCATGCCAGCTCCAAATGCCTTTAAAGTGTTTAAGAAACTAGCAGAGGATTATGGAGGCCAACATTCCCCTATCCCTTGTTTTTCCCAGTCTAAAACAGAACAGTCCGTGTTAATTTTAATTGCTTGGATGAGCTCAAACATTGAGATTTTAATGCATTTTCACAGTAGCTCAGACAGCATAACCACATTATCCTGCTGGCAGTTGGTTGGAATCCTCGGCCAAAACGTTGTACTTGGGGACCTCAGCTCATAAAGCCAGAACGTGGTAATTTCCTAGTGAGATGTCTTGTGGGGAATGTTGCTTTTCCTGTTGAGACTTCCTCCAGATAGTGAAGTGTTGTCCTTCTCAGTCACGTAGTGATGGGTACGTACTGCTTTCAAGGAAGGTTTCAGAGCTCTTGGCTAGCTGAGGGGGTTTCTGGGGGAACTGCTTTATTCTTATGAGTTGCAAAATGGAAAAGGCCTATTATAGGCCTCCCATAAGCAACCCAGATGGGAACATTGTCACTGTCTGCAGCCTGGCGTGCTCTGGAAGGCACTTCCTAGTGACTGCATCTCCCATCTCCTCAGATGATACTAATGAGTTTGCTGCTAACTGAATGAGCAAATACTCCCACCCTGTTTCAGGCCATCTTTTGTCACTAGGACACTTGCAACAGCTTCCTCACTGAGCCCTGTCTTACATCTGGTCCTTTTCCCACATAGTCAGAGTGACCTTTCAGAATGCAAGTTTGATTACGTAACTGTCTTGCTGAAAATGTATTGATGGCTGGGTGCAGTGGCTCACACCTGTAATCCCAGCCCTTTGGGAAGCTGATGCTAAGGATAGCTTGAGCCCAGGAGTTCAAGACCAATCTCGGCAACATAGTGAGACTCCGTCTCTACAAAAAAATGAAAATATCTGCCAAGTGTGGTGGTATGTGATAATCCTAAGTCCCAGCTACTCAGGAGGCTGAGGTGGGAGGATCACTTGAGCCCAGGAGTTTGAGGCTATAGTGAGCTGTGATCACCCCACTGTACTCCAGCCTGAGTGACAGAATGAGACCCTGTCTGTTTAAAAAAAAAAAAAAAATGTATTGATGACTCCTTCTCGTGCTCAGGATGAAGACAGTCTCCATAATGTAGCTCGTTATGTGGTCCAGGTCTGGCTCCCATTGCACCCCAGCTCTGGTACTTAGTCACCTTGAGCCACCATACTCAACCTGCTGGCCCTTGCTACTGCCTGAGCTGTTGCCATGTTCAGATGGGCCCACCTCACTTTATGCATGGCGAATACTTTTTCATTTTTCTATATTTGTTACTTGAGAGTCTTTTCTAACTCCCCAAGTTGGGGTGAGGCAGCCCTCCTATGTGCTTCTGCAGGCCACCTGCCCGCTCCCGTGTTGCCCACATCATGGCCTGATTCATGCTGGACTGTAGGTACTGATTACCTGGACAGGGCCTGGGGCCAGTTGGGCATGTTCCCCATTGTATTTCCAACATCTAGCAAGTCCATCAGAAGAAAACAAACTAACAAAACACTTTCAGTTAGATGAGTAGCTTAATTATCTTTGAAGACAATATGATAGCTTTAATTGGGCGTATTTTTGAGAGGAGGTAGGAGCATAGGTAGGATTCCAGGCCCACTTTTCTGCAGGTTGGTGGGAGATGACTACTAACTCCTGTGTCTCCAGAGCACATGGCTGCTGCAATGTCTGTGTTGGGCTTATGCATTCCACTCACAGCTCGGCTTGCTGAAGGAGCATGCATATTAAGGCTTGTTTTTTTCTTTTTTAAAACTAGTTTGGGGATACAAACAGAAGGTAAATTATCCTGATTATTTTGAGGCAGTTATGAAAAGGGCAAAGAAAGGATACAGTGAAAGTCAGAGAAATACCTTATGTTTATTTTAGCCCTTCACAGTTTCTGAAGCATGGACATGCCTGTCATTGCATCAAGCCAGGAGCAGCTGCGATGAATGGGGTGAAAGCCTGGGCTCTGGGGCCCGGTGGGTGGCCTGGGTGCCAGCCCTGCTGCTGCCCTTTAGTAACTGGTGACGTTGTTCAGCTCACTCCTGTTTCCTGATCTGTAAAATGAGGTTGATGGCAGGAGTGATTTGTAAACAAGGCATTTTATTAATAAAATGTTTAGACCCTTCTTAAAATACAACAAATTTTATAGTGATTAACATGTTATGCTCTATAAAAGTTTATTATAGACCATTCAAGCTAAAACAATATAGTTTGAAAGTATGCCACATCAACTTCACTTACCAGCTACTAGCAGTGTCAGTATAAAAAGCAAGATCTTACAACCAAAGTCAAAAGGTGTAAAGTGTGGTTATTTTTATACCTTAGCATCACCTCCAGTTCTAACCATGCTGGCTGAGACTGAGACATACCCTCCCATAGCCACTCCTTGGCCCTCAAGGGACAGGGCCTGCAGGCATGTGCTGTGAATAAGGCACCGTTGGCCCTTTTAGCTCTGACTTACTTTTCATTTGGAGAACTTATGTCTGAAGTTAAGGTTCAGCATCCATCCATCAAGGTTTCACCCACATCCTTTTGCCGCCCCCCTTTCTATCCTAAAGTGTCCTTTAGTGTTGGAGAAATGGCTGTAGATGCAGAAAGGCTCTTGTATCAGTCCATTAGTTGATGAAGAAAGAGCTACTTGTAGGGTGACAGGAGATGAAAAGAAACTTAAAACTTGTAGACACTGTCCTCTGAAAGAAAAAAGGGATTTGTTGTTGTTGTTGTTGTTTGAGATGGAGTCTTGCTCTGTCACCCAGGCTGGAGTGCAGTGGTGTGATCTCCACTCACTGCAACCTCCGCTTTGTGGGTTCAAGTGATTCTCCTGCCTCAGCCTCCCAAGTAGCTGAGATTACAGGCACCTGCCACCATGCCTGGCTAATTTTTGTATTTTTAGTAGAGGCGGGATCTCACCATATTGGCCAGGCTGATCTTGAACTCCTGACCTTCAGTGATCTGCCCGTCCCAGCCTCCCAGTGTGCTGGGATTACAGGCATGAGCCACTGCGCCCAGCTGGGAAATGTTTGAAACATTTTGTTTGAAAACTGAATTTTCCAGTTGAGCAACACAGTGTGCTTGGTGGGGACCGTAAAGGGTTTCCTGTAGAAGCTTGGAAAGGGCGGCCCTTGAAGGAAGCTTCTATAGAAATGGAGCCATCATGTGGGACCGTGCAGTGGTCACAGTCGGGTGGGAGGGGGAGTAGTAAATTTTGCCGTCTCTCTGCACATTTGTCCAACTGATGAGAAAGGCCTTTGAGAGTTGGCCTACATCAAATTTGCCTTATGACAGGGATATCTGTATCTTACAGGTGTACATGGAGCTGGCAGCCAAAGAGGTCAAGCTTGTGTCTACAGCTTTTTGTGAACACTCATCTTCTTCCACTGTGTCTGTCTGCCAGTGGTGACGTGTCTGCATTTCGACAAGATGGTGTGTCACTGCCTCCCCCAAAACAGGGGGCCACCCATTTCCTCATTCTCCCATTAATCTCTACGCATGGGGGTCATACCTATGCTAATCAGTGATTCTTCTACAAAAAAAATGGAAACTGAATTTTTGTTAATTTGTTTCTGTTTTTCTACCTTGAAACCAACTTCCCAGCAGCATTAGGTAACTAGATCAAGTCCAAGCTCTGCAGTTTCTTTACTGTGTCCTTGGGTAGGTTGCTTGACCTCCCCTGAGTCTTAGTTTCCACATCTTTAAATGGAGAGAATCATGGTTCCTACCTTCTAGGATGTCTGTGAAGACTCAGTGAGCTAACCCTGGTAAAGAACTTAGCTCAGGGCTCCCTCAGTGTTAGCTCTGAGGAGTATGATAATGAAATTTATTAGTGAGCATTGGTACTAAATATATCAACAGTCACCTAAGCTGCCATTCAGACTGGTAATACCAAGCGAGGAAGTTGAGGGAAGTCGTATGTCCCTGTATCACAAATCAGCAGACAGGGATCTTCAGCTGGGTTTTGGGCAAGGCGCATTAATGGCTGCTTTCCCGAGGATTTATTTCCAGCCATGATGTACAAATGGCTGTGGGTGTTGAGGCTGTAATGGATCTTGTGTTTAAGGCTTCCACTGTCGCGGCTCAGCAGAGCCCTCCCTCGGCCCGCCCCTCAGATTGCTGCCTCTGGCTCAGAGCATGACTGCATCTCTCGGCCCCATCACCTGCCAGCTCTGAGCTGGTGGCTGTGAGGCGCAGCCTTGGCATTGCTGGCAGGTTGGTCTTAGGAGAAGCTAGGCACTAGAGCTTGCCAGCACAATTTGTACTTTGATTAATTTATTTAATTTATCTTGTGTCAACCTGAGAGGATCATTATGCACAAATTACTGTTGAAACTTGAAGCTGGCCTCCCTTTCACTAAGCCCCCAGGCTGGTCTGTAGTGCTCCACCAGAGTCTTTCTGAGGGTGATCTGTTCCTCTTGCCCTCTCTGAGATACCAGACTTTCTCCAAAGTTCGGGTTAGAAGCTTTGAAGAAAGGACTTGTTTGGATTCTGGTCCCGTATGTTGTGTCTCAGTTGCGGAGAGCTGTCCCCTTTTATCTTTGCATGTGAGTTAAATTTCATTTTTCTGCTAAGTAGTGTGAGTCTGTAGCCGACTGCTGCTGCTGCTTCTTTCCAGTCAAGTGGGGTTTTCAGAATGGGGCCCGAGTGGGCTTAAAAGTTCCTTCAGGGATGGGAAGGAGGTGTGCACGGTGGGGAAGGGTGACACTCACCAAATCGCTTCTGTTTTATTGAATGTAAAGTGCCATAAAGTGTAAGACGCTTCATTCTTTGTACCACTAAGAAAGATAAAGCACTGCCACAGGTAATTTTCAGACACTGTGACCGTAAAATGCATCATGATTTCAGGTTTTAGAATAAGTGACATGTGATATGTTGTTAATGGGGCTGGTTATAAAACCCTTAGCTTTTGATACAGTTTCACTGAAGTTGTAGAGATGTGGATTTGGAGAGCCCAGATATTTGTGTCATCCGGTGACCTTCACGTGACCTTCTATAGGAGTCTGTTCTCACGCTGTTATGAAGAAATACCTGAGACTAGGTAATTTATAAAGAAAAGATATTTAATTGACTCACAGTTCCGCATGGCTGGGAAGGCCCCAAGAAACTTACAATTGCACTGGAAGGGGGAGCAAACATGTCCTTCTTCACATGGCGGCAGGAGAGAGAAGTGCTGAGCAAAGGGGGAAAAGCCCCTTATGATACCGAGAGAGAAGTGCTGAGCAAAGGGGGAAAAGCCCCTTATGATACCATCAGATCTTGTGAGAATGAACTCGCTGTCACGAGAACAGTGTGGGGATGACCACCCCATGATTCAGTTACCTCCCACTGGGTCCCTCCCACGACATGTGGGGGTTATGGGAACTACAATTCAAGATGATATTTGGGTAGGGACACAGCCAAATTGTACCATCTTCCAAGTTGCTAAAAAAGTAATGTACCCATCTCTCTGTGAGGTAGGAAGAGGGAGACCAGTGTCCCTAGATTATGCACAAAAAGATTGGAAAAATCATGTTATATTGTGCTTTTTATGTGTGACTTTCAGATGATCACATTCTACATATTTTCACTCAGCTTAAAGTTTTTACTTTTAAAAGTGGTGGCCAAGCCTCATATAATTCTTAACTTTAAAAAAATAGGATTATCACTTGACAAGTTTTTTTTCTTGAGGATAGAACATTCCACTCTGTTAATTTATTATTTTGTTTATTTTTTAGAAATTAGGTTTTACTATATTGTCCAGGTTAGATTCAAACTCCTGGACTCCAGGGCTCCTCCTGCCTCATTCTCCCAAGTAACTGGGATTGTTGGTGCATGCCATTTCACCGGGCTCCACTCACTGGGCGCCACAGTCCTGATGTCTCCTTTGTTGTCACCACGGAGGGCTGAGGAAGTGGAGGGGGCATTGACAATTTGTGAGTCTCAAAGAAAGATAAACTCAGGAGGTCTTTTCACTTTCATGAGTAACGTTTGGGACCACGTGTTAGGAAATCCAAGGTACAGGCAGAATTTTCTAGTCACTCCCTCGGTGAGTGTGGGAAACTGAATTAATTGCCATCGCATTGGCTTATGTCTATCCTAGAGCAAATGAAGTTTAAGGAGGTCCCACTAAGTTATTCCTGATTATTTCAGGCTGGAAACTAGCTGCAGATGCAAGAGAATATTTAAACACCATATGCATGTGACCTGTGGCCTGCGCAGCCCAGCTCTGTTCCCTCTTGAAGGCACACCAACCACTGGCAGACCTTTGCCGCGGCTGCCTCCATATGTGATTACCCATAGAAGTAACTGCTCACAGCAGACCACAGCCCACATTCCATTTGTTTCTCATTTGGTCCCCAGTGACTTGTGAATCTAGACTAGATTGGTTTGCCGGATGAGGACGCTAAGGCTACAGGAGGACACATGCCTTGCCTGAAACCAGACAGCTCTGGATGGCCAAGCACTGTAGATCATCCTGTTTGGTGGGATTGGCAGAGGATTACCGCGGGTGGTGTGCTTTTGTCTAGGCTCTTGTGATTAAAAGGAAAAGATTCACTTGAGTTCATGTGAACAAAAAGGAGGCATTATTTAGGTGTTTTGTGGAACCAGAGGGCAAACAGTATAGCCAGGCCTTGCAAGGGCCTGGCACCAAGAGCTAGAGCAACTCCTTTGTGAGTCTTGGTGCTGTGGGGCCCCATGGTCCCTTGTCTCTGCTTCCTCATGAGTCTCTATCAGGCTTTGCTGTCTGCAGATGGGTGTACTTGTCAGGGCACGATGGCCTCATGGCCTCTGAGTTTACATTACCTCAGCGTCGGTCAGCCATATGAGCCGAATGAAGAATCTTTAGTTCCATTTTTTGAGAGAGCATCTGGAGCCAGCTCTTTGTTCTGGTCCACTGAATGTGTCCATGGAGTTGGGGTGTACAGTTCTCAGAGACAGAGGTGTTATGCTGAACTAGACCTGAGTCATCCTCTGCAAGGTGTGAGCCCTCTGTCACGGTGTCTATACCTTTCCTAATCTGTGAAAGTTGAGAAGTTGCTTTTCTGAAAGAGCTCATACAGGTTGAACATCCCTTTTTCAAAATGCTTGGGACCAGAGGTTTTTCAGATTTTGCATTACACTTACCAGTTGAGTATCCTAAATCCAAAAATCTGAAATCCAAAATGTTCCAAAGTACATTTTCTTTGAATATCATGTTGGCACTAAAAAAATTTGGGATTTTGGATTTTGAGATTTGGGATGCTCAACTTGTACCTGCTTGGAAATTGGTGGTATTTTCACCCAGCGATTCTCATTTTATCATTGGGATGGGAGGCCGGCTACTGTGTAATTATTTACTAGGGCATCAGCCTTATACATTTGAAGTTTGCTGCTGCTTTTCCCTGTCATGACTGCATCAGCTAGAACTCCGCTAAGATTTAGAAAGAGGATTAATCTTTGTGTTCCTTGCATGAGCAGTGTCTGTTGTGGAACTAATAATGAGGTATAAAAAATGCTAGTATTTGTCCGACTTAATGAAGTCACCATAAGGAAGGCATGAAACAAGCAAATATGCCATAGTTATTTTGATGGAAATGTGAGCAAATGTTATGCCTGTTATATTCGAGGATAAAATTGCAATTTTAGGTGTACAGCAGTATGACATGATGATTAAGCACACAGGCCCTGTCTGATGCCAGGTTCAGACCCTGCTTTTACCACTGCCTTCCTGGCTGTCCTGGGGGCGAATTAATCTCCTTTTGCTTCCTAATCTGAAAAATGGGCCTAAGCTGGCAGCTGCCTCTGTGGGTTGTTGTAAGGCTTCAATGAATTAAATCCCCTGAAGTACTTAAAGTGGCATCTGGCACATCATAAGGACTCAATAAATGGCTACTTTTCTTAGCGTTGTTAATCATTGCAATTGCACTGTGGTGGAGGTTTGACTAAAATGAGGCTTTTGTGTTATCTGTGGATTTAATGGTCTCGGCTGCTTTCTTGGTTCCAGTGAACGGATGGATAATGGGGAGTCCTCTCAATACTGATATTAGTCCAGATGCTTTACCTGTCCTAATGTTCTGTCTTAGAGGTGGCTTATGAGTGCTATGAGTGAGTATAAGGCATCTTAATAGCAGATTTCATTTGTGGTTTGCAGTGTGAGTTGACCCACATCTAAATCTTCCTTGATCTAATCGTCTTTGCTGTCCTGTTTGATCTTGTAAATATTAATTTAGTCTGGTTGTTCATGTGGTTTTCGATGGTCCCAAGGTTAATTACTGTATTTTGTTTATAAAGTACTCATAGATGACTAGGTCCATTGTGGAGGACTTACAAAAGCTCCATCTGGGCTTAGGCCTGCAGAGTTGCAATAAAACTTGGTGAGCGTTAATGAAAAAGAATTTCCAGTTCCTTATAGATTCAGTCTGGGAGATTCCTGCTTGGGTCCCTTGTTTCAGGAAATATTGGGGGCATAACTATTTTGTACCTTTTCCTGTTTGCTGACAGAAATGAAGAATACTTAATCCTGTCTCCTGAGAATGCTGGGGGAGCCCCAGCTTGGTCATTTAGGAAATGCTTCTTGAGGGCCCACTATGTGCAGGGATGTATGCTCAACTGAAGGCCCTGCCTTCACAGCGCTTCCAGGGCAGTGAGGGGGACAGCAAGGAAGCAGATCCACAGGGTACACAGCAGGAGGGAGCAGTGAGGCTGGGATGGTCAAAGAAAGCGCCCTTCTGAGAGGCTTGAGGAGGAGGCAGCACTGGTGAGGGTACCCTAGAGAAGACCAGGGGAGAGTTTTGGCCTGCCCCAAAGGGTGACTGCTTCTGACAGGCAGACGTGGAGGGTAGGGAGGAGGGCAGGAGAATATTCCAGGTAGAAAGGACAGTTTGAGCAAAGGTAAACAAAACAACTAGGTTCCTAAATTTCTTAATCTAAAAATTAGATTTGCAGGTGTGTTAGGCTGTTCTTGGGTTGCAATGAAGAAATACCCAAGGCTGGGGAATTTATAAAGAAAAGAGGTAGTGGGGCGTGATGGCTCATGCCTGTAATCTTAGCACTTTGGGAGGCCGAGGCGAGTGGATCTCTAGATCCCAGGAGTTTGAGACCTGGCAACATGGCAAAACTCCATCTCTACAAACAATACAAAAAAAGTTAGCTGGGTGTGGTCGTGCCCCTGTAGTCCCAGCTGCTTGGGAGGCGGGAGGATGGCTTGAGCCCAGGAAGTGGAAATTGCAGTGTGCAGAAATCCGGCCACTGCACTCCAGCCTGGGTAATAGAGTGAGACTCTGTCTCAAATAAAAGAAAAGAGGTTTAATTGGTTCACCGTTCTGCAGGCTGCACAAGCGTGGCGGGACATCTGCTGAGCTTCTGGGCTTCTGGGGAGGCCTCAGGGAGCTCTTACTTATGGCGGAAAGCAAAGTGGGAGCAGGTACCTCACATGGTCAGAGCAGGAGCACTGAGAGGAGCGGGGCGGTGCCGCACACTTTTAAAGGAGACGTCAATATGGCCAGGACAGCACCAAGCCATGAGGGATCCGCCCCGCTCACCCAAACACCTCCCTTCAGGCCCCGCCTCTAGCACTGGGGATCACATTTTCAACATGAGATTTGGGCAGGAACAAATATCCAAACTATATCAGCATGCTACCTTCTTGAGTTTTTGTTGTTGTTGCCACACTCCCATATTATCTTTAGTTTTGATTACTTGATATCTTTTTAAGCAGATTTTTTTTTTCTGAATACATTTGTTTTAAGAAGGAAATTTTGTCACTTATCTAATCTGTTAATTTTGTTTATAATTTGCATATTATATATAATTTATATATATTTTTTCCCAATACATGTTACAATAAATATATAAACACTAAAATGAGAAACAGTGTTCCCCTGAGATCTACCCAGGAATCACCTGGTACTCACCAGGGGTACACTCCACGCTTTGGGGAACTCTGTATTTGGTGAAGAGGCTCGACTGTTTTGTCTGAAAACTTGGAGAAAAGTAGGAGAAGCAGAGCAGGAAGATGGGGAGTGTGGCCCAGAGTTACCAAGCTGGGTCTGGACGCAGGCAGCCTGGTTCCACAGCCTGCTTCTGCTGTTTCCCAGCGGTGTGACTCCAGGCATGTTGTTTCATGTCTCCGTGCCTCAATTTTCTCTTGTGAAACGGGATAGTGTCCACCCTGTAGGGTTATTGTGAGGATGCAGTAATGTCTATAAGTTATTCACTGCAGAGTTTGGGACATAGTAAGCCTCTCAATAGACTTTCCTTTTCCTTTTTTTTTTGTTACAAGAGGTAAGCATTTCTGCTAGGTACCCAAATCTCTTTCTCCCTGGTGTACTATATTGAGATCTTTGGTGCTCATCCTAACAAAATTAGCACCTCCGTACCCCATTATTTTTTCCCTTATCATGTTTTCTCAGCAGCCAGCCTAACTCACAGGTGTCTGAGCAGCCCTTTCTTTTTCTTTTTTTTTTTTTTTTGAGACGGGAGTCTCGCTCTGTCGCCCAGGCTGGAGCGCAGTGGCGCGATCTCGGCTCACTGCAAGCTCCGCCTCCTGGGTTCAGGCCATTCTCCTGCCTCAGCCTCCCGAGTAGCTGGGACTACAGGTGCCTGCAACCACGCCCGGCTAATTTTTTGTATTTTTAGTAGAGACGGGGTTTCACTGTGTTAGCCAGGATGGTCTCGATCTCCTGACCTCGTGATCCACCCACCTCGGCCTCCCAAAGTGCTGGGATTACAGGCATGAGCCACCCCGCCCAGCCCTGAGCAGCCCTTTCGTGGGAACCTTAAAGAGCACACTCATAAAGAATGGAAGGTGGATTAACAGACGATTGGATAAAGAAGGTGTGATGTGTGCATGCCATGGAATACTGCTAAGCCACGAAAAATGAAATTATGTTTTTTACAACAGCATGGATAGAACTGGAGGTTATTAAGTGAAGTAACTCAGAAATGGAAGGTCAAGTACTGCATGCTCTCACTTGTTAAGTGGGAGCTAAATAATGTGTGCACATGGACACAGAGAGTGGAATAATAGACATTGAGGACGGAGAAAGGTGGGAGGGTGGGAGGGGTGGGAAGGATGAGAAATTGCCTAACAGCGACGATGTATACTATTCAGGTGATGGTTACGCTGAAACCACTATTTTTTTTTTAAAAGAGAGAGAATGGAATAGACAGGTAATTTCAGCTGACTTGGAATGTGGTGTGGAAACTCTCACTGCACCTGTGTTTGGCTGGGCTTTGCTGCAGAGAGATTTTTTTTCCCTGTGTATGTATTTAAATCTTAGCTTTGAAATGTGACCTCTACAAAGAGTTATTAGGCTTTATCCTGATAGCTGTTACATACTTCAAAAACCTATATATTGTATAACTAATAGATCACTACTGCGTGGATTTAACCTTCATTATTCAACCTCAAAATAGGGACTGTTTGCAGATTAAATGTCTGCTTTTGTCCACAGTGTTTTGATTTTGCTTCTGAAGCAGAAATTTGTAGACGAATAACTGACCCCTCTTAAAGGAAATGTACAAGAATGAAGTTGTCTTGAGGCGACCTTGTCAGAGCCAGGAGACCCAGGGCCTGCTGGTGCCGTTTTCCCCCTTGGTGTTCCCTCTCTGTGTTGCCATCCATCTCTGATTGTCAGAGCTATGCCGCTGCCCACCCCTGTCTCGCGAAATCTCATGCTTGGGCTGGATGAGGCAAGTCACGGATTGAATGGAGCCATGTTATTTTCTCCTGTTGCCCTTTTTCCTGGAACACAGTTGTTTTGTTTTATTCATCTTTTGATCAACTATTATAAGCTAAACTTTCTCATCGTAGTTAAAATGGCAAGGAAAGGGACCTGTTTTGGCACCTCAGTCTCGTCCATCGGGATTCTTCTGGTTTTAATGTGATATGTGACATATTTTCTGGGATCAGAGCAGTGCTCGCCAATAGAACTTTATGTGATGATGGAAATGTTCTGTATCCACATTATCCCACGTGGTAGCCACTAGCCACATGTAACTGTTGAGCTCTTGAAATGTGGCTAGTGTTACTGAGGAAATAAGTTTTTTATTTTACTTAATTTTAATTAAACTTAAATAGCCTCCTGTAGCCAGTGGCCACTATGTTGGACAACACAGATCTGGAGGCTGGAAGGAACCTTGGGCCATGTAGATGAGTGCTTGACCTAACCCTTTTTTCCTTCACTGTGCATATTTCCACAGTCTTTATGTCTAGCTAAGGAGGGGCAGGGGATGGGATAGGGCTTTGAAAAGCATCAGCTCTAGTGATGGGGTGAGAAAGAACGTAGAGCCTCTGAGACAGGGAGCCTTGGACTCTGTGGCCAAGACAAGCCCTCTTTTTTCCCCAACGTAGTTAGACTTCAGAACAAAGTACATTTGGCATTTGGGTTAATCCTTTCAGAAATCCATGTACTAGCTAGCTGTAATTCTACCCCTTTCTTTCCCACTCAGGAAAGCTTACTGGAATGCAAATGAGTGGCCGAAATGTTATTAGGGATAACCTTGAATCTGATCTAATTTATCAGTAAATAATTGATAATCTCATGTACTTTAACTGTTATCGGGAACATGTTATTTGGGACACATCTCATAATTGATTACAAAAACTGCTGTGTCTTGACACTTCATTTGAAAAAGGATGGATCCATTAGAACATTCGCTGCAGTGTGTGTGGGTGAATGTGCAGTTGTATAGATGCATGTGTTGAGCCTAGGGTTTCCTGGACAAGTGATGATTGGAGAAACATGAATAAGGCCATCATTGAGTCTTTTCAGTCATCCAGTAGTTATTGAGTGCCATTCATATGCCGAGATGTTGACAATGTAGTAATGAAAAAGTCAAGGTCTCACAGCCCTCACCCTCCCTCATGGAGCTTACATTCTGCCGGGGGAGACAAAACTATAAAAGCAATGGCAGGTAGTGATAAATCATGCAGGATAAGGGCTACAGAAAGACGGGGGTGAGTCCCTTTGATGGGGTTGGGGGCAGGCCTGTGTGGAGAGCAGAGTCTGAGCAGAGGCCTGCATGTGGTGTCTGGAGAGCGCCTTCCAGCAGAGGAAACTGCAAGTCCAGCCTTGGAGTCTTTGGAAGGCACTCTGCTGCAGTTGAAGCTGTTAGTATTTCTTGCTGTCACAAAAGGGGCTCTTGATATCTATAACTTATATTGATTTCCTACTCTTCTTTTCCCTGTGAACATAATCAGGCCTGGACCCTGTCTTTTACAGAGCGACTGTCTTCATTGGACACCTTCAGCCAAAATCAGGTTGTTAATTGCCACATGCAGTGGGCTGTCTTCCCACGGGCTGTGTCAGCATCTTCAGTGGTGATCCCGTGGACAAGCGTCCTCCTTAGCCCGGCACCTGGACCGCCCCTCATCTCCCATCTGAGGCCCTGCACGTTGCCTTCTGTAGTCAGACTGTTCCATTTTCTGTCCTTGGAACATAGCTGGTACTTTTCAGATTTCCCTTTTGTTCACATGGTGCCTCTTTTCTGAAACAAACTTTTCTCCTCAATTCTTCCCTGATCCTTCCCATCCTTAAAGGCCTGCTTACTGTCCCTTCTCCTGGGACACTTGACCACACCCACCCAGCTGTGGCCGGAACCCTTATTTCCTGATTTTTGGTGACGGATTGTTCGGATTACATCATGAGCAACGCCCTGATATTTGTTGAGTTGGTAATAAGTATGATCAGGCCCATCCCATGTTATATTTCTCCAATTTCTTGGCCTTGAACTCAAGGACTCTTTGTAGTGTTAGGTTTGAGGAAAAAAAAAATAGTTTAACTTAAAATAGTGTAAAACATACAGACATTCCAATTCTGGATTCTTTAGAAGAAATTTTACCTTTTTTGGGTTTCTTTGGATTTCCCCCATTTCTCTTTGGCAGTCTTTTCAGTTTCCTCCTATTTCTGAGAGCTGAATGTGTGGTTAGGGTGATGTGGGCTTCTGGGAGCCAGTCTCGCAGACAGTTGGTGGGCCAGAGATTAAGTGTGCAGCTTCGGAGTGCTCACATTGCTTTGTTTTGTTCTCAGCCCTTTCTGGTTGGAAGGTCCTGTCCAGGCCCAAGTTCTCTATGATGCTCTGTGCTGGTTTCCCGGCTGGGCTGACCGTATTCTGCTGGACATTCACCAGACCTTGCCAGCCTGTCCCTTAGAGCTGAGAGGAGAGTGTGGCAACCGTGCTGGCCGTCTTCCTGCTCCCAGTCTGTTGCCTCCTCCCCACTGGGCTCTAGAATGACCACTTTACCGCTGCTCTCCCTCTGGCTCCAGTGTGAGCACATGCCTGCAGAAGCTCATCTCAGGAATACTGAAGTTTTTGCTTGATTTTTCCCACAGTCTGCAGAGCCTGATTTAGGGCCACACCAGGATTAAGTAAGATTACCAGTATCTTCTCTCCATCACTCTTGTGTATCTTGTATGAATGTGTCCTAATAACTATTGATATCAAGTTCATCCCTCCAGAAGCCAAGACCGACCTTTAGTGTCCTGCTGAGGTTGAAGTTTTCTGATGTGTTTTTCTTGCAAGTAAAATCAATGGAGATAAACCTCAGTAACTTTTCCTGCACAATGAGGTGGTTAGGCTCTGCTGCCATGGTGGGCTCCTCCATCCAGGCCGTGTGCTCTTTCGTCTTGTCCAAGGTTGTTTCACCAAAACTGATTGGTTGCTCCACTACTCTTAAAGGTCATGCTTAATCACATTTCAGGAAGATTGAAGAAGACTCCAAATTGCCCAAGTTCCATAGTTGACTTTGTGTTCCCCTTTGGTGCTATTTGCTTTTAACAGGACATCTCTCATTTACTAAGCAGTTATACCTGTGCTTAAAGGGCAAAACCCAGGGTGCATTTTTTATCCTGAAAATTGGTCACAGCCAGTTGTCTGTGGTTTAGAAATGGTCTCTTTTGCCCACGGAAATCCTACCATGAATGGCATGACACCCCAGCATGCTGCCAAAGCCCTGCCCGCCACCCCCGTGATGCAGGTGTCGGATGAAGGACGGGCCGTGGCCACAGAGTGGGGTTGGCTTATCTGAGCGGTTGATGAACCGAGCTGACAGGTCCAGAGGGGTTCTGCTGTTGGCCTTTCATGTTAAGCATGGGGCTGTAGAACAGATGGAAAGGAAGGGGCCTTCTTGACAGTTTGGGAGGTTGGGGACCTTTAAGTTATGATGAATCAAAAGAACAGTTTAGTTACTAGTGGCGTTCTGTGTGACAGCTTGACATTCTGTAATTGTCCACAGAGACCAAACTACTTTGGAATGGTGTTCTTGCAAATGTGTCATATTAATTTTTTCCCTAATAAGGAGGAATGGTCTGATATGAAAGTTCTGAGTAATTTCACATTATTTATTAACTATCAGCTGTAGGAATGTTTTTCCTCTCCGTAGTGGTTGACTGGAGGACTGGAAACGAGTAATTGAGATTCCTGCATTCAAGAAACATTTTTTTTTTCCATTCCTGAGAGAAAAATTGTGATTGGAAAATCTATAACATGACTTAGTATCCTAAGAGATAATGTCAAGGATGTTTGCAAGATAGAAGAAAAATTATTATTTTGTAGGGGATGGTTAATTATTGTTTTCAGAGTAATATGTGCTCATTATCCCAGCCTGAAAAACAGAAAAGCAGAAAGAAGAAAAAAGTTATCTATAATCTCACCACCTAACCAATGTATACCTGAGGTTGCAGTTTTTGAATTTTTTGCGATCAGACCTTGGCAATGACCTTGAGCAGTAGGATATAAATAACTCCCACATGCTTAGTGTTCCAATAATGGAACACTAGGCATAAATGGGCTTTAAACACCATCAGCATTTTTATACCTCCTTCTAGTCTTTTTTTCTAGGTAAATGTTTTCGTTTTTAGCTTTGTTGTGTTCATTCTTGATATGCAATGAAAACTAGCCTCACCCTGTTTCCCACTATAGCTTACGAATTTTTATGATATTATATGATAATGTTATTATATAGTATTCAGAAAATTTGGATTTTAAAAACTGTATAATATTCCATTCAGGGCATGCACTATAATTTCTCATACCATTTTCTTGTTGTTGGAAATTTTGTTTACCACTGATACACATATTGATGGCATAAATATCTTTTGCTTAGGAGTATTTCCTAAAGATAGAGTCTCGGAAGAATGATTGGGTCAAAGAGTATGGATTTTTTTTTTTCGTGATTTGGACAAGCTTTATTACAAAACCATAGGTCACCATTTGAACCACTATACAGGTTCCAAGTGGACTAAGACGTGTGTGTGTGTGTGTGTGTGTGTGTGTGTGTGTCTAAAACATTATGAAATGAAGCATTTTAAAATTGCCAAGCAGTTTGGCCTTAAACTGTAAGGTTACCTGTATATGGGTGGCTCTTTTCTGCCATTTTGCAGATGGGACCCCAACTGTATTTGGTACTCTTCCTCGTGGTTATCGATCTCTTATGTCCTTCACTCTTGCTCCTCCTCCCCTCATCTCATGCTCTGCCTCTGTCTTTGCTGCTGAATACACGTTCACATTCCACGTGGTTATTTTCTCTCTGGGTAATACTGAACTGAGGTGCAAAGCTGTAAAGGCAGAGAGATCCCTGAAACAAGTACAATCTTAAAGATATATATAGATATATGGTCTTTTACATACATATCTTTAAGATTGCATGTGTATATATATACACACACACCACATACGCTCTCTAAGGTGAAACCTATGCATGTTCAGCTTAAGGATGAAGCCAGGAGTTCATCAACTTTATGAGGTAACTTTTCCAAGTGCCTCTTTTTGTGTAATCTCTCTTATACTTTTCTTGAGGCTCTCCTTTTTGATTCCTTAGCCAAAAAACTGGGGCTTTATTTGCCCTGCTCTGCTGGGTACTTTCACAGTTGTATTTGTGACAAAACTGTAGCAGGGCAGAGAGAGAATAAAAGCAAGGTTGCATGTGTGTGTATGTGCGTATGTGCGGGGGACAGATTCCTTCACTCTCTTGGGACTACTGTTCCTTTAACTGGAAAGGAAATTTCTCTACCCTCAACATTTTAGGCTCTTCTGGGTTCCCACTGCAGCTGCTAATGCCAGTGTCATCACCACTGCTACGATTGCTTGGGGGCTGGGACGTGAGAGAATGGAGAGACGGGAAAAACCCAACAGATGATTTCAGCCATTACTATTTACTCTTCATAGTCCTCGAATAACTGCTCCATATATTCTGTTCAGCTTTTATAGCTGCATTCAGTGGAAAGTCAGGGTGGAGAGTACTCCCTCTGTCTTACTTGCATCCAGAATAATGTATGGATTTTTTTTTTTTAAAGACTCTTGGTACCTATTACTAAATTGCTTTCCAAAATAGCTATACCAGTTTATATTCCATAGCAATATTAGTTGGCCTGTTTCAGTATACTTTTGTGAGCATTAGAAAAAATTGTCAAAACAATCAACACAAAATAACAAAATAAAACTACTTTCATCTTTACTTAGTTGATAGGTGAACCACTGCAGTTTACCGTGCTAGTTTATTTTCTTAATTAGTAGTGTGGTTGAACTTTTGCCTGTATATTTATTACCTTAACATATCTCTTTTCTTCTCTCGATTCGTCAGTTCTGATCCATTGCCTACTTGCTAAATTTAGTGTTCATATTTATACGTGGTCATTTTTAACTATAAAATAACATAAACCTCTCAAAATATCACAGAGTTGGTCTGGGAGCTCTGTATTTCCAGGGACCAAGGTTCCATTATCCTATTGCTTTGCCACATGTATCTTTTATTCCCAAGTTGTCCAGTATGGCTGCTGGAGCTCCAGCCATTAGGCTTTCATTCCTAGCAGCAACCTGGAGGAAGTAGTGAAGAAGAAGGAACAGAGAACACTCATGAGCTTTAAGGAGGTTTCCCAGAACCTACAGATAACATTTTGTTCACTTCTTACTGGTCAGAACTTAGACACTTGGCTACCTCGCTGCAAGGGTTGTTGAGAAACAGAGTGTTTTAGCTGGGCAGCAAAGAATCCTGTTTAAAAAACTGGAGTTCCGTAACTCAAAACGTAGTGGAGAATAAATACTGACATGCAGTTAGAAGTGGCTGCCATGGTGTTAGTTCCTTTGGAATTATATCTGTTTGTTGTAAAACAAGCAAACAAACATAATAGAGGCCTAAAAAGTCAAGGGTGAATGGCTGGGTTGGCATTTCCTTCCTATCCTGTCCCTTTACCACTCAAATATAACCACTGTTAATGGCTGGCAAATAGTTTCTTAGAACCTTTTATTATGCATGTAAAAGGTGTGTGTCTGTGTGTGTGTGTGTGTGTGTGTGTGTGTGTGTGTGTGTGTAATTTCCTCTTCTTAGACATTATCTTCGAGTTTTCTTTCATTCAACAATATACATACAAATCATATGTATGTACACCATACATACAACATTCTATTATATGAATGTACTGTAATTTACTTAACTTTTCTTGTATCGATAGATATGTTGCCTAGCTATTTTATGTTTACAAATATGCCTGCAGGGAACAATCTTGAGTATCTATCTTGGCATACTTGGTACATATATTTGTCTTTGTTTTCCTTAAATCTATTAATTTTAGACATTTTTGTTTTTTTAAAGTATCTCCCCAATTTGTTGTCTGCCTTATATTTTGTTATATTTTCTTTTTTAAAAACATATACAAATTTTAAATTTCATAGCCAAATCTGTTGGTCTTTTTCTTTTCACCTGTCTCTTTGAAACTTAGTAGTTGTGAGACGTTCACATCTGTTTTTCCTCCCATATTTCTCTGTGATTTGATTTCATACTTTTAACTCTAATTGATCTAAAATTACTTTTGGTGTACG
Organism: Homo sapiens; assembly: GCF_000001405.40. Classification (NCBI taxonomy): domain Eukaryota; kingdom Metazoa; phylum Chordata; class Mammalia; order Primates; family Hominidae; genus Homo; species Homo sapiens. The sequence continues at coordinate 132,044,906 of NC_000009.12, read as the reverse complement.
GTATGAAGTAGCACTCCAAATTAAAACTTTTTCCTGTTTTTAATGTATTTCCACTGAATTAAATAAATTTCATTTTTGACTTGAATGATAAGAGTTCTCATTAAATGAAAACTAACCAGAAATGAAGGGGAAAAAAAATTAGAGTGTCTTCATTTGATTGGCTTCTACAGGGAATTTTCCAGCCATGGCATTGAGGGTAAAATGTGGACTGCTTTTGATCACTGAAGCAGATACAGAGTTGTCCTTCAGATGTGAGGTCAGCAGATCCAACTGCAAAGCAGTTAAGGATAAACAAAGTTAGCTTACACACTGAAAATCTGGTGCAGTGGGCGGCCTGGCTGCCGGTAGAGCACCCACCCAGGGAAGAGGTGAAGTCGGCCTCGTCTTCACCTTCTGTTCGTGTTGCCCCTTAGGACAGAGCATCTCATGGTTACTCTCTCCATCTCTGTCTCCTTCTCCCTCTCCCTCTGGGAGTTTCTGATGCAAGATCACTGAAAAAGCGCTGGGAGTGAGAAGTAAGAAGCGTAAGAGAAAGAAAGTTTATCATGCATTTATAAATGAGCAAACACTGTGCAAGGTGCTTGACACAATTGCTGAACCTAGAAGCAACTCCATGACGTATGCATTATTGTTCCTCCTTTAATGAGGAGAAAACAGTCTAGAGAGTTAGGTGGCCCATGTCAGGTCCCTCAGCCACCAGGCAGTGGAGCCAGGCTTGTGTCTGCCCCCAAACTTCAGAGTACTTCTCCCTTCCCTCCTCCCCTCCCTATTTCTTTCCCATCTACCCTTTGTCCCTCTGTGACTTTTTTTCTCTTTTCCTTTGTTATCTCATGAGGGACTTTAAAAAACATCTCAAATTATCAAAGTAACACATTTATTATATAAATTTTGGAGAATATAGCAAAGATCAGCAAGAAGACATCCCTGCCAGTTGACACAGTTGACTACGGTGTATGAGTCTCATTTCCCTTCACGGTTTGTCAGCACTGGGTATGGAGATGAGAAGACAGTCTTTGCCAGTTGCCCTGAAGGAAGGTGGGACCTGCATGTCATCTTTTGCACATTGTAAGTTCATGCCATTGCCCTTTCTGCATTGCTTGGTGTGGCATTTTTTTCTTATTGATATCCACGCTCCTTCCACCTCTACTATACTGTAGAGCTTTGGTTCTTTTGCCCTAAGAACCTTTTTCCTGGATCATAAATTCCATTACCATTAGGAATTCCTTATTAAATCAGTTAATGTGAGTTTTAATTGAAAATTATTTTTTTCAGTTTACTCTTTTCTGAAGCATATATTTTCATTTTATCTCTGTAATAGTGGAATTAGAAGGGTTTTTTCTTTTTTAAATTACAAAAGATTTTATGTATGAAACTATATATATCATATATGTGAAATGCAGATGTATAATAAATGCTCATGTACCTGCTCCCAGCTTATGAAACAGAGCAGGCAGCAGTTCCTGTGCGTGTGTTATGAGCCCCTCCTCATTCTCCCTCTCTCCTTCTAGTTCCTCCAATGTACCCCACCTAACTGAATTTTGAGTTTATTATTTCCTGAAGACAGACATCTTTATTCCTTTTTTTTTTTTTAAGAAAAAAAAAAAATAGAAGCCTTAAAAGGTCAAGTAAGTTGCTCAGGGTCTGGCAGTGAAAATAACTGTGATGCTAGCACCCAAATCTTGGACTTCTAGTATAAGTGTTACTTTTTCTTTCCGTTTTGAAACACTGTAATACCTCCTCATTGTGTTGATAGTATTGTGGTTTTTTTGACCCTCACCCTATATAGATTTAACTTTATTGGTTTTAACTATATAGATTTTTTCTGAAGAGTCATTTAAATTTTGGGGAAGCAGTGCTCTTATTACTGAGAGTTTTACATTTGCCTACTCCAGATGTTACTAGAAAACTTACCTTGTCCCTCAAAAACAAAAGTACCTATGGTCTATGGGATATCTGTGTATTGACCTCTCTAATTTGTTCCCATAGCTAGAGTTGGCAAAGGTAATGTACACATGATTAATTGGTACGTGATCACCTCTTTTATACAATCAATACCATGGTTCCAAATGAATAAACCTATCTTGAAAGATGGCTAGCCTTTCAAAAAGTCAAATGCTGGGGATTTTCCACTGGCTCTAGTTCAGTTTTTGCTAATTTTTATAACTCACATCAACATTCAGGTCACAGATGTGGATTAAAAGTGAAGCCCAGTGAAATAAGATCTAACTTGCAATGGTGGTGTGTGCAGCAGGGTCCACTCATAGATCTAAGATTCCAGCATCAGAAATGCTTAGTGTTCTTCTTGGCATTTCCTTCAGTGCTGACTCACGGTGAATGCAGATTGTGGCCACTAGACTGTGGATAAAGGAGGGGCAGGAATTGTGGGATCTTCAGTCCCAGAGGTCCCTGGGCAGTATGGCATTGTGGTTATGAGTGCAGACGTTGAAGTCTCATACCTCTTGGCACTTCCTTTTTGCCTTGTGACCTGCAGCAAGTGACTTTACCTCGTGAAGCCTGTTTTCTCATCTGTAAAATGGGGGCAACATCAGTATACACACTTTCGAGCATAAAGAGTTTATACAATGTATAAATAGGGTGTCCATGAGACTGTTTCAGTGAAAGCCTTTTCTCCGTGCCTGGCACACAGCATGGGTTAATAACTGTAGCTGCCGGTAGTGATGGCCGTCACCATCATCTTTGTCATCCTTAAGCCAGCCTCTTCATTTGTAGAGGAAGAAACTGAGTCCCAGATCCTGTGGCCACTCAGCAGCCCAGCTGGGACAAGACTGGCAGCGTCTGTGCTTCCCGTGCCGTGCTCTTTCCACCCCGCCACCTGCCTGTCTCCACATATCTCTAGATCACGTACTTTGTCACCTCCCCTGGTTCTCTGCAGTGCCGGCAGATCCTAACAACAGATGGTCCTGTTTTGAATTAAAACAATTTAACTCAAGATCCATCAACTGCCAACATCAAACACCCTTAAAAGAAGGAAAGAAACTCATTATCAAGAGTATTTAAGCAAAGTAGGTATTTAATCTATCTTAATCATTTGCATTCTTGAGAAGAAGAAAGTCAGCGGCAGCTGCCACCGTAGGCCAGGCCCCACGAACGTGTTTGCACGTAATTGCTTCTCCCTTTTCTTCTTTGCCATACCGTACTGATTTGGACTTTGGCCCTTAAGAACAAATTTTTCAGCACACTGACTATTTGACTATTTAAAAATTTAAAAAGTAATCTCTTTCATTTTGTTCCATACATCCTGTGACTGTCCATCTTTCAGTCGAGCTTTGTCACAACACACATGGGCACTGCAGGCCTTCTGACGCCGTGTGAGGCTGTGCTTGCAGTGCCCGACAGGAAGATGGGGAGCGACTGAGCTCTGTGGACGCTGCAGTCGGTAGCATGATGGTTACTGTCTGGCAGAACTGCAGTCCCCTATGTTAAATGTTCATTTGGTGCTACCCCTACATGCCATACCTGGTTCTTCCCAAAGCTTGGTGTCTACAGAATGTTTCCTTGCACCCAAATCACAGAGCTGATGGTGTGAGAGTGGATGTGTGAGCCATGAAAATATGCAGACTCTTTAGTCGTGTGTGCGTGCTCAGTTCAGTCCACTCAAGTCTGGGCTCTCAGCATGACTGTCTACTCTCCCACTTTGGACCCTCACTGCCATCCTCTCTGCTCTGTTAGCGAGCTTGTCGTCTCCCTCACAGCCCACATTAGGTGCTGAGGGACACAGAGGCAGTTGTTGACAACCCTCTTTTTCCCTTTGCTCTTTTTGTTTCTTCTCTCTACCCCTCTTTACTTTATTTCCTCTTTCTTGTTCTTCCCTTCTGCTCTTCTTCTCTGCTGCCCGTGGTGTGGTCTGATGACAGCTGCCAGCAGGGCTGCTGTGTTGCACTGCTTCCAGATAAATTGTACGCCTTGCCTCTGGAGTGGTGAGATGGCAGTGGCTCTGGGTCCTGGCTGCGAGTGCAGCTTAACTCTTTGGAACCAGGCTGTGGCCCCCTCCCCTCCCCTAATCTCAACATGAGGGAAAATGATGGAAGCACCTAGTTGTTTGACAAAGCATATGGGAGGAAATCAAACCGTTGCCTGGGCCTTCCTAGAATATCCTGCCGTGTGTGCTGGTGCTTGAGTGTGCGGTGTGTGTGCACGTGCACAGGGCGTACCGGCAGAAACAGAGATGTGCTGGTGGAGCCGAGCACTTTGTCACCTTGAGTGCTCCTTGCTGGGACCTTCATGTCCTTGACCAGATTGAAGCCTGATGGGCTGGAAGGTCTGGGTGTAGTTAAGCTCTGCCGTCTGCTCCCAGCTAAAAGTAAACATGCTGCCTTAGTATTTGTTTTCCACACCACACTTTTGCCCAATGTATAGATCTAAAGCCCTATTTATAGCTTTCTCGTGACATTTGTACGGGCAGTCTCTCGTCAGGTGATGCCTTCTCTGCATGTGGAGCCGCCTAAGACCAGCCAGCCGCTCTCCACGGCCCCACCTCTCATCCCAACTTAGATTTCTCTGTGTATAAATGGCTGCTCTTAAGCAACCTGCCATGCGGTTTCTTACCTAGTTTGGTTTAAAGTATTCTCCCACAGGGAAATAAAGCAAAAAGGTGATGGCATTTGCTTTTTAATCTTTTAATAATTCATTTCCCCGCCGCAGGGAAGAGACTGAGGCCCCTGGTGGCTGGCAGCAGCTTTGTTTAGTGCTGGGCAGCCCATATGCGGGGACTGATGCTGAGCACGACAAGGTGAAATCTCACAGGTCATCAATTTGTAGCTGACAGCATTTTGAAAAGTGATGTATAAGGAGCTGATATTGGTGTAGTGGTATGAGTGAAATTTATCATATCGTAAAGTGTATGTGAAAGGGGAATATTGTGTATTTTCTCTTTATCAAAATGTCCCACTTTTTTATTGATACTTTTCACCCTTCTATGGTCTTATGAAACAAGACAACAAAACAAAGCTTGGAATCATGAAATTTCAGAATTAGCAGAGAGGCCACAGAAGTACTATCTTTTATAAGGGAGGGACCTGCAGTCACAGAGGCGAGTGGTGTCCTTTGTAGCCAGTGAAACTCCTAGAGGCAGGACCCTGTCTTGAGTGTCTTTTTCTCCCCAGGGCCAGCACTGAACGGAGCACACAGTGGCGGTTAAGGGGTAGGAGGGATTGCCAAGCAGGTGGACTCTGGCTTCCTGGGTCCTCTTCCACTCGTCCTTGGGACACAGGGTGTTCACTCACTCTCCTTTGAAGTAGGGTTCCCCTCCTTGAAGTGTACCTTGGATCCAGTGTGGCCTTTGATGGCAGACAGACTGGCGGTGAATTTAGCTCAGTGGCCACTTGTGAGACCCAACCTTCTTTTCGCTCAGTACCTCGGGATGGAGTCAGTACTGGAGCTGCACTGTTACGACTCATAATGACAATGGCCGGCACTTATTGAGCACTTGCCATGTGCGGGGCACCATGCTAGGTACTTTGCGTGAATTAACACATCTAGTCCCCACAAGAGCCTGGAGGCGTGTGTACTATTATTATTATCGTTCTCACTTGAGAGCTGAGGAAACTGAGGTGCACAGAGCTTCAGTTACACAGCTTCCTCTTCACTAGCCCCTGAGTTCTCCCGCCTCTCAGCAGAGTGCCCGACACATAGCACTCACGTGGTAAGTGACAGGTTTGATGATAAAGTTAAACTGTACGGCAAATCTCTTAATAGTGTTCTTTGTGGTTTCTTTGCTTTCAAGCTTGAGAACTTCTCCATCTAGAAATCGTTAACTCTTTATTCCATTGGGAGTCATTTTGGTTTATGGAATTCCTTGCAATTTTGAAGTCCAGGTTCAAGGCAAAGAGACCAAAATCATAGTGTTTAATTGCATTTGAAGCCATAATGAAACCAGGTTGACCTCCATGTTCTTGTCGTAGCCCTGCCATGGACTGGCTGGCTTCTCCGCTCTGCTGCCTGTTCTCTACCAGCAGGCAGAGTGTCATTTAGCAAGGACAGTTAGGTCCTGTCACTCCGTTCGAAGCCCTGCCACGGCACCCATCTTATCCAGAGGAAAGCTTACAATGGCCGCCCTCACCCACCTCAGCTCCTTCCTTCTTCCCTGTCTCCTGCTGATTCAAAGCCATTCCAGGCACACTCCCATCTCCACCTTAGAGCTTCTGTGCTGACTCTTCTGCCCCCAAATATGCCAAATACCTAGATTCTCATTTTCAGATCACATTGCAGGTGTCATCTTCTCAGTAAGCACCACATTTAACATTGCAGCCCACTCCCATGCCCTGCACATTTGAAAAACCATAACATGTTCTATCTTCTAATATACTGTATATTTTACTTTAAAAAGAGTGCTTACTGGGAAGTAGCCTTTGTTTATTTCAGTGATATTTCTCGAGTGCTTAGAAGGATGCCTGGCGGCCGGGCGCGGTGGCTCACGCCTGTAATCCCAGCACTTTGGGAGGCCGAGGCGGGCGGATCACGAGGTCAGGAGATCGAGACCATCCCGGCTAAAACGGTGAAACCCCGTCTCTACTAAAAATACAAAAAAATTAGCCGGGCGTAGTGGCGGGCGCCTGTAGTCCCAGCTACTTGGGAGGCTGAGGCAGGAGAATGGCGTGAACCCGGGAGGCGGAGCTTGCAGTGAGCCGAGATCCCGCCACTGCACTCCAGCCTGGGCGACAGAGCGAGACTCCGTCTCAAAAAAAAAAAAAAAAAAAAAGAAGGATGCCTGGCACATTTTAGCGATTGGCCCATAAATATTTGCTGAATGAATGAATGAATGAATGAGAGTGTAGCCTTGGTGAAGCTGCTTTCTCTTTGGGGCCTTAAAAAAAAAAAGTAGAATAGCAGCTTGTACTGCTGTAGATGACATACACCCTCCCAATTGTAACTTCTGTTGATTCCTTGCATATTGGTTGCGTCAATGCATCACAAATCCACCCTCACGCACCCTAGGATGTGAGATTCGTGGGGCAGGCAGAATTCAGCTGGTGTTGGGGAGGCAGATGACATATCCTGCATTGCTAGATCTAGAGATCTAGGTGCAGCTCCTGTCTGGGGTCGGGACATGTTGTGTGTCAGCCAAAGCTCATGTGTCAGAAACACAGCACTTTTCCCAGTCTACAGCTGCCCGGTGAAAGCCTGACTGTTTTGCCCACTTTCATTTGGTGATGTTTCCAGAGCCTCTTTGCAATGCCATTGTCATTTCCCATCACCAGCAGGGTAGCTCCGGTTTTCTGTCATTGCCACCGAAGCCAGCCCAAGCCCATTGTTGCTGTGGATTTGTTTGCATATTGCACAGCCATCTGTTCTCTTTACCATCCAAGCTTTAGATTTTGAAATATGAATTACCAACCGCTCCAAGGATTTCAATGGCTTACTGTTTGTTTTGTATGCCAGTAACTAGTCTTTCAACTGTTAGAATCACCGTTTTAAAAGCCTAGATTACTCTTCTGTTGTGTAGGCGCGTTGGGCAGTCACTGTGGCTGAATGAACTAGTACCTAGGTATCTGACTGAACCATGGGCTTGAAAACCACCATATGCGACTATTACTGTCCATGCTTTCATCCTGATAGGGAGCATTAAATCAGAAAGTTGTTTGAGAAAGATACCAGTGTATAGTAACCGTAAATATAGTAAGCTCATGGATTAGGATTACACTTCAAGCGTGTTTATTCGCGTTGTGACTTCAGCTTACTGTTCTCTGTGATAAACGGAGGGGTCTGTGAGCGTGATTGTGTGTGGCGCGCTCCTCAGTCCTAGCAGCAGCATCTGTTGTTACTGCCATCCTTTGCTGAGCGTTCACCTGTGCCCAGCGCAGTGCTTCAACATTTCGTCTTCCACCCACAGCTTCTTTCATTTTCTTTAACATGCCAAGCTCTCCTTGCTCTGCTCTTTGGGCTGTCTGTCTTTCTCTCCGTTGCTGTCACTTTACACGGTCACAAATTTTACAGGCAGTGCCTCTGCTTTTACATGTTGTTCCTTCGGCCTGGACTGTCCTTCTGGCATAGGCTTTCAGCACCTATGACTTTCCTTTGTGGCATTTGACACAAAGGTCATTCATTTTTAGTGTAGGGGGTTACCTATTTAATGTCTGTCAATACTTACAGGCTGTAACCTCTTTGAGGTTCCAAGCTTTATTAGCACCTAACACTGTACCTGGAAATAGACTGAGTCATGTTTCTGTAATAAATGTGTTTTCACAGACAACCCTATGAAACGTATGCATAGTATAACTTCTGTTTTACACGTGAGGAGACTGAGATAAAGAGAGGTTAAATCACTTGCCCAAATCATCCAGGTGGTAAGTGGTAGAGCCATGCTCTTTTCTCAGCTCTTCTTAAGAAGCAGCGCATGCCGGCACGAGTGACATATGAATGACCAAGACAGACAGAAAACAGTTAACGGCCAGACGCAGTGGCTCACACATGTAATCCCAGTACTTTGGGAGGCCAAGGTGGGAGGATGTCTTGAGGCCAGGAGTTTGAGACCAGTCTGTGCAACATAGTAGACCTCTCTACAAGAAAATAGAAACAATTAGCTGGGTGTGGTAATATGTACCTGTGGTCCCAGCTACTCAGGAGGCTGAGGCGGGAGGATAGCTTGAGCCCAGGAGTTAAAGGCTGCAGTGAGCTGTGATCTCACCACTGCACTCCAGCATGGGCAACAGAGAGAGACCCTGACTATAAAAACAAAAAAACAAAACAGTAATACATATAAACCAAAAGACCTGCATTCTGAGTCTATCAAAATGGTTAGGAGAAAGAGATGTTCCTACTTAATAAACGTTAGCCAGGGAATATTTTTGTTTTCTTGCTTTTTCATGTTTCTAAAATGTCTGTTTCTCTGCTTTAAACAACCCAGCACCAGAATGGGATTGAGTCATACAAAGGCCCCATTCTCTGTGGTCTTGGGGTTTTTTTTGTGTTTTTGTGTTTTTTAGAGACAGGGTCTTGCTCTATTGCCCAGGCTGGGGGTGCAGTGGTGTGATCAGAGCTCACTGCAGCCTCCACTTCCTGGGCTCAAGTGATCCTTCCATCTCAGCCTCCCAAGTAGCTGGGACTAAAGGTGTCTGCCATCATGCCCAGCTAATTTTAAAAATTTTTTGGTAGAGATGGGGTCTTGCTATGTTGCCTAGGCTGGTCTTGAACCCTTGGGCTCAAGCAATTCTCCTGCCTTGGCCTCCAAAAGTGCCGGGGTGACAGGCATGAGCCACCATGGCTGACCAGGCCTTGGAGTTTTCACTGTCGAGATGATCATTTGCATTTTTTCCCCTCTGTCAGACGGTTTCCTTGATTGCCTCTAAGATGCATTTGCATCCTTCGGGTTTCAGCTCAAGTGGTCCCTTCGCAGGAAAGCCTTCCTTTACCACACTATTTACTATTGCGGCCCTCTCGTCACCACCCCCCATCTGCTTCCCTGTGCGTTTTTCATGGTCCTCCTTTTTGTCACTGAACATCCTGCATGTTGTACCTATTCCTTTGTTTATTGTCTGTCCTATCTCTCCTCTAGAGTGTACTCTCCACAAGCATGGATGTCTGTCTGTTTTGTTTGTTGCTTATTCCCAGTACTGTCCTTAGAGCAGTGCCAGGCACATTTGACTCAGGATGTATTAATATTCATTATTCATTATTGAATGAATGAAATGCTGTTTGGCTAGACAAGTTAGCTTTGTAATTCAACCTGCAGGTATTGGGCTCATTTGGACCTGGGATCAGCTGTGTGACTTTGGGCAAATGACAGCTTCTCTAAGCCTCCTTCCTGATTGGTGGTGTGGGTTGTAGGAACACCTTCCCCTTTATTGCATTGCAAGGATTTAATGCCTGCCCCACAGTGAACACTTGGAGGCTATTGTTACCGTTTCAAAAGTTACGTAGCCTGGGAGTCTTGATTGGTCTTTTCCGTTTACATACTACTCATTTGAGGGGGGTGTCTGTTTGTGTGCACATACATATGTATGGTCCGGTGAACTGATTATGGTACTCGGTGAATAAACTAGGCCACTTTCACAGATAGTTTTAAGAGTTGAAGTCTCAGCACAAATGCTCCCCACTTTTTACACGTAACAATTTGATGTTTTATAATGAAGACCTACATGTCACATCCCCCTAACCTTGAGTTTCTTTCTGTTTGACCTGTGCTCATAGCCAGTCGAGAAGGTGAAGGCCACAGTCAGTGCATAGTCTGGTGCTCTTCCTGAACCCCCTGGGTGCCAGGGAAGGGGCTGTCCCTGAATTACATGAGATTGCTGAGGAGACAGGAGGGCGTGGCTTTCTGGTACCGTGTCAGAAACCCAAGCTATCGCGCTGAGGTTCCATTCTTGATCACGTGCTCAGTTTTAGCTACCTTTCGACCTAAAAGTGAGATGTACCTTGTGATTCTTCTGCAGACATCTTTCCAGAACATTTCTTAAGTTGCCCTTTGACCTTGGACAGAGCGCTGCAATAGCATCAAAGCGAAGGGCAGGCTTTGTTAGGGTTGTAGTTCTTGGAGACGTGAGGACTGGAGTTTGTCTTATTGTGATAGTAGGTGACTTTAGTGACCCTCAGTCCTTGAGTCTGACATACTTTGATGAATTTATGATCTTTATTTGTCCATGGACACTTTTAAACTCCTCTTTCTTTGCTCCCTTGAATCTAATAAAGGTAATCACTTGTTTTCTGCTTCAGATCTGTTTATATTTATGAGACCTAATGATATGTTATGCCTTTGGGGAAGAGAGGAAAAATTCCTCTTGATTCTTGAGCTGGGGGAGGGGGAGAGCAGTAAGCCACATTCTTTATTCCCATATGTTTAATAAAGATTGCAGCGGTACTCATGACTCCTCATCTATTCATACGGGGCTGTATTGGTGCTGTGTTGCTGCTTCTGAGATTGGCACTGTTATATTATTAATAGTACTGATCACACATGCCTCGCATTTAATACAGAACATAAGAGCCTCACCTGGCATGAATGAAAAATCTCAAATTGAAAGTGTAGATACTATAAAATTTTTAAAGAAGGGAATACATTATGGTTGAACTTTCAAAATACAAATAGTGTATTTTTAATAACCAAGTTATGAATGTCCTTGGATTCTTGTGTTAGGGAGGTGGAGAAAGGAAAGAAAGTGGCTTCCTCTTACCTTTATGCGAAATAGAATCTGGAGACACACAGAACACCAAAGATCTAAGTTACACTGACAAAAGCAAAAACAAAAAGCCCAAATCCACACCGGAGTTTAGGAAGGCAGCATTCCGTTATTAACTCATCCAGTTATGCCAATAATGGCAGAGATCTCAGAACAGTTGGAAGTTTATATACACAAATGTATGTGCTGAAATACCACACTCTGATGACATTCGATGGAGAGGTAACCTTTGATGATGAATTTTCTTGCCCTTTTTAGGGGAGTGAAAGGGGAGGCGGGTGGTACTTCACAAGACTCTAAATTTACCAAAGTTTTTCAAATTTAAATTTTCTTAGAAAAAAATGTCAAATGATTGTAGATCCAAAAATGCCTTTGTTGGCATTTTAATGGTGCTTTTTGAGCCCAGTATGGAGTGTAAGTGAAAAGAAAAGCAGTTTCTTTCTTGGTAATGTGGTATTGAATCCGAAGCCTCGGACCATACAATGTCCCAGGAAGCTTCGTGATTTATATATTGTATGTGATCTTTTCTTAAACATTGTTAACCTGTGCCCTTTACAGACAATACCAGGTCAGAAAATGTCAGGGGAGCTTTGGATTGCCTTCATAATTGTGTAAAGAAAATTATTGTCCTCAAAATCCAGAGACTATGACAGGCGTTCTTAATAGAGTGATATGTTTAGAGACACAAACAGCATGTATGGGGCTGCTTTTAGCTGGCGGGGTAGGAAAAATATTTGAGTGATATTTTACTTTTGGTTCAGACCAATTGTGGATAAGAAAAAATGTTGCTACCTGTCAGGCTGTTGTAGACACCTATTAAATTTGTTGGAAAGGTGAATTCTCAAAGCAGGAAGCCTTTTGAAATGCTTATTCACACTCAGACAATTTATTATAGACCTAGAGAGAGGCTTAGTGTGGAGCGCGGGACTAGGTGATCCCCATGAGAAGAGTGGCTTGGGCGCAGGGCTGTGAGAGGGAGGGGCAGGGGAGGCCAAGAGAGTGGCTAGGTGACAAGAGCCATCACTTAAAGCCAGTGGAAGCAGGAAGTGGGCCCTGGTGATCTGTGGCATTCTGCATTCCTTCCTGACTGGCTCTGCCTCCTGGGACCTGTCAACCCCTCAAGTTAGTTAAGAGCTACATTTGGGAACGAACACATTCTGTTACAATCCTATTTGCTTAGGTGCAAATGAAAATGTGTCTTCTTGTTCCTCTTATCATTTAGGTCATTAAAGAACAAGATTTAAGTGAAAATGAGAAAAGAGACAGTTCTTTGGCAGAGCAGAAACTGTGTAACTATTTTCAACCCCTGTGTTTTGAAACAACAGTGGTTTACTTCAGCTCTTTCAGAAAGAAGAAAAAAAAATCAAATGTGTGGGCTTGACAGGTGGTTTTGCCAAAGTACAGACCAGAGTTGCATTCAGAGTGCCACATCATTTCTTCTCAAAAAGTTCACTTTCTCGGTAAACACCAAATAAGAACCTATAAAAAGGAGCCTAAAAACATGATTTTATTTCATGAGACTTAAAATGCCTTGCCTGTCTAATTTTTCTATGGTTTTTCAGCTTTCAAGGTGGTTGGCATTACGTTCTTTATCTTTATTTGCAGCCAAGGTGGGCTCGGCTCGTGGGCTTGTGGCAGAGCCGTCCCCCGTGCCCAGGCTCCCATGGCATGCAGCTAGCAGCGGCCAAGCTTAGCGCCTCGCCTACCACATCCACCTTCTGATGGCAGTGCCCACCAGTGGAACGAACTCTCTCCACACCTCATTATTTCTACAACCTTGAGTGAATTTGCAAATTAATTGATGTGTGGGAGGGAAGGCATCTGCTATTGTAAAAACCTTTAACTGTGGCAGTAAAACTTGAAATAAAATTAAGTGTTACTATAGTAAACTAATAGTCACCAGGTGATAAAGCACATTTTGTAGTGTGTAGGGGCTTCCATTTTCAGGATCTGTTTAACTTTGAGGCCCTGTTTTTTTTTTCCTGGTATAGTTTTTATTTTCATCCAAGGAACATAAGTACGTAGTTTAAAAGGCAAATAAATAATACTACAAGATTTATACCAGATGTGTTGGTCTTGCCCAACTCTGCTATGCCACTCCTCAGAGGCAACTCCTTTTAAGTCTGTATTTCATTGTTTATTTTTTTTAGAGGAGGGGTCAGGCTGGACTGTAACTCCTGGGCTCAAGTGATCTCCCACTTCAACCTCTCTGAATAGCTGGGACTCAGGTGTGCCCCACCATACCTGGCTTCTCTTAACTCTTTTAGCTCTTTCCTTGGATACTTGCCCACATTTTCCTAAATAACCTGCTTAGACTGCTGTTTTAGAAGTTATCTGTTGCCTCTGCCATGGAAGATGAAGATTTAACTTTTATAGACCACCATCTTCCCACTGCATTGCTTTAATTGATACTTGGTTTTTACATTATTATGACTATGAAATGTTTTTTATAGTGGAGACATGTAGGATACTGTGATTGCTATTTCTGTTGGTGAAGGCTGAGGTAGAGGGTAGCTCACCATTTAGTGTGCAGATTTATCCACCTGTTTTCAGCTGTCCCTAAACCCTGAGCCTCTAGGACAGCCTCTCCAGAGAGGACACCACCTGGCTTCTGATGGAGCAGGGATCTGGGTGTTCAAGAAAGATTTAACCAGTCCATCTGTTTTATGCCTACTTGACACCTGGCCTTCCAGGCCACCGAGTGTCCCCACTTCCTCAGTCTTTGGAAATTCTGCAGTGCAGTTCAGCTTGCTTTTTAAAAATCGACTTCTCCCACCCTCCCAACCTTCCCTTCTGTTCAGGGTAGGTGTTTAGTATACTTCACTCTGCAAAGGTAGTGCTGTTCCACTTACTTCCTGTCTTCTGAAATGTAGTTGACCTCTCTTTCTGTTGCTGTCTCCTCTTCTCTTTGTCCTTGTAGGCTCATACTGTGAGTTTATTCATTTGCTGTCATTTTAGTGGTTTGGGGAGAGAATGCAGGTGAACATGACTTCATTCTGCCGTGTTCAACAGGAAGGCCTCTGGCTCCTGTTTTTGATACATTTTGCTTTCTTTTACACATAGGTCTATAGCATCTTTGTATTTCAAAAAGCACATTTTGATTTAATGGGTCTATATTTTTCATGAAGGGTCTTCTTTTCATCACATGATTCTAAGAAATGTGTGCAGACATGCACATTGCTGCTTTGAAATAGAGTAATAACGTCTCTGGGTCTCTAGTATGCTTTCTAAGAAGATCCGTCGGATGCTAGTATTTCATTATGTCGCGGGAGGGAGAAATGATAAAACACGAAGCTCCTGAAAAGAAAGGACTGGCCTTTCTTCCCCTCTTTTAGGTGCACGCTGGTTTTAAAAACCTCTTTCTCAGCAGTGCTCTTACTATTTTGGCTCTCAGCAGTTAGCTTTTCTGGAGCGGAATAGCTGAGGGCAAGAGTACCTGGTGTGTGATGGCAGTGTTAGAAGCTGAATTTTTCAAAGAAGCAGAGACTCCACTAGACTTAGAGCCACTCCCTTGGGTCAGGGCCTTGGAGAGCCAGGCAGCGCTGTCACGAGGGGCACCGCTGTCTTTGAGACAACGTGGCTCTGGCACCAGTGCACACTCCCCTGAAGAGGGGGCAGAGGCCCGAATCCCCTAACACTGGTCAGGCTTGTGCCACCTCCAACAGATGGACCAGTAACACCTTTTCACATCCCTCCCTGTCTTTGAAAACCAGGACATAAGTCACCAGTTTGTTGTCTTCTGCCTTTGGGAAATCCTCACATTTTCTGTGTGGGAAGCACAGCCAGCCCATGTCACTCCACCCTTTTCTACCTCCTGCCACTCTAGTAGCAGTTCACATACCATAGCCTGTATACCTTGATTTGCAATTTTTGGGCCATGCTCTGCTCCCCTCCCCCGCCCCCACACACACCGACACTTTTTTTTGCAAGGGTAATACAAAATGCAGCTCACAGGCCTATTTCAGACTTTATTAAAACATCATTTCCCCTGCCTTGTTCCCAGATTTCTGTGCTTAATCATAGAAAGCCAGCTTGTTCAAATATACATTATTCTTGCTTGGAAAACTCTTGGCTTGTCTTCCTCCCCACCTCCTTCCCTATTTTGTAACCTTGCTTCACCGAGGCCCTTCTTATTAAATATCATAATTTGCTCATTGGAGAGTTATTTGTAAACTTAATTAACTCTCTGTCAGTGTTTGAGTTAATTTTCTCCCTTTCGTTTTAGCCTCCCTGGCCATGGTTTTTCATACTCTGTCCTGTGTCTGTTAAAGACTTTGTAAATAGTTTTGAAATGCCAGTTGGTGATATATGGGCCTCTTTAACATTTCTTTGATTTATGTGCAGTGCTGTGGAAAAAGGCAAAGAAAGCAAATTATATGGCAAAAAAATGTTGCCAATCTTTACTTTTTTACTCTTAGTTTTAAAAAGTATACTTATCAATCAAATCTGATGGATTTTCTTTTTTATAAAGATTGAAAATTTAACTATTTGAAGACTTGTGCAATGCATGTTCTGTATTTGCTTAATCAAGTAACTTGGTACTAGAGTAGGGTTTCAGAATTCTAAAAGCTTTCAATCTCTACTATTTGTTCCTATCCTGCTCCCTCCCTGACTCTTCAACAATACATGCATGAAATGGCCAGATTTTTGATAGGAGTTGGAAAGAAGGAATCCTCTCAATACTGGAAGTACAGTGCTGAATCTTTCTGGTGAACCAACAAGAGCTGTGTCCTTCTCTTAGTTGACCGTGACTTGTCTGAGGCTTCTCTCCGTGGCATCTCTGATGGCTTCCAGGTCTCAAGAGACTGGCCTCCTGAAGCTACCGGTGAATCTGCAAATGTTAATTTTGAGAGTGTACTATGATTGTGCTCAGATTTTAGCGCGTCTTGGAGCTGCCTGGGGGTGCTTGTTACAGTGTGAATTCCTGGGTTCCTCAGTAGAAGTTCTGATCCCACAGATTGGAGGTGGGCCCCTGGAATCTGCACTTTTGGCAAGCACTCTGTAGATGATTCTGTTGCAGATGATCTCTGGCTGTGTTTTGAAAATGATTTGAAGGCTATAATGTCCTTGATTATACCACTCCCCTGTTCGGTATCTCCAATGACACCTCTCCCCCAATTGTCTACTACATGAAGTCCAAAGAAGGTATAAAAATTCCATATTACTTGGGAGCATTGGGACTTGTCATTTGTGTAGGCAGGGTATATAGGTCTGGCTGTGCAGTTATGCAATGCCTACAGACCTCTTTGGATTTTTTTTTTTTTTAATTTATTTGTTCATTCAGCCATGGCTATGTGCCAAGCACTGTCCTAGGTGCTGCAGCTACAGTCATGACTAAGAAGCCTCTGTCCTAATGGAGCTTATATTCTAAGGTATTCTAAGGTATGGGAGACAGGGAGAAGGTGAGTGGGAGAAGTTGAAACTAAAGAAACAAACCCTCTGTATGTAATACCTAGCCAGCTTTACTACTGTGATTCAGATAAAACTGCTGTGATAGAAAGCACCCCCAGCTCCTTTAGGCGGCCAGAAAAGGCTCTCTTAGAAGGTGAAGTTCAAGTTGAGACTTGCACAACAAGAAGTCAGGTATGCAAAGATCAGGGTGAAGAGCGTTCCAGGTAGAGGGGACAGCTAGTGCAAGAGGCCTCAAAACAGGAACAGAAAGGAAGCCAACCAGAGTGGTAGAATGCTGGTGAGGCAGGTGGAAGGAGGAGCTGGGGCCGGAGCACGTAGGTTGTCCGGCTGTGTGTGTGCCCTGTGACTCTACTATGGCTGTGGTTGCTCAGATCAGAGATGGGCACCTAGGCCGGTGACTGCCAGCAGTTGATGAGGTCCCAGCCAGCATGGGTGCTGTGCCCAGTACACTCACCCTCCACGGCCTGGCACAGGTTCACAGCTCCTTATCAAAGCTTTGGGCATCTGAATGTGTTTTGGATTTTACAACATTTTATATTATAGAAAAGTAGCATGGCTCATATACCATTAATTTCTCCAGCAGGGTCTGGAGCAGTACCCTGTAATCAAATTTTGTGCAGCAAAATGTATGACTATTCACACTAAGTGAGATAAATTAAGGTTTAAATAGACTCACATCAGTTCACGTCAGGTTTTGCTGCCACATGAGTTTTGGCGCCTACATCGATGAGAAGGCTTTAGATGTTCAGAACTTTTTATACATTTTATACTGTGCTAGGGAATTATGGCTGTGTACTGGCAGATTCTTGGCCCTTCCTCTGTTCTGGGTGTGAAGCATCAGAAGGCAGTGAGTGGGTGAAAAGGTGTGTGCACACGAGTGTGCCTGCTCAGGCTGCAGCAGGCAGAGTCCCAGAGAGAGCAGAGGCGAGTCAGGAGGAGTTGATTGTGGTGGAGTTGGAAGAAGCAGCCCAGAAGAATCCGAATCCCAGAAGCTGAGTAGGGCAAATGGCCGGAAGCTGCTGGAGCAGTTGGGCTGCGGTGGGCTGCATTCTGGTCTCTAAGAGGCCTGGTTGTGGACACGGCTCCTGCGTTCTCTTCTTTCTCACAGAGTGGACCCTTACTACCTGGGTAACCAGAGCACAACTGTGCTTGTTGTAACCTGCAGTCCTAACTGGATAATAAGAGCAGTCGTTAGATCCCCACCATCCTCACTCCGTTGATTCAGAATTCAAATTCCTACCATACTTTGAGGTTTACTTACATCCCCTCAGGCTATCTCCTGCCAGCTAATGTATTCATTTACTCATTTATTTAAAAAATACTTATTGAGAGCCTGCTAAGTCCTGGAGAGGCAGTTGAGTGTAGTGGTTACAGAGCAGGGGCCCCAGAGCCAGGCTCCCCGGATACCAGTCCTGACCCTGCCGCTTAACGTCTGTGCCTCAATTTTCTCATCTGTGAAACAGAGATGATAATAATAGTACCTACCTCACAGGGTGGTTGTACAGATTAATTAAATGAATTAGAATAGCACCTGGTTCATAGTGAGTCCTGTATACACATTAGCTAATGTTATTATTTTTTTTTTTATTGATAGGCCAAGCACTGTTCTGGACACTGGGGATGTAGCTGTGAGGACTAGGGGAGATATCTACTCCTACGGGGCTTACATTCTAGGCAGATCTTGACCTTCTAAAAGCAGAGGGTTTCTTTGTATGTCCATTCATGTCCAGCACTGTGCTTTGCATCCATCAGGCCATCCCATTCTCAGCACATTTTTATTGAATGCTCACGTAGACCCTTCTGCTAGGCCAGTAAGGCTTCTAAAATGGAGTACAAGACAGTTCCGGCACTCTTGTGGAATACACTTTGGGAAAAGAGTAAAGGTAGATACACAAAAACCCCCACACTGTCATGTACAGTGGTCAGCCTTGGGAAAGGTGTTTCAGAAAGGCTTCTGGTCTGGCTTGAGCAACTTCAGTTCTTCACTGCTCCCTGCTTGCCAGGTACTTAAAGGGAAAGGCAGCCTACTTATTGGGTATTGAGGACCAAAAGGACACATGAGGTGTTGCACAAGTTGCCTATTCTTATTTTCTCACTCCTGGTCCCAAAGCAGGCTACTTTCCATATCTGGGCTCTTCCTCTGGATGGACGTGGTTGGTGATGGATGCGTGAATATTCCTTCTTGGACATTCCCAGCTGGCTGCTGCTGCTCCTCATTTTGGTTGCTCGGCTTGTTCTTCACAGCAGATTTGGGAAAGTTTGAGTAAGGCTGCTGAGCATCATTGGAGTTGGAGTAGGGAACATGCACATTGGAGTAGCCCTTCTCGTATTAGGCTCAACTCTCTTATGACTCAGCCATTCCTGTGCATTCCCCTTCCCCAAATCCACAGGAACAGACTTGTTTTTGACTTGTCTATCTTTTCTAAGGTTTTTTTCATCAGATACAAGTTCTTCCAGTTATTGACACAGTCACTCCTAAGACTTAGCTTAAGTGTTAATGGCTCAACAATCTCAGCCGATTAACACTAATCATAATAATATTTATTGAATGTGTGCTTTGTGCCAGCCACTTTGCTGAGCCCTTTTCATGTTCTTAACCCTCACTAACTCCAATAACCAGAGTATGATTTTGTTCAGTGAAACCTGAGATTGTTTCTAGAGTAATCAGATAGTATTGAGTAGCAGTGTTATCCCCAATAGTAGAAGAGAGCCAAGGCTTCAGAAAATTGAAGAACTCTCCCAAGGTCATAGAGTTGGTTAAGGAGAGGGCCTCTGTTGTATATCCAGATGGTTGACTATGAACCCACATTCTTAATTAGATTAAGAGTAGTAGAACTCTTTCTCTGCCTAGCTCTTGTTGATCAGTAGAAAATTCACTCAGGGCTGGGCGCGGTGGCTCACGCCTGTAATCCCAACACTTTGGGAGGTCGAGGCGGGCAGATCACCTGAGGTTGGGAGTTCGAGACCAGCCTTACCAACATGGAGGAACCCTGTCTCTACTAAAAATACAAAATTAGCTGGGTGTGGTGGCGCATGCCTGTAATCCCAGCAACTCGCGAGGCTGAGCCAGGAGAATCACTTGAGAACCCAGGAGGCAGAGATTGCGGTGAGAGGAGATCACACCATTGCACTCCAGCCTGGGCAACAAGAGCAAAACTCTGTCTCAAAAAAAAAAAAAAATTCACTCTAATCTGTTGTTTCTTTTAAACCAAAAACATGCCCATTGTTAATATGTATGACTTTAGCTTTTTTTTTTTCCTTCCAAGGGGAAAAGCCGTAGTCCTGTATTTATGTGGGAAAATCCTGACACACAGGCTTCCACCTGCATTACCTTTTCTCATACTTCCTGTGTGTAGATAATCACAATCAGAATTTAAACAGACCGACAGAAATAGAGTGCTGTGGGAGTCTGGAGAGAGACTTTGATCTTCTAGTACCGAATGCTTTGCTAGATGCCTAAGAAGCACTCCTTAACCTGATTATTTCACGTGTCAAGCTTGAGCCAACTTTCTGGGCATTTAGGTTGTGTGTAGATTAAAAAGAACAATCTCTACAGTATATTAGAAGGAGCTGTCCAACTAATCCTCGGGATTGCCTTTCATTTAGAGCACTTACCTTGTTTCTGCAGGCCTTAGACGATTGTCCTTAGGATTTGATGATGCCAAGAGGTATCGTCTTGTAATAGATTGTCTTCCACAGTTGTATGAGAAGAATTCTGAGTTAGATTTCCTTCTCAATATAGCTACTCATTTAGAACGACCTAGTGGGTACATTTTTCCTATTTTCTCATTACATTTATCAATTTGTTATCTGACATGCTTAGGGTGACAGGATTTGATTTAAAAGGTGATCATTCTCATCAATTTTGTGAAAATTCAGTCATTCCTGGTGTTATTGGAGGAAGCGAATTTCTAGGTATGGCACTTGGGAAAATCACAAGAACAGCTCTTTTTGCCTGTTTGCAGTGTGCTGGACACTGTGCTTAAGGCTTTTGCACACATTATACCGCCAAATTCCAACAACAACCATTCTTCATCTGTAAAAGGAGGCCAACAATACTGCCCCCCATGGATTTGTTGTGAGATAGGGAAAAGGCACTTTTAAAGCCTGCCTTAGGGAGTGTGCCCAATAAACGCAAAGACAACTCTCTCCTTACAAGATTGAACGTTGCCTTTCTTATTGAGCTGATAAAGAAAGTGGCTCAGAAGGGAGGAAAAACACCCAGAATCACTCATGTTGAGCTGGGGTTTGAACTCAGGGCCATCTCACTGCAAGGCTCCATCTTCTGTGCATTGGGCCACACTGCCTCCAGAGTGTCAGCCTTTGCTGCTTCATGGCCAAGTACAAAGGAAAGCAGGTGCCTCCTTGGACCCGTTGCCTCCTCGTAGTCCTGAGCCACCACGCCTTGTTCTTCCTGTTCCCAAAAGGACAATGCAGTTGTTAAAATGATCAATAAAAAAAAATTCCTTCTTAAGAGCTCTCTCCTATTTCCTGATTTCTGTTCTTGCATGCCTCCTAACTAAGCAGCTGTCTCACTTCCACTCCTATACTTTTTTGTTTTTCTGACATCATCATCATATATCTTTTTCCAGTCAGTGATTATATGGCTCCCTGTTTTCCTGTCTCCTTCCGTGTGAGTTTCTCTTCACTGTCTTTCCTTCTTCCTTGCCTCTTCTGACTGTATATCCCCAGTAAGCAGGGAGTAAGGGGATGGCTGATCAAATCCCTGATTTGTAGCCAGGTGTCTCCCAGCAGACTGTTGGTTTATGGAGGGAAGCCAAGGAGGCTAATGGGGCTGCATCTGACCATAATGAAAATGGTGCTTAAAGCAGAAACAGGCATTTCATGACACTGGAATAAAGAAGAGCTAAATAAACTCTCCAGCTAAATCTAAATGGACTAGGAGGCGCATAGAAACTCATTTTTCTCTTCTGAGAAGCCATCCCTTTTTCACACTACCCATAAAAGAAGAAGTTTATAAAATATCAGATTGGCAATTTTCAAAAAATCATGTTTATTAGTTTATTGACTGGATACCTTGGCAATGAGTGACTGATGCTTAGAATTCAGTGTTTAGAACTGAGACATAGAAATGTCCAGTGATGGTTCTCATTGTACTCATGGCTTAGTTGAAAACCATCTGTTTTCTTTTGGGGGGGAAAAAGAGAAATATTCAGGGTCATATTTCTTATATGGGAATATTTAGTTCTTCCCCCATGCCTCACCTATGAATGTTTGGAAAGAAAAACCAATAAAGTATTGTATGTCAGTAAATGCTCAAGTGCCTATTAGGGCTCTAGCATTGCATTTGATTTCAACTTTTACTAGGCCTAAGACATCTCAAGGAGCCCTTTCCCAACTGATATGGTTTGGCTGTGTGTCCCCACCCAAATCTCATCTCTAATTGTAATCCCCAGGTGTTGAGGGAGGAATCTCATGGGAGGCAATTGGATCATGGGGCGGATCCCCCATGCTATTCTCATGATAGTGAGTGCTCATGAGATCTGACGGTTTTACGTTTGGCAAGTTCCTCCTTTGCTTGCTTCTTTCTCCTGCCGCCATGTGAAGAAGGTCCTTGCTTCCCTTATGCCTTCTGCCATGATTATAAGTTTCCTGAGGCCTCTCCAGTCATGTGGAACTGCGAGTCAATTAAACCTCTTTCCTTTGTAAATTACCAGTCTCTGGAAGTATCTTTACAGCAGTGCGAAAATGGACTAATACACCAACCCCTCACTAGCTGCCTTAATTGGAGACTTTTGGTGACTAGTAAAATGTTTGCATTCCATATTTAAATTTCACTGATGTTGATTTTTGTACTAGGAAGTCAAGCGCAGACTGCTCAAAGTAATATTTATAATACAGGATTTCAGTGTTAGGACCTCAGACATAATTCTAGCCTTCCTTTGTAGACTTTTGATTCAGGCCTTAAGTACGTGTTTAAAAACTAATGTCCTACATTTCTGGTAGAAATATAAAGATAATCCTGAGATGTGTCATTCTTCCCTGTTACTTCTGTCTTTGGTTAATAACTGAAAGATCAGATGCACAATCTGTTTTTCTTGAGTCCAGAAGTATAATATGCAAATGGATAAGGATTCTGGGGTGGTTCAACCTTAGCTGGTGACAAGAACATGATGGTGCATCTGACGTGGCCTTCTTCCCCCAGTAGAAACATAGGCAAACAAGATAGCCCACCATGTTGTCCCTCTTCAGAGGGCATATTCTCATTCATTGTCACCGCCTGTCAATAATCTGTCATGATGCTCTCATTACTGTGTTGTCAAATTTTGCATTGATCCTATTTATATTTTTGGCCTGCATCTTCTTAAGTGGCCATGTGTCTTAGTTTAGGCCACTGTAATAAAATGCCATAGACTGGGGTAAACAACAAACATTTATTTTTCACAGTTCAGAAGGCTGGAAAGTCCAAGGTCAAGTTGCTGGCAGATTTGGTGTCTGGTGAGGGCTCTTTTCCTGGTTTGCAGATGGTCACCTTCTTGCTATATCCTCACATGGTGGAGAGAGAGAAATCTGATCTCTTCCTCTTCCTCTTCCTATAAGGGCATTAATCCCATCATGGGGCCTTCACCCTCATGACCTTATCTAAACCTGATTATCTCCCAAAGTCCCCAGCTTCAAATACCATCACATTGGGAATTAGGCCAATGTGTATTGAAACAGAAGAATTTTGGGGAGACAAAAACGTTCAACCCCTGACACCAGGTGACTCTCCAACATGATCTTTCTTTATGACCCTGTCCATTGCTCTCTCAGACCATGCAAGGCAGATGGGGTGAGCACCTGGTGTGAAGTGAGAGGGGGCTCCTGGGAGACAGGAAAACACCAATTTTTATATACCCTCGTCTGTCTTTTCTTAGCTGCTCATCTTCCCTTTTTTTCCCTTTCTTCTGTTGTCTTTCTCTTTCCCTTTACAAATAATAATCCCTATGATGGTTGTTTCTTCCATTGTTAGCCACATTTTAGTTTGCTTTGTTAGTGAATTCATTCAGATATGTGAGTCATTCTCCTTCTATTGGACTGGCACCTTTGAAGGATGATAACATGCATACAGCTGTAGTGTAAACAGGAGCAGTTGTGGAGAAAGTCCTATTAATAAAGGTGCAAATTCTGGGGAGTTGCAGTAGAACAATCTAAACAACCCTAACCATTACAGATATTTAAGAAAGAAAAGGGCTGCTATCCATCGTCTCTGTTTACTTCTTGGATAGCTTTTGAAGTTTGGACATTTGAGCACTAATATGTAGGGAAGAAAGAAACTCAAATGGCATTTAGCATATAAATAATGCCACAGTGGAGCAGGAAGCGCAGCCCTGATTTGCTGTCCTGCTTTCCTAGTAATTGAAGGAGCTGTGAAACCGAGCTTCCAGGAGAGAACAAATAGGCAAGTAAATTGGAGGCTTCCTTCTTATGGTTTATTGATGCTGTTTTGACCAAGTAAAAAGATTATTTACCCATAAAAGCTCAAGTCTAAGGTGTTTTTTTCTAAACTATTGGCTATTTGAAAGAAGCATTAGGAGATAAAAGGAGGAAAGAAGCTAATATCATCATCTGATATTTAGATTAAAACCCAAGCAAAACAATTAGATTTATGGTATTTTTCTGTAGCTGTTTTCCTTGGCACAGATAATACCAGACAAGCTTGCCTGTTTTTTGCTTGGAGTTATGTTCAAAAGAAGAACCAGAACTCTATTGTAATACATGATTCTTTCTCATTAGCTGGAAACAAAACATATTTCAGTAATGAGGGGCAAAGGTCCTTGCAACTCACAGTGGTGACAAAGTTTCCTGATGTTGCAGAAATCTTAGTTCTAGTTGAAAGCTTAATGGTCTGGGGAAACATGACTATGTGAGACTCTCAGATTAGCACCCTACCTTGCAGTGTCGCAACACACATCCCAGCTGTATGGGGTGTGACTTGATTCAGGTGTACACAGTGTGGATTGTTCCAGGTGTCATGGGTCCTTAGGTTGTGGCTGTGGGCTTTGGTGTGTTCTGTTATACATTGGAAGGATTTTCAGTGCACTTACGCCAGCCACCTCTGGCTGTTTTGGTCAGTGATCTACAGGGGAAGTGGCACTGGTGTCCTTGCTTGCTATCATTATATATAACATACATTTGCAAAGAGAATTCTTCAGTAGAAACAGAGTATACATGTGGAATCTCCTAGAAACCCGTTAGACAGAAGCACAACTGCTCTGTGACACAGCCATATCAAAACTGCTAGGAAGGTTCAACATGCCACTGTGCATCTGGAATTTAGATTTTCTGATGAAACTATGGTTTCTTGATTTCTTTTCTCTAAAGTATTTAACTGTGAATATTAAAACTTGAAGACAACAGAGTTTAAAACTTCTTCAAACTCACCACCTAACACATGACTGGAGTCAGTGGGAGGGAAAAGCATGCAACGTCTCAGCGCCTGCAGGAGGGCAGAGTGAAGAGTTCTATCATGACAAGCAGGAGCCAGGAGAGGCTGGTGATGGGAACGTGGCTGCCTGCTTGGCATGGGCCAGCTCTCATCCAGGGGGGATCGCTGTGTTCTGTTGCCGAAGGGAAGATAAACATCAGTACCTCCAGTTAGAAAGATGCAGCATACCTATCCCCGCGGGACAGAGCTATTAAGGCAAACCCTGTATGGCCCACCGTCCTCCTGCGAATGGTGTGACCTGAGGTCAGTGACCTCTTTAAGGCTGGCATCTCCTCTCATGTGAAATGGGGTTGTGGGTAGGGGGGAAGATTGGCATCTACTTTGGCCTTTCTCTATTGTTAAATTCTGTGATTTGAAGTCATCTAGGGGCAGTCCCTATGGACCCCTTTTCTTTTGAGCTTGGTCCAAGCTCAAGCCTGTGAACATACCCACTTTCTGGGCAACTGGAATAAGAGGAAAAAAGGTTTCTTCTGTGGTTCTATCTTGACAGTGAGCACCTAGAAAGCAGTGTGTTTGCTTTCGTAAGAGGCCAGCCATAAGAGGACTGTCAGATGGAGGCAGTCTGTTCTAGATTGGTTGCAGTGCCAAGCCAAGCCAGCATTCCCATGAATCTGCCAGTCTACTTGTTAGCTGACAAATTCATTAGCATCACCTGTATTCAATGCACTATCCTGGACATTGTACAGAATAGAGTCATCAATAACAAGGTCTGTGCCCTAGAGATAAGACTCCCTGGGTGGCAGCTTCACTCCCAGACCCAGGAATAACACAAGGCTGTCTTTTCTGGGCGTTTTTCCCAGTACAGACCGGAGCTTTGTGCTTGGAGAAGGAAATTGGCCTAGAGTGACTGGCAGAGGAGATGGTGGGGCTCCCTACCCCCTTGATCTCTTCTGCCCTCCTGTGGGTCCTCTGGTCTAAGCCAGACAGAATTTATTATAACTTAATTCTATGCCATTCTTTGCCTTTATATGTAATTATATGCAAAGTGATTTAAAAAAAAAATAAAGTGAATCATAACTTACGTCCAGGAGAGCTCTTTTTTCCCCTTTACCCTTAAAGAAGCCTTTGGTGAATCTTGAGAAAGGAATAGTGATTTTCATAGTGAGAAGAATCAAATCTTGATTGATCTGGCTTATAAGTTTTGAGGTTTTCAAATGTCAGGTTCTCTTAAAGTGGGATTCGGGCCAGATGGCAAGGGTAGAGCAGTGCTGCATATGATGGGATGCTGTAGCAGGGACCCCAGGGAGGCTCCAGCATACACTTCAGCTTTTAAGTACTAGGCCTAATTGAATGCCACTGGCTTCATTAGTATATTGAACATGATCGGTGTGATGAATTTCCTTCTGTTCTCTTTTCAAACTTTGGTCCAGTGCAAAACATTAACCTATGAATATTTTGGGGCGGGTAGAAGCATTCAGAACAATGCAGAAGACATCATGCAAGTGGAGAATGAACGGGAGAGGGGTGATTGCTCATCTGATTTCTTGAACTCAAGATTTAAGTCAGAAACTTTGCATTTGAATCCTGTTTTTATCATTTCCTTTTATATCATTTGCTTCCAGTATTTGTTGTTATTTGTAATTTGAAGCGTATTAAAGCTAATTGAATTTGGACTCCCAGTAGTTTGGACTCTTTAAAAGAGGATTCTGTAAAGACCTTGGCTATCCAACAGAAAAAGATTTGTTAAGTCTCTTGTATTAATGTTGTAGGGACATTCCTTCACATCAAATACCTTTCTACCTTTAGAAATACAAAGGAATTGAATTTTAGAGTTTGGGGGTCCTCAGAGAAAATGTCATGCATATTTTCTAGAGAGGGACAGGAGATGTGTAAGGTCACCCAGTTTGGTAGCAGCAAAGCCCAGGAGCACATTTCCAAAGAGGCTGCTGGTTACAGAGGCGCTTCCTCTCCCACTTACATTTCGTCAGGACCCTGCCTGACAACTTGGAGCCTCTTACGTGTTCAATAAGACTAAAACAGCATTATTTTAAAAACGATTCAGTAGATCAAAGTTTTCCTAATTTTAATTGGTCTTTCCTCAGACCATTATTAATTGTTAAAATTTTCTCAGGTATAGAGGTAATTAGTAGATATAATTGGTTAGAAAGGGCTTTAGGTTGAGAACTGATAGAAAAATCCTAGGTCATTCATAGAAAATAGAAAGTGGAAATTAATGGATAGTGAAATTGTAACTGAGAGAAATACTCTAAAAAATCCAGAGAACACTGCAACACGGAAATGGCTGTTCCTGTGGAGCAGTAACTTAACAGTAAATCACGAACCTTCCCCTCCAACTCAGCACATAAACACTCCCATTCCCCGCACTTGTAAGATATGAAAGTTAAAAGAATAGATCATTTCTCTCCTTCTTTCATTTTTATTCCTCCCGGTTAGTGGAGGATCTTTGATAGAAAAATCACAATAGAACTTTGATAAGTTGCTTTTTGAAATAGACTTGTTTCCATGCTGCAGACATTTGGAGAGAAGTATGTTTATTGAAATATATTTTTATAGAAAATATTACAGAACCTGTAATTGAGAACTTATGGCGGTATTTTGGGGAGTTATATGTTTCTAATGTTAATTTGTAGATTCACTCTGAACTCCCTTCTGCTGTTTTAGAACCATTGGCTGAGTGAACATTTTCCAGGAGCCTCTTCAGATCTAAACTGTGTTGCATGGAATGGAGTTTTGGTGCTTAAATAATGTATAATCCAGTTGGACAGGAGCTGCCTGTCAGTTTTATTAACTTTGACCTTTTCTCCCATTATAAAGGTGGTTCAGTAAATATTTAATGGGCCCCTTATAGATCTTGACAGTCAGAGCCGTGTTCCTGGAAACTGGGATACATATATATGATTAACAAGTGCTGCTTAATCCTTATGAGTCAGCTCTCAAGGGCAGATTTTGTTTTGGGGGAAGAAGAGTCCTTCCACCTATGTGTGCTGTTAGAGGTGCACTGTACACTGAGAGCATCCAAGATGGTTGAGGTTTCAGAGGAACCCTTTAAAAGACAGATAGCAGTTAGCGTACATTTCTGCTGTTTTGGGTTTTTGTTTGTTTGTTTGTTTGAGCAAATGATCAAAATGATGCCGGGTGGGCAAAATCACCCTGCCACTCTGCATAGTTAGCAGGCCTCCTCCACTCAAAGAGTCAGCAGGGCTGGAATGGCTGAGCTTGCATGGACCCTAGTAAATACAAAGGAGGAAAGCCAAAAGGAGAGTCGATTCCTTGAGCCAGGAGGAGGCCCCTGCCAAGCTGTCTTTCCCTGTAATTCCATAAAGCCCCATGCATATTGCACTCATTGCAAATTCTGGCAGGGAAGATCGAAACCCAAGTAGCTGACATTTTGAAACATTGTCTTTCAAACTTGTACTGTCCCTTGCCTCCATTGATTTCCCATTTAAGAAATCTGTAGGAAAAAAACAAATTTGAGGAAAATTCATTGGTCTAAGATGAGTTGTTAGAGCCAAATTATGCTCCCCCCTTTCTACCCTGAAAAGAGCTCCATCTTTATTATGAATGTGATGTATGTTTGTCTTGTATTGGGCACCTGTAAGGCTCCCACAGCAAATCGACCAAGTAAATCAAGAGCCTGTTAAAAAGCAGTACGGATGCTCCAAACACAGATACTTCTGTCATACTGGATCACTGGATAGCCTCATTTTTATAGCCACTTTCCAGGAGCAGATCATTTCAATTGGTTTTGTTGTCTTTGCTCTCTATTTGCATGCAGCCCTATGGCTTTAGGTGAGGCCATTTATTTTTCAGAACATTATTGCCCTTTGCATCCAAGGCCCAGCCCCTTTTATATGGTGGTCGCCAGTTTCATTACCGTGAGCTGTAATGCAGCTGACTCGGCAAAGAAAATCTGTGCCTTGGAAGAGCATTTTGAGAAGAAATTGATTCAGAGCTTTAGAATGAATTACTATTTGTATGTTTAGATAATTCTAAATAAATGTTTGAAAGACCTTGCTTAATCTGAGAAGAGAGGAAGAAACATATTGGATGTTATAAATGGTCTCTATCCAAGTTCTTAGCTTGGCATTTTCACATGTGAATCTTTTATTTACATCTGCTCAAAATTGGGATACCTTTCAAGGATAATTTTATTATAGCGATATTGATGACAACTCTTATGATCTAAAATACAAAAGTATAGAATTAGAAAGGGAAGCTAAAAGTTATTGTCACACGTCAAATTGGATATAAACTTCATTTAGCAAGGAGTGAGAATGATGAGTTATATTTTAAATCAGAATTTCCTGATGTTAGGTGCTAAGGGGATTGACTGCGTTAGGGCACAAATGAGCTTTCTGTAATGATGGAAAGTTGCTTTGTCTTGCTTGGGGTGGTAGTTATACAGGTATATACATTTGTCAAAACTCATTAAACTGTTCACTTTAAATGTGCATATTATATTTTACGTAAATTAGAATTCAAAGTTTTGTTTGGTTTAGAACTGGGCAGTATCATTTCTCTTTCCCAATAAGAAACTGAAGTATAGAGAAGTAAAGTTATCTATCCTAAGTCACCATGAAGCTCAGCAGTTTGTCCAGGGATCAAGTAAGGGATGCTGGCACCAGACACATTTAAAGCATGCTGCTTCCTTACCTCCATGACATTGTTCCAATTGCATGTCCATGGACTTGAAATTGGCTTCTCCATTCGATTCTTTTCAATGAGCCTATATCCATTTGTATACATTGTTGTAAGATATATTCATAAGCTTGTTCTTATGATTGATATTTGTAATTTAACCATTGAAAAGATAGCTCAGTGGTTCTGAATGCAGACTGATAGTATGTTTGAATCTGTGTATGATAAGCCATGTCGTGGTCATGGTGTACTGCGGTAGACTACAAATTCTATGGTTTTTATTATAAGCAAGATATGGTGGTAGCAAGACTTCCCAGAACTAACTTTGTCTCTAAGGAAAACCTCTGGATTTTCTTATTAAAAAATTACGTAGGCTTTAAAACCATTTACATAAAGCATATGAATAGTAGTCAAAAATAAAGAAGAAAGTAAAAATCACTCGAATTCTACTACTGAAAAATACAGTTAGCATTTTAGAGAACATTTTTTAAAGTGCCTCTCTGTTTACAATGGAACCTTTTTTCTTTTAATTCAACAAAATGGTGTTGTGAAGTTCTTTCTCTATTTTAATCAATTTCACAGTCAGTTGTTGGACATTCCGACTGCTTCCAGTTTTTCATCATGAGGTAATGCTGTGATGAACAGTCTTGTTCTTGTTTTGTTTCCTGTTTGTCTGATTATCTTTTTATGGGTAAATTCCTTGAAGCAGAATGTGAGCAGTTGTATTTGAAGTTACTTAAAATGTTCTAAGGGGATAAGATTATCAAGCATTGCTAGTTTAATACCATTTGTCCTACTTTTACCAAATGCTATTTTTCTTCCCCTTTTGTTTTGTTTTTCTCTGCAGTTGCAGTACCATGCAGGACTAGCATCTGGCCTTTTAAATCAGCAGTCATTGAAGCGTTCCGCTAATCAGATGGGAGTATCTGCCAAACGTAGACCAAAGGCTCAGCCCACAACTCTTGTCCTACCACCTCAGTGAGTGATGGATTTGAAAAATTACTTTAGTACTGGGTGAACTTTTTTACTTTATACTTGTTTTTGGGTAGTGGAAAGTTACTGTTTTCTTCAAAATTCCCTCCCTCCCTTCCTTTTTTTGAGACGGAGTCTTACTTTTTCACCCTGGCTGGAATGCAGTGGCATGATCTCGGCTCACTGCAACCTCTGCCCTCCCCCACCCCCTCGAGTTCAAGCAATTCTCGTGTCTCAGCTTCCCAAGTAGCTGGGATTACAAGCGCACACCACCATGCCCAGCTAATTTTTGTATTTTTAGTAGAGATGGGGTTTCACTGTGTTGGCTAGGCTGGTTTCGAACTCCTGACCTCAGGTGATCCACCTGCCTCGGCCTCCCAAAGTGCTGGGATTACAGGTATGAGCTACCACACCCGGCCCAGAATTATTTCTTTCTTTTAAAAAGGCATCTATTAGGATTAGAAACCAAGCATGATGGTAACATAATTTGCATAGATCTTTGTGAAACAGCTGTAATGCAGTTTATTTTACATATTTTGTATGTGACTTTTCCACCTAGGATTTTAAGAGACCTCACGGCTTATTATTTGTTTCCTTATCACATTCCCAAAGGTGGTAGAATATGAGTACAGTTGTCCTTATTTTATAAATGAGACAGCTGAGGAGCACATTTGGTTAAGCTGCAGACCACCTAGAGAACCTGCTAGAGCTGAGATTAGAATAAATGCTAGGTTCATTCGTTCACATTTAAAAATAGTAATATATGTGCTCTTCTTTTTCCCATTAGGAAGGATAACAGATACAGTAAGCTTCACAGAG
The DNA here is from genome assembly GCF_000001405.40 of Homo sapiens. Taxonomy (NCBI): domain Eukaryota; kingdom Metazoa; phylum Chordata; class Mammalia; order Primates; family Hominidae; genus Homo; species Homo sapiens. The sequence continues at coordinate 132,013,523 of NC_000009.12, read as the reverse complement.
CATACAGTTTAATGATTTTTTCACACTCATGTACATCCGTGTAGCCACCACTTCCAGAATCCCATAAGGGTTCCTCCTCATTGCTCTCTGTCTATACCTGTGCTGCCCTCCTTCCCAAGTTTAACACCATTCTGACTTCTTTAAACAGTTAATATTGCCTGTCTTTGAACTTCATTTAAACGGAATCATGCAGTGTCATTTTTTTGTATGAGCTTCTTTTCACTCAACATCATATGTGTTAGATTCATCCTGTTGTCCTTTTTCTGTTGCAGTGTAGTCTTCCTTTGAATATGCCACATTTGATTCATCCACTTGGTTCGTTCAACCTGTTGGGTTCTTTTGTATTAGAAGCCCTAGTAGGTGAGTGCAAAGGCTCACTCAGTGATGTGGAATGAGAAATGTGGGCACATCAGTCCATTTCCTGTCAGTGTGCACACTCCTCTGGGAGGGCCAGATGCCCGAGAAGCGTTCCTTCGCCTGTCCTGCTCACCCCTTGTACCTTCTTCTGATTACATCCTCAGTTACAAACAGCATTCTTTTCTAGTCCAAGGGAGTGTTGGCATATATGAGTTGATTGTTTACCTTTGCTCAAGGTCTCATTTGCTGTTTGGTTAGCAAATATTTATTGTACCTACTCTGTGTCAGGCATGTTTCTAGGCCCCAAGGATATAAACATGGGCAGGACAGACATTGTCCCATCTTTGTTAAGCTTTTCATTTCGGGGGTGGGAGGAGACCAAACAAGCACCCCTCAACAAATTAATAAATTAACGCCATAATTTGTAGTTATGCTTAGTGCTAGGAAGGGACTACAGAGTGGGGTAAGGTATGGGAGTGGGGGATACTGTTAAATAGGGTGATCAAAGAGGGCTTCTCTGAGGAGCCAATATGAGGCAGAGACTTGACGAATGAGGAGGAGAAAGACCAGTGAAGAGCCGGGGGGATCCCAAGGGGTGACTGCTCTGGGGATCCTTTCTCTAGCTGGTGGACGTTCTTATGCCACCACTTCCATGATTTTCAGGCTTTCTTCACAGTTCACACTTGCTTCCAGGATAGGAGGAATGTAACCAGCCAGCCTCGACAAGTAGCTTGTGTCTGTTGCTTGCATGCACAGGGGCCATATTTTTCAAAAAGAAGGTCACTACAGGGACAGCTGCTTTTAGTGATGCAAGCCAGAGTTTTGACTATTTGGCAGAATGCTTCTTAAGGGCCATTATTCTATCTGTTGTTTCTCATGTGTCGATTTGGTGATTCTGCAAATCTCAACTTTCAGCTCTCTAAAGTCTAATGGGCCTTGTAACTTGTCATTTTCCCTGCATGGATTGTCTACTGAGGCAAGATGTTTGGCGAGAAGTAAAAGACTTTCTAATGGTCCCATAAGACTGGAGCCAAAAAGTATTTGTTGCTAACTCTCTCTTGACAAAAGTCAGTTCTTAGTCCATCTGTTCACCATTTGTTAATTTGCATTGGCTTGAAACCTGTTTACAGGTGACATGCTATTGTGAGGACACTTAGAAACTATTTTAGGCATTAGGGCAATCAACAGACTGTTCTCATGCCAAAAAAAAAAAAAAAGAGCGAGAGGTGTTCACAACTGTCATTATAAATTTATAATAAATCACTCAAAATAGTTTCAAAGAGAAAAGTGGTTACTGTGTCCTAAGAATACAACATAGAAATGATTTCCTATACTTAGTAGCCTATTTCCTGTGAAAATTGACTGCTGCCTTTTCACATCATTGAGCTTTTTGGGCTTACATTATCCTGGAATCCCTTTATAGAACTACTGTCCAGTAGGCAGAAGCTATATCTAAAAGACATCAATTGCCTCCCCAACTCCCCTTTTTGTTTCTTTTTAGAGGCATGTTTTTCCTCTGTCACCCAGGCTGGAGTGCAGTGGTATGATCACAGCTTACTGCAGCCTCAAACTCCTGAGCTCAAATGATCCTCTCACCTTGACCTTTGAAAGTGCTGGGATTATAGATGTGAGCCACTGCGTCCCGCCCCATTGCACTTCCACTGAGCACCTACTATGTGCCACTCATTATGTTTGATGTTGGCTAGAAATGCAACATGGCTGCCTGTCTAAAAAGTTTTGTTTTTCTTTTTTAAGCTAGGAAATAGAACAATAATAGTATATACATAATGTAGATTTTGAAAAGGTAACAAAAACATTAAAAAATAATGTTTTTGTTATCTGAAAAAGTTATTAAGATTAGGATGGATATTGTTCTAGACTTTTTCTGTGCATATGTCATATATAGTTTTTAAAAGCAATAGTTTTTTTAAAGCAATAAATAGGTTTTAAAAGCAAAATAATCTCCAAAAAGGAGTATATTATAGTATTGTTCTATTTCATATCTCAACCTTTTATTGAATATAGTTGTGACATTTAAGGGAGCATAATTTGATCTATGGACTATTCAAATTTGCATATCAATATCCATCTTTTGGTTGTATTCTATAGAAGACTCCTTATTACAAAATTTTTTTATTATACTTTAAGTTCTAGGGTACATGTGCACAACCTGCAGGTTTGTTACATATGTATACATGTGCCATGTTGGTGTGCTGCACCCATTAACTCGTCATTTACATTAGGTATATCTCCTAATGCTATCCCTCCCCCCTTCGCCCACCCCACAACAGGACCCGGTGTGTGATGTTCCCCCTCCTGTGTCCAAGTGTTCTCATTGTTCAATTCCCACTTACGAGTGACAACATGTGGTGTTTGGTTTTTTGTCCTTCTGATAGTTTGCTGAGAATGATGGTTTCCAGCTTCATCCATGTCCCTACAAAGGACATGAACTCATCATTTTTTATGGCTGCATAGTATTCCGTGGTGTATATGTGCCACATTTTCTTAATCCAGTCTATCATTGATGGACATTTAGGTTGGTTCCAAGTCTTTGCTATTGTGAATAGTGCCACAATAAACATATGTTTGCATGTGTCTTTATAGCAGCATGACTTATAATCCTTTGGGTATATACCCAGCAATGGGATGGCTGGGTCAAATGGTATTTCTAGTTCTAGATCCCTGAGGAATCACCACGCTGTCTTCCACAATGGTTGAACTAGTTTACAGTCCCACCAACAGTGTAAAAGTGTTCCTATTTCTCCACATCCTCTCCAGCACCTGTTGTTTCCTGACTTTTTAATGATTGCCATTCTAACTGGTGTGAGATGGTATGTCATTGTGGTTTTGATTTGCATTTCTCTGATGGCCAGTGATGATGAGCATTTTTTCATGTGTCTGTTGGCTGCGTAAATGTCTTCTTTTGAGAAGTGTCTGTTCATATCCTTCACCCACTTAAATGTTAGACCTAAAACCATAAAAACCCTAGAAGAAAACCTAGGCAATACCATTCAGGACATAGGCATGGGCAAGGACTTCATGTCTAAAACACCAGAAGCAATGGCAACAAAGCCAAAATTGACAAATGGGATCTAATTAAACTAAAGAGCTTCTGCACAGCAAAAGAAACTACCATCAGAGTGAACAGGCAACCTACAGAATGGGAGAAAATTTTTGCAATCTACTCATCTGACAAAGGGCTAATATCCAGAATCTACAAAGAACTCAAACAAATTTACAAGAAAAAACAACCCCATCAACAAAATTTTTATTATAAGCACAACATAACTATAAACTAACTTTTTGTCATTAAGAAAATCCTTTCAACCCCCTTATAAAACACCGAAATCCTCCAAGGTTGCTATGTTAATTATCTATTGCTTCATAACAGATTGCTCTAAAACTTAGTGCTTTAACAGCCATGAACATTATCTCTCACAGTTTCTGTGGATTAGGAATCCAGGAGTGGCTCGTTTGGGTGGTTCTGGCTCAGAGCCTCTTGTAAGGCTGCAGTCACCTGAGGTTTGGCTGGGATTAGGAGCTCCACTTGCAAGGTGGCTCACTCACATGGCAGGCAAGTTGGTGCTGGCCGTTGGCAGGAGATCTCGGTTCCTCTCCACCTAGGCCTCTCCGCAGGCTGCTTGAATATCCTCATGACATGGCTTCTGGCTCCTCCAGAGCCAGCAATCTAGGAGAATGAGAGCCAGGCAGCAGCCATCCTTTTTATGACCTAATCTCAGAAGACACACAGCGTCAGTTCTACCCCATTCTGTTCATTTGCAATGAGTCACGAAGTTTGACTGGCATGCAAGGGGAGGGGATGAGGCTCTCCCTTTTGAAGAAAGACGTGTCAAAGAATTTGTGGACATATTTATTTTAAAACCATCACATCGCACACAGGAACAATGGCTGAGCCTGTAAACCCCATTCACTTATTTATTCAGTAAATATTTACTCAGGGCCTACAAATGCTTGGTTCTATGCACTGTGCTGGGGATTCGGAGATGAATAAGATATAATCTTGGTTTTTGGGAAGTTCTGAGTAGAGATAGGAGCAAACAAGGAGCAGAGCATCATAGCAACATGGACCAAGTTGACTGACATGACCTTCTTCCAGTGCCTGAGAAGGCCACGGGCAGAGTGGGGAGGGAGGTCCACTTGGGGAAGCCCAGCCGCCCTTCACCAGATTTATCTGCTGCTGGCTGTGAAGGATGGGGGCCTTATTTCATTGAGAATGCTAGATGCTTTCTTGCATAGGCTTACAGGATTCTAAGGAAAGGTTTTGTTTTTAAACGGTGGAGGAAAGCAGTGAAGGGCTAGCGTCTGGGTTCCTCACACACCTTTCTCTGCAACCCTGTGCGTATTAGTGCAGTGATGGGTAGGTTTCTGCGTGGCTTGTGTTAGCAGTTGGATGGCACTAAGGCTGCTACAGCAAAACTACTAGTTCTGCCCAACTGTGCAGAGAGCACAGGCGTGGCAGGAATGCAGGAGCTGTGTACGATGTGTTTGTTTTTAAAATGCAGGGCTCTAACGGTAGTCTCTGAAGACTCAGATTCCTCCCTGAGCTCCCATAGGATGAGTGATTCATGGGATTAATGATTCATATCTTTCTCCCCCTCCAAAGAAGCTTGATAGAAGATAAAGATCTTGTTCATGATGAAAGATATTTTATCACTTGTTAGCGTTCAGAGGGCACTGATGAAGTGACCTCACTTCTAGGATTTCCAAATGCTCAAATTAAGGTTTTTGCACAAGGGGTGCTATCGTTTCCGTAAAGAGGCTGAGAGGCTGTGTCCACTGTTGCTGTGCAAACATTGTTGGGCTTCTGAGCCTCATAGGATTGGGATCAGCCTGGAGAGTGGCTATATCTTATTTAATTGATCTATGAGTTATATATTGAGATATCTATGTATTTATTGAGAGATGTAGCTGTGTTTACCTGTGTTCTATCTTAGATAGCAGCCTCGATTTTCTAATGCAGTGTTGTGTGCTTTTGTGTTAACATGGAATATTGCTTTCAATCAGTATGGCCAGGCTGAATGGCCTAGCACTCCTCTGAGTTTCAACAACTTGGCCTGATGAAATGCCAGCTTTCAGTAACAGCAGAGGTGACTGTGTTCATATCCAGCAAACCGAGATCTTATTTAGGTTTGAGGGAAAACAAATAGTTTTTCAGAAAGCTTACATTGAAAACTATTACCTCCATGCCCTGGAAGTTGTGGGGACAGGCAGTTTCTCTTGCATTATATTATCTTCCATGAAAAGATTCTGTCTGCTTGATTAAGGGCATACTTGTTTCCCGGGCTTTGTTCTCTGTGGTCCCTGGGGGTGAGCTATTCGTGCTCCAAGCTAAGAACAGCCCATCTACTTGCTGATGGATCCCTCTCACCTACTCCTGGCCTTGTCTCCATTGGTCTCCTTTTTCCGTCCTACACCATAATTATTTCCCTTTTCTCCTGATCATTCTCATTCATAGACAAAACATGCTTACCCTGAAAACTGTCTCCTGTAAGAACACACATCCATGACTGCATTCTGCCTCCCAGCTCCCACCTCGTGTCTCTCCTCTTTATAGCAAAACTCCTCCAAAGGGTGGATTATACTTGTCTCCAATTTCTCTCCCACCCCAGGCAACTACTGTTCTGATATCTATACTTATACCTTAGCTTTGCCTCTTCTGGAACTTCTGTATAAGTGGAGTCATGCAGAACATAATATTTTCCTTCTGATTTCTTCTACTCAACATGTTTTTGAGATTCCTTTATGTTGCATGTATCAGCGGTTGGTTCCATTTTATTGCTGAATAGTATTTTTTCGATGTTCTTTGGAGCTTACTGGTGCCATTTCCTCAGCGTTTGCATTTGTTTCAGTATCTTGTAATACTTTCAAGAGAGAGAGAGTCCTCACTTTGCGTTTCGATTCTTGGATGACTTGCCTCTCAGGTTTGAGTAACAATAAGACCACAAAAACAGCATGCAGTGACAAGTGTTGCTGGAAGGAAGTGCCACCCATTCAGGAGGTAACAGGGATAATGACACAGCACTCACACCTAGGGCTTCCAGTGTTTGAACAACAGATTGCCTTTGGTACGGCCACTGATTTGGCTCTGGGAGTTTAACTGAAAGAGGCTCATTTTCTGCCACCGCCTTGCACATTAATTCCCAAGAAGATCATTGACTTGAAATTACACATGGTGCTTATCCAGATGATTGGATCCTTTCCAAGATGTGTGGTAGATGCTGTTTCTGTTCTTGAAAGTCAGAGGCTCATGTTGTTTTTTGCTTGATGTAAAACCAGTGGGAATCACAGAGAGCAAAGCAGCAACTTGAATCCGTCTTTGGCAATAGTGATGCATGAAGGGGGGGTGATCGTCATTGCTGTTTAAACTGAGCAAGGCAAACACTTGCCAGGATGAAGCTCATTAAACAAGTCTCTTCTCGTAGCTTCCTGGCCATTATATCATTATCTCTTCTGTTGCTCATTTTGAGACCTTTTTTAAGGTTGTTGTTTTTTTTTTTCCTCTGCCATACAGGTATAAAACTCCAGGTTTCTGCAGTTCGATTACAAAAACCTGGCTATAGACACCATTTACATAGTGACTGTGAGCATGTGTCCTTGCAGGGACTTGATTTTCTTCTTGATTACCTGGGGTTTGTTTTGTTCCTGGACTCTTGGTATTTTGTTGAGGGCAGAATTTGGTTATATGCTGATTCATTTATGTTAAATTCTTCAACTTTGAAGGGACAGGAACCTTGAACAAGAATATCTGGCATCTCTTTTTATTGGAGTTGAATTTAGTTTGCCTCTGAGCAAAGTAACAGTGAATAAACCATGAATGTGATACAAACTGGTTCATTGCCACAAGCCTTGGAAATGCAGAGCGTTTCCTCAGTCTCCTTTTCCAGGGACACTGTACAAAGGGAGCAGGCTGGCTCACCCTGAGCTTGGGCTGGTGGGCAGAGATGTCGCCCGGCTTAATGTCCCACAAAGGAAACAGAGAACTTTGCAGCTGTAAGTTTCCTGCGTTTTGGAAAAAGTCATCAAAACTTGGGTAGAAATTTGCTAAGTCATTCTTTCCCCTACTGGCAAGTATTAAGTAACAGTATTCATGAAATACCACAGAGAGGCTATGTAATAAAGAAATAATCCTAGGCCTAGGTGGCGATAACTCTCTAGAAGAGTTGAAATTGAGAATATAATTAAAGATTAAAACATTGTTTGCATTCTAGAACATGGAGAAATCTTTTCTCTCCATTGCGGGACCATATTAATAAGGAGGAGATCAGTTTCCAATAACTGACACTACCTAAGCTCGTTTATTAATATCAGTCATGTTTAAGCTGTCTGACTGAGACAGCTGCTTTTGCCTTTTTCCTGCAAGACCGGAGCTGTCTCCAGGAATGGTGAGGGATACCACTCTTATCCCAGATATTTATCCGTATCAATTCCATGTCCCGAGTGTGAATAGGAATGTTTTAGACAGCAAGGGTTACCCGTATTGGGATCTTAGATGGAAAATTATTCAGTTGCCAAAAGAGAGGGATACAATGAATTTCAAGATTTAAGATCCCAATTTCGGCCAGTTTTTTTGCAAAAGTTAAAAGATTGGTAGGAACTAGGATACCTGCCAAAGTTTTATAATTGTGGCTCATGAACGGTCAGGAGCACTATAGACATTACCAGGCCACCTTGACACGGTGACAGAAAGAAACCCTTCGTGGTCAAATACCTGGCATTCAGAGCTCCTTGAAGCCAGCGTACACTCTCAGACTCACACAGGAACAGAGAAAGGCCTTGCCTGGTTGGATTGTAAACATTTAACGGCCCAAGCACTGTTTCTTTCTCCTTCTGCTTTTTTGTTCCATTTGCCTTGAAGTAGACTCAGAAGGCATTTTGAGGCCAAGGGTATGGGATCATCTTCCTTATGTGTGCCATCTCCAGTGTCGCCTTGTCCTCATTGCTCTTTAGAGTTTCTCATCTGAGGCGTCAGAGAAGTCACACCCAGTAATAGTTGCTGAAATGTCCGTTTTTATGTATTTATTTTATGTACTCCTGTTATTGGCAGGTAGAAGAGGAAAGTGTCTCTCTCAGTCTGTCTTTGATGAGGGAAGGAAAAATGTGATTCAGTGATTGGGCAGAAAGAAACCTTCAGCTTCTTACTCCTATAAGGTTTCAGTTTTGTCTCTTCCAGGGCAGTTGCCACTTTGTGCCCCATGTTGTGAGACTTCAACTCCTTGAGGACTGGCGCTGCCTGTGTCTCTTTTACGGCCTAGTCTTGACTGTGCACTGTTGGTTGAATGAATGAGTCCTGAAGGCTCGTTCCTCTGTGTGCTGCTCACCTGGCTGATGAGGCTCAAAACATCCTTTCACAGCATGTTCTGGACGTGCGTTCCTACTGCCCGTGGCTCTTAGTGGATTGGAAGTGTAAGTGTTGGGTATTTGAATGGCCGGGAACCAGGTGGAATTTGGACAGACAGAAATGCCTATGGGTAGGGCTCTGTAGCTGCAGGTCTGTCCCCAGTGGCAGTGGCAACCCTTCCTGCAGAGTGAGGATGGATAGGGTTGGATCTAGAGGTACTGGCAGCGAGCAGGGCCCCAGAGCCAGGCAGAGGTCTTGCAGTGCGCTGCTACAGGGAGAGCAGGCCCCCGGGGCTTGTGAGCAGGGGCTGATATGTGGAAAGTGGTATATTAGGAAGATTAATCAAGTAGCAGAATGCAGATAAATAAGATAGTCCTTTGTAACTGTTTAAAAGATAATTGGTTCATGTTACTTATCTTTTATCCCCTCTCTTTGGGCAAGAGAAAAATCTCTGGGAGAAATAAACGAGGAATCCCTCATAAATATTAATGCAAAAATCTGTCTATGGAGAATAAATATAGGGACATTTTGTTTTAAATGCTCTCTGTCGTTATGCTTCATTAGCATATATGTTGTAAAAGTTACTTTTCTCCCCTTGAGAGAACCGTACTCAGTTCAATAAGCCACAGACTGAAATCTGTAGCCTGTCAGGGACGGAACACTTTAGGCGGACAGGAGAACTGATTCGCTCCCCTGCTGCGTCCCGGGGGGTTTCCTCGGTTCCCTCATCTTTAGAAGCACTGGCCTGTGGCAGAAAGCTAGGAGGAAGTCCTGGTGGGGGAGAGAGAGAAGAGAGAGACAGAGTGAGGAGAGAATTTCTGTGTATGTGTGTGTGTGTATGTTCACTCTGAAAGCCTTTATGTACTTTCCACAGGCCAGATGTATGTTTGACCACACCGGGAATCTAAAGGTGCAGAAAGTACTACTGCATTTAAACAGAAAATTAATGGGTTTCATTTGAAGCATGTCAAGTTTGAGGTACCCTTAAACCTTGGGTGAAATGATTTGATGAACCAGATTCACTTTAAAATACTCCAATCCCCCCTTCCCAAAAGTACTGGGTGGTGGGGTGTGAAAGAGGAGTATGGAGAAATAGTTGCTAATTGGTTAAAACTGCATGATGAGAGCGGGATACTGTTCATGAGCACAGGGAGGGTAGAAGTCTCAGAGTGGATATGTTGTGCCAGCAATTGTGGAGGGAGACCAGAAGAGCAGGCAGAGGAGTTGGTGACAGAGCCCTGCCACCCCATCCCACCTATCCCTGCCTCCCCGTCTAGCCTTGCTCTAGCCAACCCTTCAGGCCCAACTGTCACGTGCCCCTTGTGGCCCTTAGTGTCTGGTTCTGATCCTGGCCTCACTCTCAGCTAACCTGACCTGGGTTTGTCTCAGACCCATCGTGACATAGACTAAAATTTAAAACCCAGTGTCTTCCGTAGATACTGAGTCAAAGAGAAATTGCATAAAATAGAAAACTGTAATAAAGAACCTGGCCATTAAGCACTAAGTTGAATGTGGCAGCCTGCAGAAGCAGTCTGAAAATTATATTTCATTGCATCCTCTAATTGCATTTCTCCTTTACAAGGTGATTTTATCCAGGAAGACAGCTGTCTGGTGTGGTTATTACATCACTGGCCATTATTGGGCAAAGGAAGAAAAGAAATGGGTGGTTGTGTAGTACAGCTCATCACATAGAAGCTGGATCCATTTTTTTTTTTAAATCTCTCTTTGCATAACAAAGAGCTTCAGGATTGTTAATACTTCACACCATGCTGTCCCCCAACTAATGCTGGTTGTAAGTGAAACTCTTTTGTTTCAGATCTTTCTGTTCTTTCTTGGAATGGAAAGTAATTTTAATGGTTTCTTTTCTTTTTCTTTTTTCTTTTTTTTTTGAGACAGAGTCTCACTCACTCTGTACCCCAGGCTGGGGTGCAGTGGCGTGATCTTGGCTCACTGCAACCTCCACCTCTCAGGTTCAAACGGTTCTGCTGTGTCACCCTCTGGAGTAGCTGGGATTACAGGCGTGCACCACCGCACCAGGACAATTTTTTTGTTATTTTTAGTAGAGACGGGGTTTCACCATGTTGGTTGGGCTGCTCTTGAACTCCTGACCTCAAGTGATCCGCTTGCCTCAGCCTCCCAAAGGGCTGGGATTATAGGCGAGAGCCACTGTGCCCAGCCAATTTTGATGGTTTCTTGATGCTTTTTTCTTTCTGTCTCTGTGCCATATAGATTTCGGCCCAGAAAGCAAGTCCCTGGTTAGGGTTATAAGTCATCAAGAAGCAGTAAGCCAGTTTCTCTTTCACCTGTGTTGAAGATTGCACCAGCTCTCACAGGTACAGTGACCTCAGTAACATGAGAATAGGCATGCATGGGAAGTGGGTTTGTCTCCTAGCTTGAGTCTTTTAGGGCAGAACAGATTTTATCCTAGTTGTACCAGTCACTCTGAGAGTACTCGTTTAAAATAGATACACAGGAATTCTTAATAATAACATGAAAAACCTGTTTTCAGTGCAGATTATACTTATTTCTAGCTTGCGGAGACATTAAATCTCTAATTTTGGTTAGTGTGGAAAGAACTGGACATTCTTTGTGTTTGGAGGCAGTGGTGAGGGGGATGGGTACTAAAGGTGTTTCTAAACCTCAGTTACGCTCTGAGCTCAGGGCCTGCTGGCCCTTAGGAGGAGTGGTCAGGGCCAGTCCTCACTTTAGGGACATCTGACAGCTGAATAGTAGTAGTAGACTATAATGGGCTGCCAATTAAAGGGACTAGCCAGCTGATGCAGGGCCACAGCTTTGCTCTGCAGGTAAGGGGGACTTTGGAACAACAGTGACTCCCAGCCCTAGCTACACATTAGAATCTTACGGGGAGTTGTTTCAGGGAAGAGGCCCAGTCATCCATATTTTTAAGCAGCTCCCAGGATGATTCCTGCATGCAGCTGAGACTCAGAACCACTGCTCCAGAAGGGGTACGAGGATTGCTCCAGCGATGGAGGCTCTGGGCCAAGAGTTGTCAGAGCATCTATACCGTAAGGGAAATGAGCATTGTGGGGGGAATGTTGGCAGAGCTGACTTGCTCAAGGCCACAGATGGGAACCTGCTGGAATTTAGAACTTAGAAGAAGGTGGATCCTAACTTTGTTGCTGCCTCATCAGCTCTGGAATGTATCTGGTATCATCAATGCCAATCATTTTCCTGACCTCTTTTAGCTTATTATGCTCAGATCCACAGAAAAGGATAGGCTGGTGATTTTTTTGTTTTTTTTCTTTTGAATATATTATTTCATTTTATAATAGTGGTTTGATCCCTCTAGTTAAATTGGTATCTATGACTAAGCATAATGCATTGTCATTTATGTAAATCAGAAGTATACAGTTTAATTTATTGTGATCTGATGTGTATTGTTTTTTCCTTTATAGCTGTATTTTTTCAGGTTTATTTGAGGCTACAAAAATATAATCAATTATACCTGTTTAAAGTATATAAATTGTGACACATGTATATACCTCTGAAACTATCACCTTACTCAAACATAATCAAGACAATGAACATATTTCTTACCCTGAAGGTTTTCTCATGCCCTTTTATCATTCCTTTCACCCTCACCCCAAGCAACCAGTGATCTGCTTTTTGTCACTATAGTTTGCATTTTCTAGAAGTCATATTAGAGGAACTATACAGCATATACTTTTTTTTTCTTTTTTTCTCTTTGAGGCAGGATGTTGCTTTGTCGCCCAGGCTGGAGTGCAGTGGTGTGATCATAGCTCACCGCAGCTGCAAATTCCTGGGCTCAAGTGATCCTCCTGCCTCAGCCTCCCAAGTAGCTGAGACTACAAGTGTGTGTCACCACACCTGACTAATTTTTAAGTTTTTTGTAAAGATGGCCTAGCATATACTGGTTTGTTTGTTTGTTTATCTGGCTTTTGACTAGGCGTGGTAGCTCACGCCTGTAAGCTAAGCAATTTGGGAGGCAGAGGCAGAAGGAGCACTTGAGCCCAGGAGTTCAAGACAAGCCTGGACAACATAGTGAGACCCCATCTCTAAAAAAAAAAAAAAAATTTTTTTTTAAAATCTGACTTTTCTACTCAGCATAGTCATTTTGAGATTCATCCATATTGTTGCATGTATCAATAGGTTATTTCTTATTATTGCTGTATAGTATTCCACCAATTGGATATACTGCAGTTTGTTTATCCATTTATCTGTTGATGGACAACTGGGTTGTTTTGGCTATTAATAAAGCCAGTATGAACATACATGTACAAGTCTTTGTATGGACATGTGCTTTCATTTCTCTTGGGTAAATATTGAGGAGTACAATAGCTAGGTCATATGGTAGGTGTGTGTTTAACTTTTTTAAAGATATTGCCAAGTTGTTTTTCAAAAGGTTGTGTCGTTTTTACCTTCCCACCAGCAGGGTATGAGAGTTCCAGTTGCTGTGCTTCCACCAGCACTTGACATTGTCCATCTTTTTAATGTTTAGACATTCTGACTGGTATGCAGTGGTATCTCATTGTGGTTTAACATGAATTTCCGTAATGAGTAATGGTGGTGAGCATGTTCTCATGTGCTTATTTGCCATCCGTATATCTTTGGTGAAGTGCAGAAAAAGGCTAAGGCTTTTTTTCCATGAAGGGAAATTCTGAAAACCTGTATTTCTCAAAAGTGATTTTACTTTTGATCAAAAGTGATTTTACTTTTGATCAAAAGTGATTTTACTTTTGATCAAAAGTGATTTTACTTTTGAGAAATACAGGTTTTCAGAATTTCCTTTCATGGCTTTGAAAATGCCTTAATGTAGAGCCTGTCTTAGATTGATTTTGTACTGATTGATTGGTGAGCGTCCTTTGGACACCCACTGTCTGCTCATCATTCCACTAGTTGCTGTGAGGAGTTCAGAGGAAACAGTAGTTGTGGGCTGGAACACCAACAAGTCCAAACACTCCAAGTTTTGCTTAAGTATTTCATGGTGTTTCTTAACCTTGTCACCTCCTTTCCTGTACAGATGTGATAGCTGTGGGGCTGGAGTTGGTGCTGGTGACAGGCTTTTAATTAGTTTGTCCTGATTTTTTATTTTCTTTTGGTAGAAAAACTTATCTTTGAAGCACTGAAGTCTAGATTCTTGCTCTTCTTTATCTGTAATTGTTATTTTATTGGCACTATGCTTTTTATTCATTTTTGCAATTCAGTAAATAAAATCTAATATCTACAGTGTTTGGTGCTGGTATTCAGTGATGAATAACCTTCCCTTAAGGAGCTTGCAATGTACCTTGGGGACCAGCAAAGAGGCCTTTTGGATCCAGAAGAAGGCCTTTCTTCTGGGGTCAATGCCAGGGTGACCCCCATTGTCCTGTTCATCTTTGTCCCTTAGAAACCTTGTCTTTAACCCTTCGGTAACCACACCAAGAGACTTTTCCAGACTTGGGTCTCACATGAAACTTACAAAAGACCTAGTCTCTGACATTGATGGACACATCATGATAGGACAGGACCGGCTTTGGGAACTTTTTCGTGGACCCGGCCCATAGATAGACTTCATTATGGATGGTTGAGCTGAAACTTCTCCTCACCTTCCAACTCTCTCTTACCCTGCTATGTTTTGGGGCTCCGGCAAAGATATTCCCAGGTATGTCTTTTAAAGGAATGGAACTCTTTCTTTGCAGCTTCAGGTCCCCACACAGGGAGTTCGATTTGCTGGGTACTTAATGTCCCCGGAGAAGAAACCTTGGGGCATCACAGTGTTCCAAAGGTTTCCTTAGAAGTCTCTCACAGTCTTAAATTTTTGTTTCATGTTTTATCAGCTCCTTAAACTAGCATGAATCCCAGGCACAGTAGCTCTAGAAAGCTGTCCTTTCCCTATTTGACAGGTAACAAAATAGATTTAGATTTTTTTTTTTTTGGTGGACTTGGGCACTGTGGAAAAAATAAAACAATTGAAATTAAGTAAATACATTAAGTAAATCAAAGCCACCAATTTCCTTTTCCCTCCTTCTTCCTGTCAGTTAACATGGACGTGCCTCCCAAGTGTGGCTTGTACAGGACCTGACTTTACACATCAAATGTGGGGCTAGGATTGGTTTGTACAGACCTCACCCCACCATTCTTTTTCCTTATTAATACTTTTTACACTTTTTAATTTTAAACAAAGGAGCACTTAGAATTTAAAGGTCTCCTATGACCAATTAATTCAGTGCAGTTTATTGAGTAGGCATTTAGACGGTAGATGGAATTTCCGTCACCCCTAAGGAACCTCTGACATCGTTGGGTAGTATTTAGAGCGTCATGAAAACCCAGACCTGGAAGAGCCAGAAGGCATCTCCTTTCTACCCTCATTTCATAGTGAAGGAAATAAGGATGCAGATAAGTGAAGCATTTTTCTCCAGTGAGTTCTGAGACTTTTCAGTAACAGATCCAGGCCTGGAACTTCTTGGTTTCCCGCTCCTATAATGCTCCCACTGATCATCTACCACTGTCTTCCCTTCTTGGAGGATAGGAAGTGACCAATGGAGGAGGAAGGAAAAAAAAAAAGGATATTAAAAATGTGTCTTTTTTTTTTTTAAGATGATGCTTTTGAGTGGTATTATAGAATCACTACCCTGTTTTGCTGTTCGTAGCTCTCCCCAAGTGCGCTCCTTCCCTTTTTGTTTCTGAGACTTGCGTGTGAACCTCGCCCATTCCTTCTGGTTCTTTGCAAATGGAGGGGATGGTTTCAGCACTCGTGTACTAAGAATTAGAGCTTTCTGCTTTGGTGCTCTGTGGCCCTGGAACTCTGCCCTGTTAGCAGTGCTTTTTGGCAGAGCAGCAAGACTTTATCAGCCAGTGGGAACAGATATTTCTGTTCTACAAATGAGCCCAGATTTATAGACTCAGAGTTCAAAGAAATTAGATGAGAGATCACCAACCAAAGCAGTCTGCAGTGAGGGAAGGAACACCATCGGACTGGTTAATAATGAAAGCCACCGCATAGAGCACTCATGTAGTTTGAACGCTGTCCTTTGAGAGGTACCGTTACTTGCCTCAGCTTTACAGAGGCCAACACCGAAGCTCCCACCTTGTCTGGAGGCCCCCAGCTAGGAAGTGCTGGGACTGGAATTCAAACCTGGGCACAGAGAACCCGGAATCTGTATGTCTCAGCTGTAGTACAAGGCAGAGGATTAGGTTCTCAGGAAGCAGAGGTTGAGTTGGAATTGGGCTGCAATATATTTATTAGGGATCACCCCCTGTGAAAGAAAGTGGGAGGAAGCAGGACTGCTGGGGGAGATGGCAGCCTACAGTGCAGGGCTGGCAACGCCTCGGTCAACCCAGGGGATCTCTGCAGCAGGGTTACCTGCCTTGTCCTGTGTTGGCCAAAAGTCTGGGCCTTTGTACCCCTGCCTCACTCAGTCACCATATGCAGGTGGCTCCAGGAAGGCTGTGACCTCGGTGAGATAGCTGTCTGCAGCAGAGGCTGACCCTGAACATGCCGATAGCTGGAGGCTGTATGTCGATCGCTGTCCTGTAGCCAGACAGCAGGTTCTTCCTGGAAGAGGATCTGCCATTGCATCTCCTTGTCTACCCTGATCTTCATCAGCTGTGATACTATTACTAGATGGCTAAGCTCCAGCATGCTGGAAGTTAATTCTTTATTCTCCGGAAGCGGCAGATTTGTACAACCTTTCAACATGATAAGATAAGGGCTTACAGAGGAGAAAAACTTGGCTTTTAATTTTAATTTTATTTTTTACAATGAATACCCACTGTTAAACTACAGTTGACCCTTAACACAGCGTTAGGGGTACCCATCCCCCACCATAGTCAAAAATGTGCGTGACTTTTGACTCCCCAAAAGCTTAACTACTAATAGCCTTACCAATGGCATAGTTGATTAACACATATTTTGTAGGTTGTATGCATTACATACTGTATTCTTACAATAAAATATCTAGAGAAAAGAATATGTCATTAAGAAAATCATAAGGAAGTGAAAAAATATTTACTGTTCATTAAGTGGAAGTGGATCCTCATAAAGGTCTTCATCCTCATGGTCTTCATGTTGAGTAGAGTAAGGAGGAGGAGGTTGGTCTTGCTGTCTCAGGAGTGGCAGAGGTGGAAGAAAATCTCAATATTTAAGTGGACCTGTGTGGTTCAAACTCATGTTGTTCAAGGGCCAACTGTGCTGTGTTCTTCACTGCCAGACACTTATGTATCACTGCGTCTCCCTGTCTTCTCAGCTATCCTGTGTTGCTCAGTTCTACTTCTACAATTCTACTACGTACATTTGAGGAGCTGCCCCTCCAGGAGTCCAGTGGGGCCTCCCTTCCTGAGGGAGAGCTTAGAAGCTTCGTGGGATCAAGATCAACTATAGCCTCCACCTCTGCAGTTAGTCTCGTTCTCTCTCTCCTTTGACATCCATTCCAGATTTGGCTCACCCTTAGCTGTGACCTCTGCCGGCTCCAGTGGCTCCCATAGTGGCAAGACCCAGCACTTCATCCCTGGCAGGTCTGAGCCCCTCATCACTGTGCCTTTCTCAGGCCAGAGTTGCTATGTCTTCATTCACGGTCAAAATCGAGCAAGGGAGTATCCAGGGGTACCCAGGCTCCACAATATTTGTCTCTGCTTCCATTGTGTAACAGCAGCCCCTGCTTCTTACGAGCAGAACCAATTTGGCAAGATGGTGACTCTTCTTTTTGACTACTGGTCCCTAGACCAGGAGCCCAAAGTGCCCAGGTGGCAGCCATAGCTTATAATGCAGTGAGATCCCTGCTATTCCCAGGCAAAAGTATGGGGATCCAGACTTGGGCTTTGCAGACCAGGATCTCTAACTCTGCAAAGCCCAGAGTTCTGGAAGGGGGATGCTTGAAGTCTACCATGGGATATCAGGAATTATGGAGTGTAGAGGACACTCCTGCTTCCTCCCCTTGACTCCCAGACCCAAGTATTCTTCCTATTAGGGGAGAGCACCATAAAAAGGTCTTTGATTCAGTGCATATACTGCATCCTGGAGGATGGTACCCCATACCCCATCTTTGCTGAGTAGTGTCTCCAAGCTGGTGCTTCAGCTGTGCCTTCAGCAGGCTAGACCACATCTGCTGGGTGGTAGTATGTGATGTGATCAATGAATTCCATGATCATGGGCCTACTACAGAAAGGGGTTTCCTTGATTTGATATAATATTATGTGGGATCCAGTGCTGTTGGTTCAAAGATTGTCACTAAGCCCTTGGATGGTGGTGCTGACTCAGGCCCTGTGAGTCAGAAGGGCAAACCCTTAGTTGGAAGGCGTGTCTATTTCTGTTGGACAAATATCTGGCCTTCCAAGATAGAAGGAGTCCATTAACTTGCACCACGTTGATGGTTGTGCTCCTTGAGGAATAGTGCCATTTTGGGAACTTGATGATGGTCTCTGTCATTGGTAGATGGGTTATTTTTTGGCATTAGCAACTAGATCAGCTTTAATAAGTGCAAGTCCATGCTGTTGGGTCCGTTTCTGTCACTGTGGCCACTTTATTCATGGGTCTATCATGCTAACAATGGGATGGCTGATGTCAACTGGTTGGGTCACTTTTCTGCTTGGTTGTTTAATGCCTTTTCCATGGTGGGTGATGACATGTGACACAAAGCTTTTCCACCCTTCGTGTCCCCTCCCCATATGCCCATGTACATGTCCATACCTCATACTTTCTTGTCCTGACTTTCCAATCTTTTTCCTTCTAGGACCTTGACAATCTGAGCAGACCACTCACTGCTGCCCATGAGTCTTCCTGTAGTCTAGCCTTGAGCTGCTGCTTTTCCCATATAAAGGGCACTGCTTGAAGCCCTACTTCTTGGGAGGCTTTTCCCTCACAGCTGTCTTTTCTGTCACCCCGAGTGAGTTTGTAATGCAGCTGCCATGGATTTTTGGCTTTTACCCACATGCCAGAGTGACCTGTCTGTAAACCAAGCTTGGACACTTCCCCCTTCCTCCGTATGCTCGTGTAGGATTCCCCCAGGCAACCACAGGCATGAGCTGGGGAGGGCCACTGGGACTACTGTGATGGGTGTTATATATTATAACAAAGGGCAAGAGAACTTGCCCTAAGTCAGAACTCTAAGTGTATATTGTCTATTTCATGGAAATATGAACTGTTCCTGAGTCTTGTTTTTGACTGGGATAGAAAAAAAGGCATTCACTAAATCAGTGATGGCTTTGTATGACCTGAGGCCATATTGTTCTGCTCTAGCAAAGATGCCACATCTGATACCATGGTGGCAATCAGGGCTCCCTGCCTGATTGAGCTCGCAGAGGTCTGCAGTCCTCCAGGATTCATCTGGTTTCTGCAGGGGGCAGGCTGGTAAATGAAACAGACGTAAAGTGGGACCACTGCCCCCTGCGTCCTTTAGATCCTTCCAGGTGGCACTAATCTCTGCCATTGCCCTGGGATGCAATATTGGTTTTTAATGCAGTATTGGGGGTGGGGGAGGCAGTGCAGAAGCAGGGTGTATCAGAGACTTCCATTCGGCCTTCCCTACTCTGGTAGATCTTACCCCATAGACCAAGGACCTAATGTGGTTGTAGAAATTGTCAAATACAATAAGTTCTCATTTAGCATCATCGATAGGTTCCTGGGAATTGCGACTTGAAGCAAAACAATGTATAACAAGGCTAATTTTACCCTAGGCTAATTGAAATAACAAGAGTTAAGTTCCTACAGCAAAACATCACCAAACTTCTAAATTAAGACCAAAACACTTCTGATATTAAACATTGAAGTAAATGTGAGCTATACATACATTTAAGAAAGATTAATAGAAACAAGATAATTATTTACCTGCTTGTTCCATTTCAGGGCCTTGGGTGGCTGGCAGCTATCCCAGCAGCTTAGGGTGCCAGGCAGAAACCAACCCTGGACAGGACGCCATCCCATCACAGGGCACACTCACACACACCCGCTCAGACTGGGACAATTTAGACATACCAGTTCACCTAACGTGCATGTCTTTGGGATGTAGGAGGAAATCAGAGTGTACGGAGAAGACCCACACAGACATGGGGAGAGCCTGCAGACCCCACACAGACAGTGGCCCCAGCTGGGAATGGATTTTTTTTCCTGTCATCGATGTTAATGAAATGTGTTGAACAAAACATTATTTGAGGACCTGCTGTATGTTGGTCTCAGTTAGTCATGATGAGATGGGTCTGTGGACCCAGTGGATGGATCCACTGTAAACTAGACCTTGGCCAGGGCTCCATTTATTACCTGCTCCCCATGTGCCCCCACTCGGAACGGGGGCATCCTGAAGCCTCAGGTCTCTGAGAATCAGTGTTAACTCTAAGAAGTGGCTCTCTGCAGCTGACGCTGACTCTGCGTGAGCTGACAGCTGGAGCCCACGTGTTGACTGTCCTCCCACAGCTGGGTAGCATTCCTGAGGGGGAGCTGAGCAGGCGTCTCTGTGTCTCCCACCCTCTTTCGTCCTCAGCTGTGATACTGTTGCTGTATGGCTAAGATCAAGAATACCTGTATTCATTTCTCCCCCTTCCCCTAGTATTCTTTTTGGTACAGCCTTTCAACATGGTAAATAAGGGTCTGTAAGGAAAAACTTGAATTTTTTAAAAAAAAAAAAACATGAATAACAACTGATGTTAAACTATGGTGTTATTTATCCAGCAGATTTAGGTAAGGCACGGTGGTAGACTCTAGAAATACAGAGAGCCCTTGTTCTCAGGAATTTACAGTCAAGCTGGGGATTTGGAACATCCTGCATATGAAAATAAAGATGCATAGGCTAAACAAACAGGTTCTGGAGTGAGATTTCTTGGGCTTGCACCCCGGGTCACCCATGCCCCATATGTGTGCCTTTGGGCATCTTATTCAACCCCTCTCACCATTAGTCTTCTCATTTGTCAAATGGGGATAAT
This sequence comes from Homo sapiens, assembly GCF_000001405.40. Lineage (NCBI taxonomy): Eukaryota > Metazoa > Chordata > Mammalia > Primates > Hominidae > Homo > Homo sapiens. The sequence continues at coordinate 131,992,936 of NC_000009.12, read as the reverse complement.
AATGGAATGAGAGTACCGTGTTTGTGATACAGCGATCACTCAGTAAGTGCTAGCTGCTTGTGTATTATAATTATTGTTGTTTAGAGTGGCAGTAGTATGTCCCAGCTGAATATTGTGGGTGGTGAGTTTCTCAGGGATTCCAGCAAGGGGCAAGGAGGAAGGCTTATGGGGCAGATGGGCTCTGAAGAGTTATCTTTTGTATGAATATGTGCATTCCTCTTTAAAAGTAGGTACTGGGCCAGGTGCAGTGGCTCATACCTGTAACCCAGCTCTTTGAGAGGCCAAGGCGGGAGGATTGCTTGAGGCCAGGAGTTCAAAAGTAGCTGGGTCAATGTAGTTAGATCCCCATCTCTACAAAAATTTTTTTAAAAAATAGCAGGGTGTGGTGGCACGTGCCTATAGTCCCAGCTACTCGGGAGCCTGAGGAGGGAGGATCCTTTGAGCCCAGGAGGTCGAGGTTGCAGTGAGCTGTGATCACGCCACTGCACTCCATCCAGCCTGGGCAACAGAGTGAGACTCCCATCTCAACGAATGAATGAATGAAGGTACCAAAAGAGGTGCAGTATCGACAGATGGGAATTTTGTAGATTTTTATCCCCGTTTGAATTGAGATGTTTTCCATGTTCACATCTCAAAGATTCTGTTAATGGTGAAAGAAATGATAACAAGGCTTTCCTTTCCTTTTTTTCTCATTGGTTCAAACTGAGATAAAATTATGTCACCTATAATCAACATTGATATTTTCCACTGTGTACACACACTCTCATATTTCTTACACGTGGAAGGACATTGTTTTCTTAACAAATAATATGGGAATTGGGCAATGAAGGATAATAAAATGTCCTAACAGATGTCACCAGGTGAACTTACACAAAGTTCATTTTGGGTAAATGTCTTGGTTATTAATAATTCATGTGGCTGAGCGCGGTGGCTCACGTCTCTAATCCCAGCACTTTGGGAGGCTGAGGCAGGCAGATCACGAGGTCAGGAGATCGAGACCATCCTGGCTAACGTGGTAAAACCCCATCTCTACTAAAGATACAAAAACTTAGCCGGGCATGGTGGCGCTCGCCTGTAATCCCAGCTACTCGGGAGGCTGAGGCAGGAGAATCGCTTGAACCTGGGAGGTGGAGGTTGCAGTGAGCGGAGATTGCGCCACTGCACTCCAGCCTGGGCAACAGAGCGAGACTCCGTCTAAAATAAATAAATAAACAAACAAATAAATAAATGATTGATATCTCCAAGACACTGAAAACTATTAGTTCCTTCCTAAACCTTCGAAGAAAAATTAAATTTCATGCTATATATTTTGTGTTGAGTTTCATAGTATTTTAATTTTGAAAATTGTTTATTTATGTATGTTAAGTGTGGTGCCTTAAAACAGGAAATTAGATTAAAAATATCACAGCTTTATGAGAGGACAGATCATTTACAGAGCTCAGTAAAGATTTGCCTGTTACAGTGATTGAGTTTGGTTCACATCTTTGTAGGGTGTGGGCAGGGATAATTGCTAAAGGTATTTTTCTTGCTTCTAATAGTGGGATGAAAAATAGAGGCTTTGAATTTCTACAGCAACTAATGAAATTAGAATGTTCCTATCTATTTTCTAAGGAATTCCTGGCTTGGTTAGAGAATATAGAAATAATAACTCTGCTTTAAAATTAAGTTCTGAGCAGTTGTATCTGAGAGTATTTCTCTCTCACAGGTGCATTTAGGTCCCTGATGGCACTTGCATTTTTTGAAACGCAGCTGTACTTTAACATAGCAAGTGTCTGTTGTTTTGTATGGCTGCCTCAAAGATATTTGGGTACAAGTAGCAGCTATGAGAAACCGTCAAGGTTGTCTTGGAAGGGAAAACAGGCTCTTGTTTTAGTGCTCTCAGTTATGTTTTAAAAGACAGGACTTGCTATGCTCCACTCTTTAGCATAGCTAGTCCTGTCTTTCAGCAAGAACCCCGCAGATTTCTCATCGTACCCTACCCCTGTAATGCCAGTTACATTGATTAATGAATTGACTACAAGTGTTATGGATTTCCCGTTGCATATCTGATTAGTGCATAGTGTTATGTGCCCTTGACTATGAGGAGAGAATACTGTTCCTGGTGATTTGCATAGAGGTGGGCCATGGGATTATTGCGAGCCGCAGTCCTCCAGGAGGTGCAGTTCAGCCACAGCTGCTGCACTAATGGGAATCCTAGATCTGGTCAGAACCCACGTTCCTGGGACAAGACTGGTTTTCAGGATGTGGAGCATGGAGTCAAGGGTGAACTGAGAGACCACATCCTCCTGGGGTGACACTGAAATCATTGGCCAGGTGGGGTGTGCAAGCAACCCACAGGTCCAAAAGGACTGGATCAGTGGTTCTGAACGTTTTATTTGAGGATGCTCCATAAACACTCTGGGATGACTGCAGAATGAGTGTTCTGAGTACTCCTCCAGGCACTAGGGATCTGGGCCTGCACAACAAAACAAATCCCTGCCCTCATGGCAGTGATAGTTTTTGTGAACATGTAAATAGTGTGTGCAATTTCAGGACCCCAGGACAAGGACCTCAGAGTTGGTCAGAGAGAGACAATTCAGGTAGAGGCTCATAGGTAAAACAGAGGATGAAGGAATGTTCCAGAGGGGTTGACTCCTCGGAGCATCACTAAATTGATGGAGATGAGCCTCAGGTATTTATTACATGGTATCTTTGGGCTCAATCATGGGAAGAAAAAGCATTGTTAAGGGCCCTGACCCTTCGCAGACAAGACTGGAGCTGGACTTTGAAGGAAGCAAAGACTTTCAGCAAACAGAGAAGCTGTGGGGAAGCAGTGGTGGGGGTGGGCCAGGGAAGCACCGTCTGGGAAGGATCTAAAGTGGGGCAGGTTCTGTGTGCGGGGGAACCATAGTGAACAGCCCAGGTGGTGTGTAAGCTGCAGTATAGGAGGGTAGTGGCTGAATTTGGAATGCCTTGGTTGCAAGCTGAAGTTAGATTTTAACTAGTACATAGTCAGTAGCAAGGTATTTTGAGCAAGGCTCTGCTGGCCCAGTGACTTGCCAGGTAGATACATTGCTTCCTAACGGCAGGTGTTTGAGTACAGCTATATCATAGCTGTAGGTTATAGGCGAATTGATAGTGATGCCAGGATTTGCATTGTTCCTTTTTTTTTTTTTAAGTATGTTTATGTGGAGGGGAGGGATACATGAAACAGGATGGCAACATGGATAATTGCTGGAGCTGGCTCACAAAAGTTTATTGTATGGTTCTCTCTACTCTTGGGTATGTTCGAACATTTCCATAATAGAGTTAAATTAAAAATAATACAACTGGTTTCACAACAGTGTGAATCTACTTAATACCAGTGAACTGCATGTTTAAAAATGGTGAAGATGGTAACTGTTTTATGTGTTTTTTAAACAATTTTTAAAAATGGTTAGGATGGTAAATATTATGTTACAGATATTTTACCACAATTAAAAAATACATAGCTTACCTACAAAGGGGGTAATCAGACCCTGTCCAGCAGCCACAGAACCTATTGCCGAAGCCTCTCAAGACACGTTTTCATGGAATAAAAGGTTAGGAGAAATCCTAGGCTCCTGCTGTGGTCCTGAAAGGGAAGTTCTAGGCAAAATATTAGAACCAGACCTGTTTCCTAGCTTGTTTTCTAAGAGGAATCCTGAATAGTGGGATCCTTTCAAAGTGTTATAAATAAAAGCGTTCTTTTCTAGCATTCACCAGCCACTTATATAATGCTATAATCCTTAGTTTCTTCATCTACAAATAGGGATAATAATATTTATACCTTATAGTAGTTACAGAGTTTAAGTGAGATAATGAATATTTTAAAATCTAGCACCATTTCTCTCTCCACACTTCTGAAGATCCTCCTTCAGAACTAGGTTTGCCTAGATGACAGGTTGGTAGGTGCAGCAAGCCACCATGGCAGTCGTGTACCTATGGAACAAACCTACATGTTCTGCACTTGGTTAAAGTAAAATTAAAAAAAGAACTAGGTTTGTAAAGTACAGTTGATCTTTGAACAATGCAGGGGTTGTTCACCCTCGGCGCAGCCAAAAATCCACATGTAACTTTTAACTTCCCACAAATTTAACTGCTAATAGTCTACTGTTCTACTGTTGACCAGAAGCTTTTCTGATAACAAAAACAGTCAATTAGCTGGGCACAGTGGTGCATGCCTGTTATCCCAGTTCCTTGGGAGGCCAAAGGGGGAAGGTTGAGCCCAGGAGTTAGAGACCAGCCTGGGCAATGTAAGAAGACCCTGGTCTCTCCCCCAATCCCCCCGCAAAAAAAAGCAAAGTAGTTGATTAACACATATTTTGTATGTTATATGTATTATATTACTGTGTTCTTACAATAAAGTAAGCCAGAGAAAATAAAATGTTACTAAGAAAATCATAAGGAAGTGGAAATACATCTACTATTCATTCAGTGGAAATGGATCCTCATAAAAGCCTTCATCCGCATTGTCTTCATGTTGAGGAGCAAGGAGGGGTTGGTCTTGCTGCCTGTGGGGTAGCAGAGGCAGAAGAAAATCTGAGTATAAGTGGACTCATGCGGTTCAAACCCTCGTTGTTCAAGGGTCAGCTATAAATGGCTTCTTTTTTTTTATTTTTTCAAATGGCAAGAGCCAGAATAAATGGCTCCTTTAATGAATAGGTACCACTGATACATTAATAACTATTCCTTTGTAGACAAGCATGGCTAAGTAGCTAACAAAAACTATTTCTCAATATCATGTTGTTTTCTGAAATTAAAAAGATTGAGTAGCCACTATGCTATAGGAAATTTTGAAAAAGGCAAAAGAGCTCACAATTTTAGGTTTTTAATACCATGATTTTACTTATTGACTGTTGTATTTACGGAAATGATTTTTGTAGCTCACATTTTTAAAAACTGTAAACCTAAAAATCGCCTAAACCAGTCCTTGTCTTAATGGACACAGACTGTGGCTTTTTCAGACAGTTTTTGCTGCATTGGACCTTGGAGCACACTCTCTTTGTGGAACTGGAGACTCTGAGGCCCAGGGAGGGCCAGCCGCCCCAACTAAGAGAGGAACCGGGGGCCATCCCCAGTGTCCTGATTCCTACTTGACTGCTTTCCCCACTGCCCCAGTAGAATTAATGAGGTTTTCTTGTACCCATTCCAGCAGGGAGAGGACCAGTTTCACGCATAATTCTTCATGACTGCCCATAGCATTTTAATTGCCTGTTATTGCGTCAAAATATTGTCCTCCTGACAGCTAAGATAATGTAAATAGAAAGCAAGAGGAGACAGAAAATTGAGGAAATTTGCAAGAAAATAAGAATGCCTTTGAAATACCTTAAAGACTGACTTAATATCATTTGAATAACCGTTTGATCTCTTGCATTGCCAGGTGTGATTATTTAGTGGGAGGTAGTGATTTCTTTAAGACAGACTCTATTTAGAATGAAGTTTCTCTCAGTTTTATGCAGCTTTGGAAAGAGCTCAAGATCCTGCTTGTCCACATTCCCACCGCTCCCCCTCCCCGCATTGAGTAAATGACTCCGCTTTGCTACTTTAGGGACACACCACATCGCATGAGACTTCTGACCCTTCTCATCTCCACATCTACAGATACTCTGGAGGCTTTATGTTAGATGGCAGAGTTACCCCAGATTCTGAAATCTTCCTGTTCATACACTTAGTAAAAGAAACAAAAAAGAAGTTAAAACTAGTAAAAGATGCACCAGCATTAGTCAGTCACAGGAAGGGACTTAACCTCTTTGAGAACGTGCAGCAAGGGAAGTTATCACAGAAGATTACAGTTCCACAGCTGTCATTTAATACCAGGAGGCAGTGGAGCAGTGCAAAATTTGGGGGAAAGTTTGACCCAATAATTTTATACTGAACCAAGTTATGTAGAAAGATAGTAGTATTCTAAAAAAAAAAAAAAAAAAAAAAAAAAAAAAATCCATGAACTCAAGGAAAGGCCCATGAGTCTTTCTTTAAAAAACTACTCAGTGACAAAATGCAGTGAGTCAAGGGATCAACGAAGTCAGTTCATTCATTCAGCAAATATTTATTGACTGCCTGTTACGTGCCAAACCCTGTTTGAGACACTGGGGATGTAACGATTCATTAGCTTACATTCTGATGAGAAATGGTGAAGTGAGTGGTCTGTTTAAATAAACAGCCAAGGCCAAGTAATTGTCAGGAATAATATTTCAGAAGGTAAATACAGTCATGCATCATTAGGCTCTTCCATCATTGTGCAAACATATATTTACAAAAACCTAAATGGTAGAACCCACGGCACACCTAGGCTATAAGGTGTAGCCTGTTACTCCTAGGCTACAAACCTCTACAGCATGGTACCATAGTGAGTACTAAAGGCAGTGTAAGACAATGGTAAGTATTTATGTATCTAAACATACCTAAGCATAGTAAATGTATAGTAAAAATACTGTATGAAAGGTAAAAAAAAATGGAGCTGTGTGCAGTGGCTCATGCCTGTAATCCCAGTACTTGGGAGGCTGAGGTGGGAAGATTACCTGAGGCCAGGAATTCAAAACCAGCCTGGGCGACATAGCAAGACCCTGCCTC